>NC_000001.11:190684587-191309587 GCF_000001405.40 Homo sapiens
AGTAAAAACGTAATGTCTTCAGAAAATTAGAAAGGGACATCTATATTACTGGATGGTAAATACTGGAGTAAAAGAATGAAGGATATTTGAGTATGAAGCCTATTCTTAATGTTCATGTCAAAGGCATTCATTTATTATCTGTTCATAACCAAAGGCTTCTAACATGAAAGAAATGAATTAGCTACCTGTAAGACAACTGTTATCTGTTGAAAGACTGCAGAAAGGATAGCAATCTATTCCCCATGCTAGCTGTCATGCCACTTTAATACCATAATATTAAATATTTTTTATTATTTTTATAAATCAAATAATTAGGTATCAAAGTTCTGCTGTCTAGAATCTTCAGATAACTTTATTTCAGATTTTATAAATTACTTAAGTGAACTTCCTTTAACAACTACTATTGCTTCCTAATACAGAGTTCACTGACTTCCATTTCACCACTTCTTGAAACATGTCAGCATTTTAAATATTTATTTGCATATAATATTTTGATGAATTCAAGGTATAAAAGCATATATTGCTATTTTCTGGACATTTATTACTTTCAGATCATTTCTTGTGGCTTTCTCTGCTTTAATTTTAAAATTTACATCACAATTATTTACCAAGAAGTGTTTATAAAATACTTGCTTATACTTAATGTATTTCAGGTAATTAATACTGGGTACTAGAAAGACAAATTAAATGTGGCCTCAACTTTTATCTTTGTATGTATCCATCTTGTTATATGATCTATCAAGCTTCTTACTACCATAAATATATCCCATGGTTGTGATCTTATAATTAACAGTTATTAATAATATAAGGACTGTAAAATAAGAAAAAACAAGCCTGCTAGTATTTAATGTAATAAGTAGTCTAAAAGTATGGGCCTGAGCTCTTCTTTCTCGATTAAATTCTGTGGCGCTTTAGAGTGTAACTATAAGGGTAATTGTTCTTGGTTAACTATTCTCTATTTTATTTATCCAAATGCAGTTTTTCTTAGTCGTTTGCTCTTGATTCCTTTTTGGTCTAGTCAGGAGACCAGAAGTTTGACTTTTAAAAAGCGGAATAATACTACCATTTTACAGAATGTGATCGCATTTGTGCAGGTTATTGGTTGGCACGTTTAGAGGAAGTGATTCATTTTGAGCAATCCCAAGACTGACAATTACTACATTTTTAGTAAAACATGTATTTAATTAAATTACAATGTATGTTTATTTTAAAATAAAAAAATGTGAAACACCTCTAGATAATTATGTTAAAGATCAACTCTACAGAAGCTTGATAATAAAAATAAACATGTATTGAGCAATTCATTAAAGTGCCTTCAGAAGCACTGAGAATTTTCTGTCTTATCTCATGGAAACCCTTTAATAATTCTACGACTTAGAGACTATACTAACTTCATTTTATTGCTCAGGAATTTAAGGCTCGATGATATAATTAACTTTCCCCAAATCAGAAAACAAACAAGTGTTTGAACCATGATTCACAATCACGCACTGTGATTCGAAAACCCTCATTTTAACCATCACTTTCTACTGTCTCCCAATACCTTTTTCATAATGTCCCCTCGGAAACATATAAGAAGGTAACTTACAGCATGATATTTTGCTGGTCAGTTTTATGGCAAGTTTTGTGCCATGTTTTAGTACAGTGACACCCTCAGGAGCTATTATGTCTTCTAGGACCATTTCTTCCTATATTAAATGGCTTCTATTCTCTGTAGAATATGCTACTAATCTTGGCCTATATTTTTAGAACTTCATAAGACTTTACTGGAATAAGTTACTTACTTAGAGTTTTCCAAAATATGACCTATGTAATAGTTATCCCAAAGAAATATTCTGCCATAAAATGATAAATAAACCACTATCAAATGGAAAATAAATACAGCTTTTAACTTATATTTTATGATAACAGATAGTCTCTAACTTTCTCCTTTACAGTTGGTTAAATTATTTATTTGTATTTTTTTAAAGAGTATTTAAAATGTATCTGACAAACATTAAGCAGAGAAGTACTCTCTTTCCAATATCATTACAGCCTTCTGTATAAATTTCCTTGATTTCATTCCTTCATTTGCATCATAAGCAACCACTATTCTGAATTTGGTTTAGATTACTCTAATGCATTTCTCATATTGTATATACGTATTCTTAAACCATCTATACTTTTATTTCTCTCCTTTATATATTATGTAAATTAAATAATGGCAATTATATTCTGCAACTTATTTATATCACTCTATAACATTTATGAGATACATTCAATTTACATACAACTTATTTATTCACATATATCCAAAGGTGGATAGTATTCCTTTGTGTAGATATGCTAAGTATATTTATCTATTCTCAAGTTAATATATATATTTTATATTAAAGACAATGCTGCTCTAAATATTCTTTCACAATTTTTGGTACATATATGCAAAGTTTTCTCTGTTTTGTATTACTGATTTGTTTTTCATATCACTTGCTTAATTAATAATTAGAAAGTGTCTCAGCAAAAATGTTTGTACCAATTATGGGGAGTCTCATTTCACCCTCTCAGTCACTTTTTAACCCTTTTTTTTTTGCGGGAGAGGGGAGGATGGAGATTTTTGTCAGTTCACAACATATTCACTGGTCTAGTTACAGCCATGGAATAGCTCAGTATTAGAGAGTTGCAATGAATGCTTGAGTAAGTCTTCCTACTTTGTCCATTATTGATCTACACATAAACCACTTGTTTCAATTTGATCTTTATTACACTAATGATGATATTTTGATCCTCTCTTAAATGCCCCTTTAACTTAAATATTTAAATTACTTAGGTAGGGAAAGAAATTTGGCTGTAAAACATGCATATATAGATAAAAAAGTATGAACAATATTTCAAGGGCAATTATGTCTTATTGACAACATATCACATTACTCTAAGGTTCCTGTTTTTTTGGTTGCTAGGAATTATGTAATTATTTTCTGGTGTAGCATCAATCTGGCTGCTTTGCATTACCTGACTGGGGAATTTCCTTAGAGGAAAAAAACATAAATGTAGTGGGATTACCTTCTTTTGAGGCAATTTCTTTCTTTTCTGGGTTACTTTACACTGCCTTTAAATAGTTGTGTTTTATAAAAAATGTGGAGGATTAATCAAAAGAATATTTTGTACATTATATCCTTTAGCTAAATTTCTTGCTTATTTTTACTGGTTTGACTGTTTTGCTGGATGAAATTATATAAAGAGCATTACTGTCTTGCATTATTTCTTCTATCATTTGGTCAAAACAGCAGGCTTTGTTATCTCTGTTGTGGGTATGAGCACTTACATAGAAAAAGATTTATGTATTCCATATTTAGCATAACTAAAGTAGTTTTTCACTTGAAGTCGCCTTTATTTAACTATGTTTCAATTATTAACGTATTTATACTAAGGTCTCTGTGTTGATAATAAATGTCAGATAAAAGACAGAGCATTTATCATAGCTAATGCATTCAAATTTAGCAGTTTTCTCTGTTTTGGCAAACTTTTGTTCTTTAAACACATATTTTCACTAGTTTATAATACTCGTGCCAGCAATAAATAGTCTTCAAAGTAACCACCATACATGGATTACTTGAGTGGTTGTCATTTAAGTAATTTTTTTGTTGTTTTGTCTGAGGACTAGAGCTTTATGTCTCCCTTGCTCTATCTTTCACAGTTTTTAACATTACTCATAAGATGAGTCTGGCTAATTGTCAAGAAAAAAGAAGCATGATGTACCCCAATGCAAAGAACACCCACAAAGTTGCCTTGAAGACCTGACACTGTCTAAAGTAGACATTTTCTTACTTTGTGAAGAATTTACCTGGGAGTGGAGGTCTTCATAACTTTTTTTGTAGTTGTTATGGATAAAGCCTGGCTTGTTCTTTTACTTAGCTTGATTTTATTTGTAGCCCAATTATTGTCAGTTTACTCCATAACTTAAACAGTAGAAACTCTAGCTTATGTGACTGTATAGAGAGTATGGGTAAATTATATTATAGCAACAAATATAATTATCTTTGTTTTATTTAACTCACAATGTACACATATCTGTCATCCCTAGAGGGATCTGTCCCATGCTGTTCCAATTAGGGAGGTCCTGTTCCCATATTCTGAGAATTATTGACTCAATAATAAAAGCAAAGGCACCAAATTGCATACTAGATCTTAAAGCCTTCTTCCAGAAGTGACACACATCATTGGCTATGGAAATTTATGTGGAAGGAAGTGGAAAAGGATATCCACCACAAGCCCAGAGGAAAATAAATGGAATAACTATGAACTACCCTAATCACTGCAGCATTGAATGAAATGTCTTAACATACCTCATTAATGCATTCTTCTTTATTTTTTCATTTGTAAAGAGATGCTTGAGAATCCTTCCTACGCTTATCATTTGTACAAGTTGGAGTGGATAGCATAAGCCTTTGTTGTAATTGGTGGACAAAACCATTTGGAGTCTGAAACACTACTAAGTTTGTTTCTGAGGGTAAACATGTGTGATTATTTTTATAAGCTGGTAAAGATAAATACTAATAAACATTAACAAATTTTATATTCCTCATAAAATCAATCTGAGTATAGTACTATGAAAGTAGAGTAATTTTTTTTTTTTTTTGAGGGTTAGCATGGCCACATAGCTTTTATTTTGATTGGTTTGTGGCCAGTGTAACTGATTTTCAATTGAATATATGTGATATTCTTAAAGTGAAATTTATCAGAAACCCACCAATGGAAGATGAAGTAGCTGTGTTCTTTAAATAACAAAAGCTTTCATAAAATTTACATAATCTTGCTTTATTGCAATAAGGTATTCGGATAAGCTCAGGTTCATTTTAGAAGAAAACATTAGCAATAAAAAGTTAAGTTTTAGAGATAAATATCTTTATAACTTGTGGAAATGTTTCCAAGCCACTGTAATGAACAGAGCTAGAATGATGAAATAATAAGATACATTAATATTTTCTTGGTTTTCTCCCACATTAGATTTTAGAAATTATTTAATTTATAATCCATTATAAAGCAGCTAACCTAACTGAAAACTCTGAATTCTAACAAAGCTAACATGGTAACCTATAAGTCTAATAAGCACAAGTGGATAAATCTACTTGATATATAACAGGATGTAACATTGTATATAACTCATGGTTATAGGGGAGCACATTTATTGATGTTTAATTAAGAACCTCTATGCTGGAAGAGCTCTTAAATATAACTTTACTATGCCCAGAAATAAACTTATTACCATCTTTTGTTTTCCTTTGTTAAACAATCAGATCTCACATCTCCTTCATGCCCACCTAATTACCAAAAATATAACTGGATATACTGATACATAAAAAATAATGTGCTTAAATCACAATATTTTTAAAACTTTGTTTTATGTTTCTTTTTTTATATATTTTAAGTTCTGGGGTACATGTGCAAAAAGTGCAGCTTTTTACATAGGTATACACATGCCATGGTGGTTTGCTGCACCCATCAACCTGTCATGTACATTAGGTATTTCTCCTAATGCTATCCCTCCCCTAGTCCCTCACCCTCTGACAGGCCCTGGTGTGTGATGTTCCCCTCCCTGTGTCCATTGTTCTCATTGTTCAACTCCCATTTATGAGTGAGAACATGTGGTATTTGGTTTTCTGTTCTTGTGTTAGTTTGTTGAGAATGATGATTTCCAGCTTCATACATGTCCTTGCAAAGGACAGGAACACATCATTTTTATGGCTGCATAGTATTCCATGGTATATATGTGCCACATTTTCTTTATCCAGTCTATCATTGATGGACATTTGAGTTGGTTCCAACTCTTTGCTATTGTGAATAGTGCTGCAATAAACATTAATGTGTATGTGTCTTTATAGTACAATGATTTATAATCTTTTCAGTATATACCCACTAATAGGATTACTGAGTCAAATGGTATTTCTAGTTCTAGTTCCTTGAGGAATTACCACACTGTCCTGCACAATGGTTGAACTAATTTACACTCCTAGCAGCAGTGTAAAAGCGTTCCTATTTCTCCACATCCTTTCCAGCATCTGCTGTTTCCTGACTTTTTAATGATCACCATTCAGAGCTGGTTTTTTGAAAAGATCAGATCAACAAAACAGACCACTAGCCCAACTAATAAAGAAGAAAAGAGAGAAGAATCAAATAGACACAATAAAAAATGATATAGGGGATATCACCACTGATCCCACAGAAATACAAACTACCATCAGAGAATACTATAAACAACTCTACACAAACAAACTAGAAAATCTAGAAGAAAGGTATAAATTCCTGGACACATAACACCCTCCCAAGTCTAAACCAGGAAGAAGTCAAATTCCTGAATAGACCAACAACAAGTCATGAAATTGAGGCAGTAATTAATAGCCTACCAACCAAAAAATGTCCAGGACCAGAGAGATTCACAGCCGAATTCTACCAGAGATTCAAAGAGGAGCTGGTACCATTCCTTCTGAAACTATTCCAATCAATAGAAAAAGAGGGAATCATGTCTAACTCATTTTATGAGGCCAGCATCTTCCTAATACCAAAACCTGGCAGAGACATAGCAAAAAAAGAAAATTTCAGGTCAATATCCCTGATGAACATTGATAAGAAAATCCTCAATAAAATTCTGCCAAACCAAATCCAGCAACACATCAAAAAGCTTATCCACCATGATCAAGTTGGCTTCATTCCTGGGAAGCAAGGATATTTCAACATATGCAAATCAATAAACGTAATCCATCACATAAATAGAACCAATGACAAAAACTACGTGATTATCTAAATAGATGCAGAAAAAGCCTTCGACAAAATTCAACACCCCTTCATGCTAAAAACTCTCAATAAACTAGGTATCAATGGAATGTATCTCAAAATAATAAGAGCTTTTTATGACAAACCTACAGCCAATATCATACTGAATGGGCAAACATTGGAAGCATTCCCTTTGAAAACCGGTATAAGACAAGGATGCCCTCTCTCGCCACTCCTGTTCAACATAGTATTGGAAGTTCTGGCCAGGGCAATCAGGCAAGAGAAAGAAATAAACCGTATTCAAATAAGAAGAGTGGAAGTCAAATTGTCTCTGTTTGCAGATGACATGATTGTATATTTAGAAAACACCATCTTCTTAGCCCCACATCTCCTTAATCTTATAAGCAAGTTCAGCAAAGTCTCAGGATACAAAATCAATGTGCAAAAATCACAAGCATTCCTATACACCAATAATAGACAAACAGAGAGCAAAATCATGAGTGAACTCCCATTCACAATTGCTACTAAGAGAATAAAATACCTAGGAATACAACTTACAAGGGATATGAAGGACCTCTTCAAGGAGAACTACAAACCACCGCTCAAGTAAATAAGAGAGGAAGCAAACAAATGGAAAAACATTCCATGCTCATGGGTACGAAGAATCAACATTGTGAAAATGGCCATACTACCCAAAGTAATTTATGGATTCAATACTATTCCCATCAAGCTACCATTGACTTTCTTCACAGAATTGGAAAAAACTTTTAAACCTGTAGTTTTAAATCTTGTAAAATCAATTATGTATGCCATAAGAAACTATAAGAATAACCATGGTACTGGTACCAAAACAGAGATATAGACCAATGGAACAGAACAGAGGCCTCAGAAATAGTGCCACACAACTACAACCATTTGATCTTTGACAAACCTAACAGAAACAAGCAATGGGGAAATAACTCCCTATTTAATAAATGGTGTTTGGAAAACTGGCTAGCCATATGCAGAAAACAGGAATTGGATCCCTTCTTTACACTTTTTACAAAAATTAACTCAAGATGGATGAAACAGTTCAATGTAAGACCTAAAACCATAAAAATCCTAGAAGAAAACCTAGGCAATACAATTCAGGACATAGGAATAGGCAAAGACTTCATGTCTAAAACACCAAAAGAAATGGCAACAAAAGCCAAAATTGACAAATGGGATCTAACTAAACTGAAGAGCTTCTGCACAGTAAAAGAAACTATCATCTGAGTGAACAGACAACCTACAGAATGGGAGAAAATGTTTGCAATCTATCTATCCAAAAAAGGGCTAATATCCAGAACCTACAAAGAACTTAAACAAATTTACAAGGAAAAAAAAAAACCCATCAAAAATTGGGCTAAGGATATGAACAAACACTTCTCAAAAGAAGACACTTATACAGCCAACAAACACATCAAAACAAGCTCATCATCACTGGTCATTAGAGAAATGCAAATCAAAACCACCATGAGATACCAACTCATGCCAGTTAGAATGATGATCACAAAAAAGTCAGAAAACAACATTTGCTGGAGAGGATGTGGAGAAATAGGAATGTTTTTACACTGTTGGTGGGAGGGTAAATTAGTTCAACCATTGTGGGAGACAGTGTGGCGATTCCTCAAGGATCTAGAACCAGAAATACCATTTGACCCAGCAATCCCATTAGTGGGTATATACTGAAAAGATTATAAATCATTGTACTATAAAGACACATACACATTAATGTTTATTGCAGCACTATTCACAATAGCAAAGAGTTGGAACCAACTCAAATGTCCATCAATGATAGACTGGATAAAGAAAATGTGGCACATATATACCATGGAATACTATGCAGCCATAAAAAATGATGTGTTCCTGTCCTTTGCAAGGACATGTATGAAGCTGGAAATCATCATTCTCAACAAACTAACACAAGAACAGAAAAGCAAATACCACATGTTCTCACTCATAAATGGGAGTTGAACAATGAGAACACATGGACACAGGGAGGGGAACATCACACACCAGGGCCTGTCAGGGGATGGGAGGCTAGGGGAGGGATAGCATTAGGAGAAATACCTAATGTAGATAACGGGTTGATGGGTGCAGCATACCAGCATGGCATGTGTATACCTATGTAACAAACCTGCACATTCTGCACATGGATCCCAGAACTTAAAGTATAATTAAAAAAAAGAATTAAATACATTGCTAACTTCTTTGCTGTTATGGAATCAAAATGTTTGCAAATAGAAGATACCTGATTGGAACTTTCATGCTGAGACAATGTAGCTTTATTTTTTTTTCCCCTTGGCTCCAAATTTTTAAATTTGGCTCAGAATGTGTAGGTTTAGGACAATTTCGCACAATGACACTGTCATGGCTGCTAGGTGTCATTATACATTTGTCAAACCCCATAGAGTGTACAACACAAAAATAAATACTAATGTCAACTTTGGACTTTAGTTAATAATAATGTAGCAATATTGGATCATTAATTATAAGAAATGTACCATACAAATGCAAAATATTAATAAAGGAGAAACTGGAGGGTAGTATAAGGGAACTCTGTACTTTTTGCTCACTTTTTCTATAACCCTGAAACTTCCCCTCAAAATCTACCAGTTATTTTTTTTAAATGTGACAAAAATTTTACTTTAGAAGTTCTTCATTAATCACTTGTGGTCTACAGGTGATTAACTACAATTTAATAGAAGGCAAAATACTTGTACCTTACTTTAAGGATATTGAAAATCCAAAAGTTTTTTCTACTTTCACACTCAACAATCAACACTGTTACTCTGATCACCAAAATATCTGTGCGGATTTTTCTCCATCAGCAATCAATCAGTTCTGCAGGGGACACCATCTAGGTATTCTCTTATACTATTCAATTATAACTCTGTCACTTCAGATGCCAGTGGCAAGCACAGATTATAACCTGTGCATTTGGCTGACTGACTATAAATCGGGGTTCCCACAATTATCTCCTCAGGTTTGATAAACTTGCTAGAGCAGTTCACAAGACTCAGTGAAACACTTACATTGACTGGTTTATCATAAAGGATATTACATAGGATACCAATAAACAACAGATGAATACATGAATAGGGTGAGGTGTGGGAGAAGGGGCAGGGAGGGGGCTTCCATGCCCTCCCTGGAGCACCATCCTTTAGGAACCTCCACATGTTCAGCTGTTTAGAAGCCTTGAAATACTGTCCTTTTGGGTTTTTATGAAAGCTTAATTAAATAAGCATGATTGGTTAAGTTATTGGCTATGAATGGAATGGTCAACTTTAACTTCAGCTCCTCTCTCTTACTTGAAGGTTAGAAGGTATGGCTGACCCAACATTCTAATCATACCATAGCATTTCATGTGACCAGCCCTCATCCTGAAGCTATCAAAGGGCTGTCAGTGACCATTTATCTTATTAGCATACAAAAGACACTCTTATCACTCTGAAGATTACACGTATTCTCAGAGCTATATGTTAAGAAAAGGGGAAGAAGACTAGATATATTTATATATAAATATCTGAGTTGATGAATCAGGTTCATATATATATATATATATATACGTATATATATATATATATACGTATATATATATATATATATATATGAATCACGATGATCACACTTTCTTTCCAATATTTCTATTGGTTTCCATCTTATTATCTTCATATTTAGAATTTAACAGTTGTAATTCTGAAGCTGAAAATCATTGAAGAAAATCTAGCTATCTGTATATGAAATCATTTTCTAGGTACGAGTCAATCACAACCTGGTGAGATTACAAGTGATAGATACGTTTTTTCAGCATTTGATAAATTTAAGTAAAACTGTTTGCTTTGTCTCTTTACCAAAATAAAATCTCTGTCTTAAGACACAGGGAAAAATAAACTTATAAATATAAATAGTATTTTGAAAAAATAATTATTCATTTATATAAATTTATTTTAAAAGACATAGTTTTAAATATTGAAACTATAAAATAAAAACTAAAGCATATTCATAATTTAATTTAAGCTTCAATAGTTAATATTGAATTTTATAATGTTTAGATTTTTTATAAAATGCTATCTTTTGAATGTGAGTTCTTGCAAATATATATCCAAATTTCATATTTAAAAAACATATATAATCAAATATGAGGTTTTCTGGAACTTATGAAAAATTGTATAATTCATCAGCATAAGTACAAGCACTTTTTATCACATTTTCTTCAGTTTATATGATTGAGAGTGAAATGTTTCAGATAACTCAATTTTTACTTATTTATCTTAAGCTTTAGAAACAATAGCAATACAGCTTCCTAAAATGTGTTATTTGAGACAGAGAGGACAATAGTATTAACATATTTTGAATAAAGACATAGATGATTATATATATACATATATATGATTAAACTAGAATCCTAAAGGTAAAAAGTTTTTCGCAAAGTGACTAAATAATTTTTTCTTATGGCCTATTTAACTAAGTAAAATTGGGAAAAAAATGTAGTTTAATGGAATTCATCCATTATAGTTCATTCTTTAAGGTAATAAAGGTCAAAATTAGAGCAATCTCATCCAAGCTGACTAATTTAAAAAATTACTTTCAATTGTCTACATTTAAGAAAATGGTGATATTTGAAGAATAGGGATAAGTGAAGCTGGTCTGATATAAAATTTAATCACCCTTTGATAGATTGCAAATTTTATTTTCTATGCCTAGTTACAAGTTGTCGTTTGTCATAATGGCTTGAAAGCTGAATAAGACCTAATTGAATGAAGATT
The DNA here is from genome assembly GCF_000001405.40 of Homo sapiens. Taxonomy (NCBI): domain Eukaryota; kingdom Metazoa; phylum Chordata; class Mammalia; order Primates; family Hominidae; genus Homo; species Homo sapiens. The sequence goes on from NC_000001.11 coordinate 190,696,128, forward strand.
GCTTCACCCTAAGTGCTTTTCAAAAGTGAACAGGCCGTAATAATATTTTAGTGTTCATGATTCAAACTACATTGAATGTTAAAGTCTTACTACAATGTTTTCAAATGAAATATTTTAATTTTTGTAATTTTGGGTTTTCTCCATAAATTTACATCCACTCCCACATGAACAAGCTTAAAAACTATGTAAGGTATGTCTGTATGTTCATCTATTCATATGTAGGATATTTAGTACTGCCGGAGTAAACAAGGTTACAAATCCGTCTGTGGTATATACTAACTTTATAAACTAAAAGTGCAGTACAAACTATGATGGATACTAACATCCAAAAAAAAATTTTGCAGACTACATTTCAGTATCTGACTTACAGATTAAAAAAAGCATAGTTCACTGATATCTTTGTACTATCATTTAGAAGCACCTGTACACTAACATTTTCAGCTTTATTCTTTTGGTTTTTAATTATTTTATAAAATCTAATGGTAGTTAATTGTATAATAAACATTTCTGTAACAGGTAACTCTTTTAATCTAATGTTTTAAAATACATAAATCTAAAATTTTATATGAAATAACTACATCTTTTCTTACTAATTTATATAACTAATTCATTATAGAAGTAACACTTTTGCTATTAATCTACATGTTTTATTTATCTGCATCCTAATTGATGAATGGTTTATTGATCAGTAGCTTTTGATTACATAGGCCAAATTGTTTTACACTGATGTTATTTAAGTTAAAGTCTTATAAAAATATTATTTTTATGGCCCTTGTTAACATTGAAGTTTGTTGATATTGTCATATAAAACAAAACAATTATTTTTAAGAGTTAAATACAACTGCAACACAGCATTACTATTATAATAGTACCATTTGTGCACATATTGTTAATAATGATATTGATATTGGAGGTGAGATGATATCAATACCAGTGATAGTTATTTAAACATTACTTGAATTATTGAACATTTTTCTCAGTGGTTACTATATGTTCTCTCATATAGGTACTATTATTGTTCATATTTTATAAGTGAGAAAACTATAGCTTATGGATATTAAGTAACTAATATGATTTGGCTTTGTGTCCCCACCCACATCTCATGGGTTAATAATCTCCATGTGTCAAAGGTGGGACCAAGTGGAGATATTTGGATCATGGGGGCAGTTTCCCTCATGCTGTTCTCATGATAGTTGAGTTCTCACAGTATCTGATGGTTTTTTATATAAGGCTTCCCCCTTCACTCAGTAATAATTCTCTCTCCTGCTGCCCTGAGAAAACGTGCCTTCCACCATGATTGTAAGTTTCCTGAGGCCTCCTCAGCCACGAGGAACTGTGAGACAATTACATCTCTTTTCTTTATAAATGACTGAGTCTTGGGCAGTTCTTCATAGCACTCTGAGAACAGACTACTACAGTAAACTCATACTGTAGAGAGTGGGTGCTGCTATAAAGATACCCCAAAATGTGAAAACAACTTTGGAACTGGGTAACAGGCAGAGGTTCCAACAGTTTAGAAGGCTCAGAAGAAGACAGGGAAATGTGTGGAAGTTTGGAACTTCCTAGAGAATTGGAGGGCTTAGAAGAAGGGAAGATGTGGGAAAGTTCGGAACTTCCTAGTGCCTTATTGAATGGCTTTGACCAAAATGCTGATAGTGATATGGACAATGAAGTCCAGGCTGAGATGGTCCTAGATGAAGATAAGAAACTTGTTGGGAACTGGAGTAAAGGTCACTCTTGCTATGTTTTAGCAAAGAGACTGGTGGCATTTTACCCCTACCCTTGAGATCTGTGGAACTTTTAACTTCAGAGAGATGATTTAGGGTATTTGGCAGAAGAAATTTCTAAGTGGCAAAGCATTCAAGAGGAAGCAGATCATAAAAGTTCAGAAAATTTGCAGAACACCCATTTTCTGAGGAGAAATTCAAGCCAGCCGCAGAAATCTGCATAAGTAACAAGGAGCCAAATGTTAATCACCAAGACAATGAAATAAGTGTCTCCAGGGCATGTCAGAGGCTTTTGTGGCAGCCCCTCCCATCACAGGCCTGGTGGGCTTGGGAGAAAATAGGGTTTTGTGAACCAAATCTAGGTCCTCCCTGCTATGTGCAGCCTAGGGACTTGGTGCCCTGCATCCCAGCTGCTCCAGCCATGGCTAAAAGCGATCAAGGTACAGCTTGGTCTGTGGCTTCAGAGGGTGCAAGCCCCAAGTCTTTGTAGCTTCCATGTGTTGTTGGTCCTGCAGGTGCACAGAAGACAAGAATTGAGGTTTGGGAACCTCCATCTAGAATTCAGAGGATGTATGGAAATGCCTGGATGTCCAGGCAGAAATTTGCTGCAGGGACAGAGCCCTCATGGAGAATCTCTGCTAGGGCAGTGCAGAAGGGAAATGTGGTGTTGGAGCCCCCACACAGGGTCCCCACTGGGGCACAGCCTAGTAAATCTGTGAGAAGAGGGCCACCGTCCTCCAGACCCCAGAATGGTAGATCCACTGACAGCTTGCACCGTGAGCCTGGAAAAGCTGCAGACACTCAATGCCAGCCTGTGAGTACAGCTGGGAGGGGTGCTGTGCCCTGCAAAGCCACAAGGACGGAGCTGTCCAAGGCCATGGGAATCCACCTCTTGCAACAGCATGACCTCGATGTGAGACATGGTGTCAAAGGGGATTGTTTTGGAACTTTTAGGGTTTAATGACTTTCCTATTGGATTTTGGACTTGCATGGAGCCTGTAGCCCCTTTGTATTGTGCAATTTCTCACATTTGGAACAGATATATTTACCCAATGCCTGTACCCTCATTGTATCTAAGAAGTAAGTAACTTGCTTTTGATTTTACAGGCTCAGAGGCAGAAGAGACTTGAATTGTCTCAGATGAGACGTTGTACTTGGACTTTTGGGTTAATGCTGGAATGAATTAAGGATTTGAGGGACTGGTGGAAAGGAATGATTGTGTTTTGAAATGTGAGGACGTGAGATTTTGGAGGGGCAGGGGCAGAATGATATGGTTTGGCTCTGTGTCTCTACCCAAATTTCACCTTGAATTGTAATAATCTCCACATGTCAAGGGTGGGACAAGATAGAGATAATGGAATCATGAGTCAGTTTCTCCCATGCTGTTCTCATGATAGTGAGGGAGTTCCCATGAGATCTGATAAGTTTATTGGTTTTATATGGGGCTTCCCCCTTCACTCAGCACTCATTCTCTCTCCTGCCACTTTGTGAAGTGGTGCTTTCCGCCATGATTGTAAGTTTCCTCGGGCCTCCCCAGCCATGCAGAACTCTGAGTCAATTAAACCTCTTTCCTTTATAAATTTACCCAGTTTGGGGGATTTCTTCATAGCAGTGTGAGAACGAACTGAAACAGAAACTTTTCCATGCAGGCCATTGTCTCTAGCACAACCTTTTAAACACATCATCACACAATCTCTTTAAAAATTGGGAAATATGATTCTTTTTTATTTAATATTTTATAATACCAAACTTGCTGTTGTTTCATATTATCTTTATTTCTTGGAGAGAATTCTGTGCTAAATTCTTTGAAATATCCTTTATGATATTTTTGCTGGGTCACTTATTTTAAAATATCCTTATTATTTCCATTTGACACTTTATTAGATACCTTTGGATATACAGGAAATAGACAAAGTAATGTAATACTCATGTGGTATCACATAGATTCAACAATAATTATGTCATGATAAACTAATTCATTTATATTTCTCTCCACCCTCATATCATTTTACAGCTAATTTCAGATATGTTATTTTATCCATATATATTCTATTATATTTATGTATCATCCATCAATTTATCTCTTATTTGTAATATTACCACAATACCACCATCACACAAAAAAGCATTTATTTGTTAAAAACTTCAAATATATAATTTTGAACATTCTAATTAAATAAATCATATATACATATGTATGTATGTATATAAATCTTAACACAGTTTTCATTTTGATTGCAATTTTTAAAAATATTCACATGTTGTGATTGGCTGACATTTCTTGTGGCTCTTTTGATCTATAGGTTCTCTTTCCATGTCATTGTTTTGTTTTGCTTTTAGTAATTTATTTTGGAAGAAATTGCGTTATTTTTACTATGGAATTTCCCACAATCTGAATTTTGTGATTCCCATCTATGCTGTGCAGTATTGGTTTTGTTTCTGAAAATGTTTAATTGTAGTTAAAGGATTGATCAAATTCAATTTCAGAGGTTGGTGTTATGTTCTTTCATCGGCGACATGTAACATGTACATACCTCTCTTTTCTGATGTGAGTGGCCATTGATATTCAATGCTTGGATGTATTGATTCATTGAAAACTTCCAAATAAAGTCATAATATTTTAATTCCCTTATTCATTTTCAATTTAATAGATGGAATTCTTCAATAGAGCAATTATGCCTCATCAAATTTTTAATTACACTGATAGTTTATGTCGAAAGCAAAGATAAATGCTTGATTCCTTAACTCAATTTTATAGGTTTAAAATAATGAGTTGGTTTACTAGACATTTGAAAAGAAAAGAACATAAAACGTGAATATATATACACACACATACGTATACTCACATGTTTATGAGCTGTGGTATAGATTTGTGGTGTAAGTGCAGTATAAGTTAAACTTATATATACATATAAGTTCATTTTTAGCTTTCACATATGAGTGATAACACACAGCATTTGTCTTTTTGTGAAAGAATACATTTATTGTGAGCAGATGTGCACTGTAAGCCATGTTGAAGGAGTTCCTAAAACAAAAGAAACATGTATCTGATCGTCATTTGTATTTATCCAAAAATGAAAAAGCATTAGAAATTTAAAAATAATTGAGAATAAAAGTAAGAACTTTTTTCTTATTTTTAATTTACTTAGAAGCACACCCATCATAATAATGTATTCTGGGTTTTAAATAATGCATGAAGAAACAAAATGTAGGTCACAATATAAAAAACAGTGGAAAATATGAAGTATATTTTCATGAGATTCTTACACCAGACATGGAAAGTAGACTGGTATTATTAAAGATGTACATTACAAATCTAAAGTAACAACTTAGAAAAATAAAGATTAGCTACTACTGTATACCAATATTTAAAATAAAATAGTATAATTAAGGATACTCACTTAATTTTAATGCCAGGAAAAGAGCAACACAAAATAATAAAGAAAACATACATCTAATAGAAAATAATTTTCAGAATGGTAGATTTCATTCCAACTACATTACAATTACATTAAATGTAAAGAGTCTCAAGACCACAGTAAAAAATCAGGGATCTTTAGATTTGATTTAACAATAGCAGAATCCTACTATAAAATGTCTACAGGAACTTTACTTTAGATATAAAGACAGATTGTTACCAGTAAAAGGTTGAAAACAGAAGGTGTATCTTATCAATAGTAATCAAAAGAGAGCTGTACTGCCTAGGTTAATTACACAATATAGACTAAAGTCTATATAAAGAAAACTTCCAATGATAAAAGAAGACATTGCCTAGTGATAAGTGGAGGGAATTCTTAGCCTGTGTTGCAAGCTAGGAAAGCTTTCTTATCTTTTCTTCCTTCTTGTTTTCCCCAAAGAAATAAGAGTAAACTGATTAATAAGGTTTTTGATTACTACATCTTCCATATTTATTCTATGAATGAGATATATTAAAAATCATAATAATGCATAAATTTCATTCCTAAGCCTCTCTGGAAATAATCCATTGTCAATTCAACATTAATATTGTTTAGAACATATTTCTTAAATGGGAAATGTGATAGATACGAAGGGAAAGAAGTAAGTCAGAGAAGTATGACTGTGGCTTACTATGTATGTTGCAAATTTCTACGTTACAAATTATGACATATACTTAAATATTACTCCAAAATATGAGACAGTATATACAACTGGATCTTCCCAATACATGTAGAAAATACAATATCACATTATTTTTCTTATGGAAGATGTTTTTCACTTTTTTCAGAGAATCAGGTTCACTAGGACACTAAGGAAACTTAAACCAAGATTTTTCTTTTCTCTTTTCTTTTTTAAACATGTATACCATTTTTTGTATCACCAACCTCCAACCAACTTCAGAGACAATTGGTTTTCTACTGCCACTCAAAATATTGTACTTTGTGCTAAATTTTGTTGTTATAAATATATAAAATATGTGTTATAGACTTTGGAACAGTTTTGAAAGGTCAAGTTTCATCTGTTTGTGGTGTTACCATCCCCACTATACACTTGAGTGAGATCCTCTCTTGCTGATATTGAACAGAATAAAAATATGAGAGACGGGCAGTTTTAGGAGGAGGAAGATAAGTTGCATTTATTTTCCTTGGGTCTCTCCCTTTTTTTCCCCTCAAAATTTGGCTATTTCAATTTTTCACAAACTCAATAATGGAACAAAGTTTCTTAATTTGTGGAATATTTATATGCTTAACATTGTTTAATGTGATCTCTGCTGCCATGTGTAGCAGCATTAAATATAGATTTTAGAAACCACCAGACTTCAAATCTTAGATTTGTCACTGTGTCACTTTGGAAAATTATATTCTTGGTTCTCTGTTTCTTCATCTATAAAATGAGAAGATGATAGTATGATTTAAAAAGGATGTTGTGGGAACTCAATGAATACACATATATAAAATACCACGTAGAATGGAATTAAGCTTAGAGTCCCACATAAGCACTCTGTAAATGTGAACTATTGCTATCGTGGTTAACACTGGTGAGCTCAACTGGGAAAATAGCTAGGAAAAACTTGATAGGTAGTAAATTTCTGGTGAGTACCTTAATTAAAAATGGAAGTAGGGATTCCTTATGGCTTCCTTCAGCAGGCTGCACAAACATACCTATGGATAAATAAATTTTGATTTTAAGCACGGTAGTTTAATCAAGATCTTATAATAGCATCGTTCTCTTTGAGAGGCAGGGTGGTAGGAGTGTTTTGGGGGGAAATGATGTCTCCCATTTTCATTAAAAGAAGTTTCCCTCCCTCTACTATTTACTCATTTATATAGATTAAAAAGATTTATCTCATAAAGACAGGGACTATTTCTCAGATACAGGGATGGTGAAAAAAAAAGAGGCAAAACAATCATTATTTACAGATAATACAATTGTTAAACTAGAATACCTCAAAAATGAAACCATTTGATTATAAAACAGTTTAGTTATATGTCAAGATGTAAGTTAAACATATTAAAAAGCAAAGCATTAGCTTCATATGCATCACTAAATTCCAAGGAATAATATAATGGAAATTACCTCATCTACCATAGGACTAAAATATAGCATTGTATTTCTAAAACAAAAGGATGCTACTTAACTAAAGAAAAATAAACAAAAAATTTTTCAAAGCAAAAAATACTTTGAATAAGGGTTTGAATAACTGGAAAGATGTATCCTCTAGGAAAGGAAAAAGAGGGAGGGAAAGGAAAAGGAGGAAGTGGAGGAAGAGAAGAAGAAGGCGAGAAGGAGAAAATATCTTTTTGTATAAATCAGTATTTAGTTAGGAGACAAAAAGTACACAGTAATTTGAAAACAGGAAGTTTTATATAAAGAAATATTAACCATATTCCTGAGATTGGTTATTAAGACTGAATAAAAGAAAAAAAAGGATTCTAAAAATTTCTCCAAGGCTTAAGAAAGGAAAACAGTTGGAAGGAAGCTCTCTTCCTCAAAACTGTAATTCAGCCATCATCGGAGGGTGTGTTACTGCAGCCTACTAAATGGCAGAGAAGTTGCAGGATTGCCTTGGTGGTCTGAATGTATACACAGTGTTGGACTGAGCCCGGTGAGCAGGGAGCTGTGGACAGGGACTGAATTTAGAAGCTCCTCATTAGTGTGACACCCGACTGAGGCTGGAGCATGGGTAACTGTGGTTGGGTCTGCCAATCAAAACATCACCCACTGGAATGCTATCTGACTAAAGGTAATGGACAAGGAGCTGGAGACTGGCCAGCAAACATAAAGCCCTTATGAGGATGCTGGCAGGTCAAAGCTGGCAGTCAGAAATCCTCAATCAGCTCATTGTAAATAGTTGAGTTTGGTCAACGGGGAACTGTAGACCAGGACTGGCAAGGAGGTAACCGTCTGTTGGGTGTCACTTGATCAAAACAGGCAAAAGGAGATCTGCAAGCCAGGAAACCCCATCTGGGAAGCTGGGTGGCAAAGGCTGATGAGGCAGAGAACCCAGAGGGTAAGTGGCAAGCTACAAGCTGAGCACTGCTGGAGTCTCTGTTAATTGGTGGGTGCTTTACAACACAGGAACAAGCCAACAAAGCATACACAAAAGGGAAAGAAAACTTCTCTTCTTATCTTTTCCAGGGTCCTTCTATCAGTCTTTACTGACAAAGCTTAACATTGTGATGATTGACAAAGGAGAAACGCTGTAGTATCACAAGCAGGAGAAGGAAAGGTCAGCTTGGAGCTGGGAGGCAATAAGTTAATTAATAGGCACAATTTTGAATGTCAATTATGTTCAAATTGATTTGCAGATTTAAAGCAATTGCAACTAAATCCAAATTTGATTTTGAGAGAATTTGTCAAAAATATATTCTTGTAAATCTGAAATGACAGGTTTAAATAAGAGTTCAAGGAGCCCCAAAACTCTGCAAACGGGATGCGGTGCAATCCTGGTAATCAGGGCTCCAGGCTTCTTCAACCAGAGCAGCTCCGCTTTCATCTGCTCTATACTTTTGAGTGCTGCAAAGGCTTAGTTTGAAGGACCCTGCTATCAAATGAAAGCATTTGAAAAACATATTCTGCAAAGTCTAAGCAGTGGAAAAATAAGATAAAAAAGAAAAATAAGGTATTAGACTTAGCAATCATTAACATTTACAATTACCCTAGGCTAAATATTCAAATATTTATTCAAATATAAATAGATTGCCATGGAAAACTGATTGCTTATTACAGACACAATTATAATAAACAATTTGATGTATGTTACAAGTGGCAACTCAAATCAAAAGAAAAATGTTTATTTTTCAACAAAGGGTGTTGGTATGCTTGAAAAAGCTATTCTAAAAACAAAGTGTCAATTTATATTCTTACATCACCTATAAAAATAAATTCCAGATGGAGTAAAGAGTAAAAAACAAATTTAAAAACCCTATGAAAGTTTAAAAAACAGATAGTTATCAAACCTAGAATGTGGGTAGAATTTATAACATCAGAAGAAATAGATGCACATACTAGGCAAATATGTACCTATGTCCCCAAATATTAAACATTTTTAATGTCAAAATGTAAGTAAATAAGCAAACTATTTTTGCAACTCCAAAAAAGAAAAGGTCTATATATTTCAAGTGATTTCCATAAAAACAAAGGTGGCAAATCACGGATAATTCTAAAACCAAAATAAATAAGTGATTATTACTAGACTCCTCACAAAGAACTGTTAGAAGTGACTAACAGAGATGCTAATAAAACTTTATAATTATAATCAAAATAATTATAATTAAATCAGTATTTCTAAGCATATAAAATATCCTGACTTAATTACCTAGGAAAATCTACTGTTCAAAATGCTCGCTACATTAGGTGCAGTAATTAATTTCTGTCAAAATCTAGCTGAGATGAATATGCAAGCATGTAACTATTAAAATTATTTCAGAAAGTTGAATGGGAAATGCTGGTCCTCAACTATAAAAAATATAGTACTCTAAAGTTATCAAATGTGGAGGGACATTTTGCTACATTTCTATTAAGAATTTCACAAGCATGAAAGATTTATAGGCCAATGTCAAGGAAACTTTCACTAGAGTTAGATGAAACTGAACCTGGAATAAAACATGGGTTTGTAGCTGTAGAGGAGTAACCAAGATATACCAAGAGGAATAAATAGCACTAGCAAAGGTTATAAGACAGGAGAGTAAAGATATAATTCGGCTATGGTAAAAAGAAGACAGAAAATATGAATTCTGGAGCAGATTACAGAGTGCCTTGTAAAGTCAGTCTAGAGCATGTAGATTTTACTATAGTAAGCCTAATGCAACATCAGTATGTCTGATGAATCTCATGGGAAAGAGACTAGAAATAGATTACAAATGAGAAGGTTGCCATAGTTTAAGTTAGAGTTAATATATGCCTGTAAAAATACAGTGAAATTTTATATATGAATAAATAAACTTATGAGTAAAACCTTTTCTAATTGACTAGAATCAGGGGGAAAGGGAGAGTAGATGTTAACAAAAATTCCAATCATTTTTCAATCTTTTGTGGCAAAAAAAAAAAAAAAAAGCCACTATCTATGGCAAGGAATACTCAAGGAGCGTTGGTATTAAGGACAAATAATGGGTTTGATTTTAGACTTGCAGTGGAATGGGGAAACAAAATAATTAAGTAAAACTTTTTATAAGTAATGGTCTGATCAAGGAGCCGGGAGGGAGGTTAAGAATATGTAGGCTTAGTATGGAGGGGTTAAAATTAGGTACTAAACTGAAATTTATTATTTATTCATCTTCCTACAAAGAATCATTTTTAAAAAGGAATTTCTTTTCTTTCTTTCTTTCTTTCTTTCTTTCTTTCTTTCTTTCTTTCTTTCTTTCTTCTCTCTCTCTCTCTCTCTCTCTCTCTCTCTCTCTCTCTCTCTCTCTCTCTCTCTGTTTCTTTCTTTTCTTTGAGACGGAGTCTCACTCTGTCACCAGGCTGGAGTTCAGTGGCATGATCTCGGCTCACTGCAACCTCCGCCTCCCGGGTTCAAGCGATTCTCCTGCCTCAGCTTCCTGAGTATCTGGGACTACAGGCATGCTCCACCACACCCAACTAATTTTTGTACTTTTAGTAGAGAGGGGGTTTCACCATGCTGGCCAGGATTGTCTCGATCTCTTGACCTCATGATCCGCCAGCCTCGGCCTCCCAAAGTGCTGGGATTACAGGCATGAGCCACTGCGCCCAGCCTAAAAAAGGAATTTCATGTAGTGTCCATTTAGACCTCTGAAATTAGAGAAAACAAAATGATTTTAAGAGTATTTTGTGTATTAAGGTTGGTGGGAAATGCTGGCAGGGAATTCCTACAATTGTTTTTCTCATAAAACCCATTCTCTCTCTCTCTCTCTTCTTTCTCTCTCCAATTCAGCCTTAGCTTAACCTTGGGAAATTAATTCCTCATTTATCCAAATTTTTCCCTGGCTCACTGCTATGGGCTAAATGTTTGTGTTTCCCAAAAATTAAGTAGTGGTATCAGCTAAAATATATCTAGGTATTATTCTAGCCTTGGAAACCAGTTAAGATATTATTAGTGGTCTAAACTAAAATTTTTCATAAGAGAAATCTATTGGTGACAGATACTATTCGAGGTCATGGATCTTACTATACCTGCCACATAATCGTATTCTAAATTGTTTATTGGAGAAAGTCATTTCCTAGAAAGACAAGATGTGCAACGTAGAAATTCTACTCCCTTGCCAGGATTATCTCTCCTGTGGTGATTCCCACTCTATACCCTAATGGCATGAAGTCTTTCCTGCTCTCCCTCATCTGTGATTGACATATCCAAGTATCTTATCTCCCAGTTTCCTTTCAAAACTCAACCAGAGGAATGCAGGACTAAATTATTGTTCATTAGATGATGTTGTTATAACACTATTGGGGCCAGGGTGATTCAGAGGTCAGAAAGTTCAAAGGTAATAGATGGACTTGGAGAGTAGAAGCCATTTATAGGCAGAAATTTGTAGAAATGTCAAGAGAATTGGGGAAGATGGGTGACATTGTATTGGTCGCAGAAAGCAAACTGTTTAAGAATGGAGTTAGACCCTGAGGAGAAACTCAAGACTGTTCTCAACACTCCAGCAGCACATTACTCCACCTATCAATCAGAAGCAGTGTGATGATGATTGGTCTCATTTAACAGCATTCTAAAAATCAATGTGCTGGTTTTTAAGGTGTCTATCAAGCTAATAAAGTAAGGAGCAATGCTTTCAGCTCTTTTGATTTGTTTTCATCACCTTTGCTTGCATTGCCTTGTCCTGATTTGCCTTTTTCTTCTTCTTTTCTTTTCCATTCATTTTCTTTTCTTAGCGCTTGAGTGGGTACAGATATATCTGTGCATATGTGTTTGTGTCTTTCAAGATGTCCCTGTTATTTCCTCTGTAGGACTTTTTAGGACAGGCATTAAGGTTGATACTTGCCTTTGAGAGCAGCCTACTCCTCCTTCTGTTGGTATAACCCTATTGTTTACTATTCTGCTCTGTCACTGAAATTCATAATGGATTTTAAGTACAAATATTGCTTTGTAGCTTTGGGGATAGAAGTAGATTGATTGGAATTAATCATTGCTAATAAATAGCAACTGAAACCATTTTAAGTGTTCCTAACTACTTCTGGAATAAACTACCAAGCAACGCAGATACTCAATATATATTTGATTAAATAGATATGAGCTGTTTTCTCTATAGAGAATAGTTTACAAAAACTTTTGTAGAAAATAATACATAGATCATTTTATCATTTAATGTCAAGAAACGCCGTTGTTCTGTTGAAATAATATATGATTTTAATGGATTTCTTTCCTTCTTTATTTTTCTTTCTCTTTATTCCATCCCTCCCTCCCTTCCTTCTTTCCTTCCTTCCTTCCTTCCCCCCTCCCTTCTTCCCTACCTCCCCTCCTCCCTCTTTCTTTCACATTTACTTCCTCCCTTTTTCCCTCCCTCCCTCCTTCTCTGCCTTCCTTTCTTTCTTTAACTGTCTTTCTCTTTCTCTCTACATCCACCAATCCTTCTCATACTTCTGTTTTACTTGTGCTGGGTGTGTGTATATTTTATGCAATTTTATTACATGTGTTCATATATTCATCACCACACTTAAGATATAGAAAATCACCCTCACTATTTGAGTTTGTTTGGCATCCTATAACAAAATACCATAACTGAGTAGCTTATACACAGCGTAAGCTTATTACTTACAGTTCTGGAGGCTGAGCAGTCCAAGATCAGGGTGTCTGCATGGTTGAGTTCTGGTGAGGGCCCTCTGCTGGGTTGCAGACTGCTGATTGTTTTCTCTGCCCTCACAGCTCTCTTGGGCCTCTTTTATAAGGGGAACAATCTCATTCATGAGTGCAGAGCCTTCATAGCCTAACTAATCAACTCTCAAAGTCCCCACTTTCTAATACTGTCACCTTGGTGATCAGGACTAACATATGAATTTGTGGGGACCTAAACTCTCAGACCGTGGCAATCCCCATAAAAATTCCTCTTATTCATTTTTTATAACATCTGCCTCCTTTCTGTATACCTACTCAAACACTAATCTTTTCTAAATGTTATCTAAATGAAATCATACAGTATGTAATAGTATGTAACTTTTAGGAATTGGCTTTAAAAATTCAGCATAATTTTCTTGAGATTAATTAAAATTGTTGTGCAGATCACTAATTCATTCATTTTATTGCTGGGTAGTATTCCGTGGTATGGATGTACCACAGTTTATTGATTTACCTGTTGAAAGACATCTGGGTAGTTTACTTTAAATGCCGCTATGAAGAAAGCTATTAAGAACATTGGTATGCAGGCTTTTGTGTGAATGAATAGAAGGTTTCCTTTCTCTCGGATAAATGCCCAAGAGTTCAATAGGTAAGCCTTATGGAAGTTGGATGTTTAGTTTTATAAGACATGACTACAATATTTTACAGAATGCTTATGCCCTTTTTACATACCCATCAGAAATGTATGAGTAATCAAGCGTCTTCACATCCTTGCTTCATTTAGTGTTGTTACCAATTTTATTTTAGCAATTCAGGTAAGTTTGGGGAATTACATCACATCGTGGGTCTAAAGTGCATTTCATTAATGGCTAATAACATTGAATGGGTTTTCCAGCTGCTCATTTACCATCTGTATATTCTGTTTGGTGTAATGTCTCTTTATAAATTTTTCCCAGATTCTACTTGATTTGTTTTATAATATGGAGTTTTCACAATTCTTTATATTTTCTAGGAATTCGTACATTATTAGATATAGTGTTTGCAAATATTTTATCCCTGCATATAGTTTTTCTTTTTATCTTCTTACTGGGATCTTTTACAAAGCAAAAGTTTTTAATTTTGATGAAGTTCAATTTTTTCTTGTATGGATTGTGTTTTGGTGTCAAGTCTAAAGACTTTTTGCTTAGCTATAGATCCCAAAGGTGTTCTCCTATGATTTTTTTTTCTCTGAGAGTTTTAGAGCTTAACGTTTTAAATTAGGTTCATAATCAATTTTGAGTTATGCATTTTTTCTTCTCTGATTGCAGTACCCAGAAATTTCAATATATATTGAATGAGATTGATGGGACAGGACATCTCTGCCTTGTTTCCAAACTTATGGGGAAAGCACTTAGTCTCTTACTATTTAGTACGATGTTATGATGTTAGCTATAGTTTTGTTTTATTTACTTATTTTTTTTTTGTAGATACTCTTTACCAAGGGGAGATACTTCCCCTCTATTTCTAATTTATTGAGAGTTTTTACCACAATGTGTGTTGGATTTTGTCAAACGTCTTTTCTGCCTCAATCAATATAATCTTGTAATTTTTCTTCTTTAGACTTTTTTGAGTATTTTTCAAATGTTGAGTCAGTTTTGCAAATCTGCAATAAATCTTACTTAAGTCATTTATATATTGATGTATAGTCATTTTATATCTTGATGTATTTAATTTGCTAATATTTTGTTGAGAATGTTTTATATCTAGATTAATAAAATATATTGACTTGTAGCTATTACTGCTGTTTGATTTTGGTACTGACATTGTTTTTGGTTGTATAAAATTAGTTGAGAGGAGTTTCTTTCTATTCTATTTTCTTGAGGAGACTGTACAAAATTCATCTAAGTTCTTCAAATGTTTGGTAGAATTATCCACTGAAACAATCTGGACCTCAATATTTATTTTTCAGGAGTATTTGGATTTTGAATTTGATTTCTTTAAAAGTTACAGGACTACTCGCATTGTTTTATTTTGGTTGTGTTTTGGTTGCTTATAGATTTTAAGGAATTGATCTTCCATTTTATAACTGTAGGATTTGTAATAAAATAACCTCTTTCATTTAAAATTTTGATGATTTGTGTCTTCTTTCTTTTTATGTTTTGCCCTAAAGATTTTTGTTTTTAAATCATTCTTATCAGTATTGTTATGTTTGTCAATTATATTTTATTTTATTGAAGAGTCAGCCTTTTCTTTCCTTGATTTTTTTCATATTTTCAATTTATGGATTATTTGCTCATTGGTTTTATTTTTATCTGCCTTCTTTGAGATTATTATACACTTCCTGTTTCTTGAGTTAGAAACTTAGATTATTGAGTTTTTTTTTCTTTTGTTACATGTACATTTAGCACTGTAATATCATTCTTAGTACTGATTTAGCTGTGTGCCACCAATTATGATATTATGTATTTTCTTCTTTTTTTAAAATTTTACTTTAAGTTCTGGGATACATGTGCTGGACATGCAGGTTTGTTACACAGGTATACCTGTGCCATGGTGGTTTGCTACACCTATCGATCCATCATATAGGTTTTAAGCCCCGTATGCATTAGGTATTTGTTCTAATACTCTCCCTCCCTTTTCCCCCCACCCCCCTGACAGACCCCAATGTGTAATGTTCCCCTCCTTGTGTCTATGTGTTCTCATTGTTCAACTTCCACATATGCTTGAGAATGTGTGGTGTTTGGTTTTGTGTTCCTGTGTTAGTTTGTGAAGATGATGGTTTCCAGCTCCATCCCTGTCCCTGCAAAGGACATAAACTCATTCTTTTTTATGGCTGCATAGTATATGTACCACATTTTCTTTATCCACTCTATCATTGATGGGCATTTGGGTTGGTTCCAAGTCTTTGCTATTATAAATAGAGCTGCAATAAACATACATGAGCATGTGTCTTTATAGTAGAATGATTTATAATCTTTGTGTATATACCCATTAATGGGATTTCTGGGTCAAATAGTATTTCTGGTTCTAGATCCTTGAGGAATCGCCACAATTTCTTCCACAATGGTTGAACTAATTTACACTCCCACCAACAGTGTAGAAGTGTTCCTATTTCTCCACATCCTCACCAGCATCTGTTGTTTCCAGACTTTTTAATGATCACCGTTCTAACTGGCATGAGATTGTATCTCATTGTGGTTTTGATTTGCATTTGTCTAATGACCAGTGATGATGAGCTTTTTTATTCATATGTTTGTTGGCTGTATAAATGTCTTCTTTTGAGAAGTGTCTGCTCATATCCTTTGCCTACTTTTTGATGGGGTTGTTTGTTTTTTTCTTGTAAATTTGTTTGAGTTCCTGGTAGATTCTGGATTTATACCTTTGTCAGATGGATAGATTGGTATTTTCATTTTAATTCAGTTCTCTGTGTTATTTTATATTTCCTTTGAGACTTTCTCTTTGGCAGCTAGATTATTTAAAAATGTGTTGTTTAATTTTCAAACATTTATGATTTTTTAGAATCTTTCTGTTATTGGTTTCTAGTTTGATTCCATTGTGTTCACATAATAAATTCTGTATAATTTCAATTATTTTCAATTTGTTCACTGGTTTTATAGTCTAGGATAATCCATCTTGGTGAATGCCAGACATGCTTGAAAAGAAAAAGGGTGTTTGCTATTGTTTAGTGAGGTGGTTTATATACATTGATTGTATCTTATTCGATTGTGTTGTTTAGCTCTTCTCTATTAAAGTAGGAGACTTTGCATCTTTTGTTTTGCTGGCAGTCGCCCTGTTTGGTTTAGCTTACAGGTTCCTGTTCTACTTTTTGGGCTGTGACTTCAAATAAAATTTAGTTCTCTGCAG
This sequence comes from Homo sapiens, assembly GCF_000001405.40. Lineage (NCBI taxonomy): Eukaryota > Metazoa > Chordata > Mammalia > Primates > Hominidae > Homo > Homo sapiens. Next base: position 190,712,892 of record NC_000001.11, read on the forward strand.
CTTTGCATTGTTAGTTTTATCTGCTAGGTTTATTGGTGCAGCTGGAATGACCAATGCTCGTTGATCCTGATTCCTGAGAGGTCACAAGGATTTTCTCCAGGAGAAGCAACCTGGTGGTACAAAATGAGCGAAGAGGTTCTCAGTCGTTTAGAACTCCTGGGAGTGTCCCTCTTGAAAGTGCTACCTGGCTATTTGGTGACACTAGGTGAAGGAGGGGAGTCTTGGGCTCCTGGGGATAAATATATTTTCTGCCTCTTGTGGCAGAATCTCCCTGTCCAGTACCACTAGTTTCACGCTGCCTCTTGGTAGAGATGTAGTGCCTTAGGCCCCCAGGTAAGAAATGGGTTTCTCCTATCATCTGATTGTCTATGATTCCTGATCAATTCTCTTTGCCTTGCATTGTCAGTGGAATACCCATTTCATTTAGCAAGGGTTGTGTTTAACTCAATCACCATCTGTTGCTGGGTTAGGGTTCAGGAAACATCAGGCCTGGATCATCTTCTGTTGAGTGGGAAATGAAAGGCCTCTGATACTTTGCTATTCGTCCAGTTCTGGAGAAAACGAAACCAATTGGTTTTCCTACTTCCACCTTTCAGAATTCTCCTCTGGTTGCATTATTTCTTGGGTTTATAGTTTTAATTAATGAGGTAGGGCAGAAAGCAATGATTCTATATCATTTTACCTGGACCATAAGTGCAATATCTGGTTTCTTTTTTGTTGTTGTTGTTGATGTGCTAGTTTTTAAGTTTGCCTCCTTAGATTTATTTATTGGCATTGTAATCTGGAATAGTTTGATTTAAAAAATACATCTAACTCCAGAAATATAATATTCTCAATTCCATGAAAGCAAACCATATTAACAGTAAAATTATCTTGCAATGAGATATTTTCACTGCTTCTATAGTTAATGCTTTCTGGATAGAGTCCAAAGTGCCGTGGACCAAGGGGTCCATTTTTGTATACTTACAAATACAATTGCATATGCATATTTTTGATGTCCTGCATATTACCTTTTTTCTACATAAGAAATCATTTTGTTAGGGTTCTGTTCAGAATTTAAGTGTTATTAATTATCCTTATTCTTGAAATTGTGATTTGAAATAGTAAGCAGGCCTTTGGGTGTTGTGAACAGTATGAACCATGAAAATGACTGTAAGAGATGAATTGCTAATTTTAAAATTAAAAGCCTTGCCTGAAGAAGGTGATATGAAGCAAGAATTGGCAATATGAAATGACTGCTACAAGAACTAAGAAAAATCTTAACAGAATACAGTCTTGGTGGAACTGGAAAGTGGAAGAAAAACTCATAAACTTTTAGAATAGTTTTTGGCAAAGCATCAACTGATGAAATGCTTCATGTTATACATGGCACAGCAAATGAGGTAGATATAGCTGTCATAAATATGCTTTGAACTATGAGACATAAATCAAAGTCTGTAATTACATGGAATAAACATACATTTTTCATTTCTTTAAGAATAAATTCAGAAATCATGTTTCAGGTTCTTTGCAGACTTTTTAAATAATTCAGTTTTAGTGCATATGAAATTTAAAAATTCAGCAAAGTTTAATGCTACATTTTATGTCTAAATGTGTGCAAAAATTTTGCATTTTGAGATGTTCTTTTATTCAGATTATTTACGTATAGGTTGCTTGTTTGTCAAGTTAAACATTGGACTAGAATTGTCTGTTTGAAAATACCTGAGGGTCTTCACTAAGCCATATGGTTTCACCACAGTATATGATTAGTCTCAGAATGATCAAAAGTTTAGTAAAATATTATTTCTACTGCAAAACCTCTGAGGAAACATGACTACATTTGCTATATTTTCAAATTAGATTGAAACTACAAAGGCTGTCAGTGAATGCTCATTAAATAGTTACTAAAATATTGATGTGTTTACATTATATTGAATACTTAAAAGCATAATATGACTGCCTAAGTTCACATAAAAACTAATACAGGTAAACATAAAACAATAAGAAAAATAAATTTAAGCATAAAATTTCATGTATACACATATACATATATACACATACATGTTTTTCCATTTTGGTGTACTTACAAATGCAATTGCATATGCATATTTATGATGCCAACATTTATAACATTAATGCTAAAACAGCAGTATTTGTGTGTATACAGATATTGAGGAAGTGTAATCTTGTGGAAGGAGCACAGATTTACAGTCAGATACATTTATATTTGAATTTATGAGTGTTATTAAAGATTAAATAAGATGAAAAGTGTAAAATACCTAATATATTACCTGACATATAGTAAGTACTCATATACACTCTATGTCTGTTTACAAGCATGCAACTTTCCCAATCACAAAACTAACCAAATAAAACATGAGATATTCAATAATCTAGAGTGCTAAAGATTATAAAAACTTGGCTATTCTGGAGAGCTATTTAGAATAGTTATACCCTTGTACTAAATTATTCCACTTAAAAGAATTTTTCTTAAAAACAGAAACAGATTTCATACACAGATTTATATGCATAAATGTTTATCATAGCATAGTAATTTGAATAAAAATGAAAATAGCCAAAATGCAGAGAAGCAGATACTTAAATATGTATGATAGTTTTATATCCTGCTATATTATACAATCATTAACATTGCACTTATGCAGAATTTTATATAGCATGGCAAATCAATAAAGCAAACAATATAGAAATGTACTTTCCCAATCCTAACAAAAATATTCTTAAAAAATAAATGGAAAGGATCATTTTGTTATTTAAGGTTACGAAATTATACTATTTGTGTGATACTGCCTTAGTCATTGACGTAGTTTGGCTGTGTCCCCACCCAAATATCATCTAGAATTCCTACATTTGTGGAAAGGACCTGGTGGAGGGTAATCGAATCATGGGGACAGGTCTTTCCCGAGCTGTTCTTGTGACAGTGAATAAGTCTCAGGAGATCTGATGGTTGTATAAGAAGGAGTTTCCCTGCATCAACTCTCTTTTTGCCTGCTGCCATCCATGTAAGATGTGACTTGGTCCTCCTTGCCTTCTACCATGATTGTGAAGCCTCCCCAGCCATGTGGAATTGTATGTCCATTAAACCTATTTCTTTTGTAAATTGCCTGATCTTGGGTTTGTCTTTATCAGCAGCATAAAAATGGACTAATACAATCATCAAGAACAAACTATAGTCACTTGGTAGAATTCTTTAGATCTTGGTGGTTCGTATTTTCTCTAAACTTTGTTAGTGGCATGATAAGAAATAAGGTATTTAACAGATTAGATATTTTATTGAAAATTTTTGTTCAAAAAATGTATAATATACAAGAAATATACAAGCCTCTCTAAAAAGAGAGTTTCAGGCACATGAACTACAGTTGAAGGGATATTTTTACTGTCATTTGGTCATGCAATCAAATTACATCACAAAAACTGCTCTTTACTTCAGTCTTTTAAAGACTGACCTTAATTACAGAAAATACAAAATAAATTACTCATATATACAATATAATGGATGATATGAAAATTAAAACATTAAATCCCCTCTTCGTCTGCTTCTCCCACTTCCTAAGAATGCTTACGTGTTTTAGCTTTACGTGGTCTTGCTATTTTTTTATTCTTTCTATTTAGCTAAAGGAGAAAGAGAAAAGAGCAGAAGTGAGCCTAAGACCAGTGTGGTTTGGCGCGGTGGCTCAAGCCCATAATCCCAGCCCTTTGGGGGGCCAAGGCAGGTGGAATGTGTGAGCTCAGGAGTTCAAGACAGTGGGCAACATGGGGAAAACTCGTCTCTACAAAAAATTAGCCAGGCATGGTGGCATGTACCTGTAGTCCCCAGTACTCAGGTACTCAGGAGGCTGAGGTGGGAGGATCGCTTGAGCCCAGGGAGTTCAAGGCTACAGTGAGCAAAGATAGTGCCACTGTACTCCAGCCTGGGTGACAGAGAGAGACCCTGTCTCTAAATAAACAAATAAATAAATATACAGTGTGACAGTGCAAATAATTCTAAAATATGTTGAACTAGGCATTGAAATAGGCATGAGGTTGTAAAACAAAGTGGGATGAATAAGTCTTAGAGAACTAGTGTATAATAAAAATACTGCATTGTATACTTAAAAATTTACTAAAAGGGTAGATTTTGTTAAGTGTTATTGCAAAATAATAATAACTAACAGGGTAAAGGAAACTTTAAGAGATGATGGATAGGTTTATGGCAAAGATTGTAGTGATGGTTGCTTAATTGCATATTTATCACCAAAATCACTAAGTTATATGTATTAATTATGTACAGATTTTGTATGTAAAAAAATTAAATATCAAATGAGAAATCGGTGAACTCACTTTTATAGGGTTAAATTGCCATGAAATATTTGAATCATAAATGCTTACACAGCAAAAAATTAATTAATATTCAGCTATCCTGGAGAAAATCATTGAGAAATTTATTATGTCAAGCATGAGGCCACATTTGAGTATATTATGATAATCAAATAGCAAACTATCTTTTTTATAGTGTTTACACTATATTGAGGAAGACAAACTTTAAACAACCAATCATAAATATGTCTTAAGCTTATTTGAATATAGCATCCTTAAGGTTACATAGTCAGGACAAGTTAACTCATTTTCCTTCTAAATAAACAGCTTTAGTGTTTCATTCGGAGTATGACTGTTGGTGATAGATGCTCTCAGTTTCTGTTTTTTTCTAAAAAATATATGTATTCTGTCTATACCTTTCCCTTCAAGAGTTGACTAGTGGCAATGACAATCCCAAATCATGTTAATCCAAGCACAAATTGAGACTTGCTGCTAGTCTTCAGTTCCTGTGTGGTCTGACATATCAGATTTATACGGATATTTGGGTGGAGCCCCTTAGGTCCCAGTCCAAAACCTAGGTTTTAGCAGACCCCAGTTTTTATTTTTTATTTAATTATTTTTTTCAGTCCTTTGGTTTCCTCAGTTTTCTATATCTTGACCCAAAAGTGCTTTGTTCCTTTTTAACTCCATAATGCTGACAAGCAGATGTGTTTGAACTCTTTGCCCAGTTTTAATAGATATTTTCCGTGGAAGGATTTGTCCAAACTAACTAGTCTGCCAGTATAGATAAATCATAAAGGTTTTCCAACTTAACATAAAACTCCTAAATCTATCCATTAGGTATACCAAAACAACCTGCATTTTAGATGTTGCTCCTTTAGTATAATTTCCAGCTATAAGCATAGCAAGTAGTATAAAAACAACAACAAAACAACAAAAAACAATGCAATGCTTTGATGAAACCTTAATTTTGATGTCTATTCCTTCATGATGACTAGGATTTCCAAAGATAAATACTGTGAAGCGTCTTCCTCTGAGTGATAATGTTCTGCTCTTTATTACATTTTGTGTTTTATAATACACATAGAATTAAATACAAAACAATAGCACAAAGGGAAGGAGAATAAAGTTATCCTAATTTAACGCCATATTTTACATTGCAACATACTAATTATTTCCAAATAGATTGTGATAACTTCAGGAACTATATTTCAGTAATACAAATAGATGTAGCAAAAAGCCAAAAGAGGAAATGAAATAGATATTAAACAAAATACCAGTTAAACCAAAGGAAGTCTGGAAATAAAAGTAAATGAGGAAAAATATAAAAGATATTTTAAAATACATTGAAGAGACACTGCTAATGTAAAGGCACAGTTTTAAAACAAAAAGATGGGGAAAGGTCAAGCGTAGTAATATTAAGGATGAGAGCTGTTGTGGTTTTGTTAATATCAGACAAAATTTATTTTAAGACAAGAAATATTATAAGAGATAAAGAGGGGTTTTTCATGTAGATGTAAGTAAGAAATAAGCTTTCTTATAAATGAGTTGTCCACACAAGCATGGATCTTTCTCTGCTGTCTATATTCTGTTCTACTGCGAATCTATTTCTCTTTTGCTTCTATGTTACATTGAATTATCTCTTTCTATACCTGTATAATGAGTGCGGATTACACAGAGGTACAATCTTCCATAATTGTTTTTCTTCAAAGCTTTTGGCTATTCTTGGTATTTTTCAATTTTAGCAAATTCTTGAATCAATTTGTATAGCTCCCACCAAAAAAGTGCTAAAATTCTGAATTGCATTACACATAATATAAATATTAAATATAAGTAAGTAATATCGCATAAGTAACATTTTTATAATATTGAGTTTTCCAATACATTAAGGTGACATTCTACTTCATTGTTTTGGTCTTCTGTAATTTCTTTTGATATTTATTTTACTTTCAGAGTACAGGCCAGTCACATATTTCATTGGATTTATTCTTGCATATTTGGTGTTTCTGAATATTCATTTTTAAAATGGTTTTTATGTGTACATTGATGAATAATTAATTTTTGTATATAAAATTTTTATCCAGTGAGATTGCCATATTTCTTTACCAATTTAAACGGCTTATCAGATTTTTAGCTTTTCTAACTATTCTTGGCTGATTTTGCTATGACCTCCAGTAAAACATTGAATAACAGTGAGAATAATCAGTTTTCTCATATGTCTTCATTTCAGGAGGAAGACTTATATGACTTTATTATTAGGCATGTAAGTATTTTAATATATATGTTTTACTAGATTAAGAATAATTCCATTTCATTCCTAGCAAACTAGAATATATTTTGATGAATAGCTGTCCAATTTTATCCATCATTTTGCCTCTATTGGGATAATCAAATATTATTTTCTATTATGAATTAATGTGATACATAGGTAAATTGATTTGTAAAAGTTATACCAATATCACTTTTCTAAAATAAACACAATTTATTCATATTATATTCCTTTTACTTTTCATTGAATATAGCTGGTAATATTTTGTTTAATTTTATTTTTTCATCAATTACGAGAGAGAAATTATTCTATGATAAAATGTTCTGCAATGACATGGTCTGCTTTTGTCATTAAGGAGTCAGGTTTGTGAATTTAGTTTTGGGTCTGTTGAATTTGGAGCTCCTGTGGGGTTTCCTTGTGTCTAGTGAACAGATAGAAATAGATGGTTCTAGAGCTCAGGAGAGTGATTTGCACTAGAGCTGTACGTTTTGAAGTTGTTGGCATCTAGGTGCTACTTACAGCCAAGGGAACAAATAAGACCACACAGGAAAATCAGATTGAGTGGGAAGAAGGTGAGGACAAAGCCTGGGGAGCTGCAATATTTTTAATGTTGGGGAGCAAAGGAGCCTGAGAGCAATTGGAGAATAGAGGAGTCAGAGGCATAAGAGCTACTCTAGGGGAAATGGTTACATGGGATCCAAGTTAGCTTGAGTTTCAAGAAAAAAAAGGTGACCAACAAAACCAAATATCATGGAGGAAAATGTCTAGTGGGAGGAAGGGTTCTTGGTGAACATGGTAAGAGCAGTGTTCAGGAAACAGAAGTGCCTGAGTCCTAGTAGGGATGCGAAGGAGTGCAGGAGGCTGTGGCCATGCTTTATGAGTTCTTCAGTATTTTTCTTATCACGTGTATATGTTATTTTTATTTAAAACATATATGTGTGTGTGTTTAAAACATATATGTGTGTGTGTATACGTGTGTATATATATATCACCTCTTTGAAAACGTTTAAATAATACCTTATCTTCATCTCCATTTCTGCTAAACCAGGCTCCTCAAAGTTATAAACTAGCCCATCTCTGCTTCCTTAGCTCCTGTTTATCTATCTTACTACCTATCCTTTCATTTTTTTTTTTGTTTCCATTAGAAAAACTGGAGCACTTTTTTTTCTTTTAAATTTCAACTTTTATTTTAGATACAGGGGAGTACATGTGTAGGTTTGTTACATGGGTATATTGCACACAGGGGGTAAGCACAGTATCCAATACGTAGTTTTCCAACCCATGTCCTGCTCCCTCCTTACCCCCTCTAGTAGTCTGCAGTTTCTATTGTTTCCATGTCAGGTCCATGTGTGCCCAGTTTTTAGCCCCCACTTATAAGTGAGAATATGCACTATTTCGTTTTCCATTACTGTGTTAATTCGTTTAGCAAGAATTTATTTTTTAGAGTCCTTTTAGTTTCACAGCAAAACTGGATGAAAAGTACAGAGTTTCCATATACTCTCTACCCCTTCACCAACCTTCCATACTGTCTACACCCTACACCAGAGTGGCACATTTGTTACAATCTGTGCACTTACAATAACACATTGTCACTCAAATTTCATAGTTTACATTAAAGTTCACTCAGAGTATTGTACTTTCTAAGGCTTTTGACAGATGTATTATGACATGAATCCACATAGATATAGTATCACATAGAATAGTTACACTGCCCTAAACATCTCCTGAAATCTGCCTACTTCTCTCTCCCTTCCCCTTAACTCCTAGCAACCACTAATCTCTTTACTGTATCGTTTTGCCTTTTCCAGAAGGTTACATAGTTGAAATTATAGAGTACGCAAACTTTTCAGGCTTGCTTCTTTCACTTTATAATACATATTTTCATTTCCTCCATGCCTTTTCATGGTTTAATAGAGTGCTTCCTTTGGTGCTGAATAATATTTTATTTTTTGGTTATACTACAGTTTATTTGCCCACTGGAGAGCATCTTAATTGCTTCCAAGTTTTGGAAACTATAAATAAATCTATAAACATCCAAATGCAGAATTTTGTGTCGACATAAATTTTCAACTTCTTTGGTAAATGCCAAGGAATATGATGGCTGGATCATAATGTAAAGAGTATGTTTAGTTTTATAAATCACTTCCAAGTTGTCTTCCAAACTGATTCTACTATTCTACATTCCCAATAGCAATGAATGAGAGTTCCTGTTGCTCCACTTCCTCACTAGTATTAGGTCTTAGCGCTCTGGATTGTGGCCATTCAAATAGGCATTTCTCTGATTATATATAATGTGGAGCATCTTTTTATATGATTACGTGCCTTCTGTATATCTTCTTTGATGAGGTGTTTGTTAAGGTCTTTGGCCCATTTTTAATTGGCTTATTTGATTTCTTATTGTTTTGAGTATTTTTGGTATATTTTGGATAACAGTCCTTTCTCAGCTATGCCCTTAGTGAATATATTCTTCCAGTGTGTGGCTTATCTTTTCATTCTGTTACCATTATCTTTCACAAAATAAAGACTTCTAGTGTTACTGAAGTCCAGCTTATCAATTGTTTCTTTCATAGGTTGTTCTTTGCTGTCATATCTAAAAAGATATCACTAAACCTGGGTCAACTTGATTTTCTTCTGTTATTTTTAGGAGCTTTATAGCTTTGCATTTTACATTTTGGTTTGTGATCCGTTATGACTGATTTTCTTGAAGGATTTAAGAATAGAATCTAGATTTATTGCTTATTTTAGATATGGATCTCCAGTTGTTCTAGCACTATTTGTTGAATATACTGTCTTTTCTCCATTGTATTTCCTTTGTTGCTTTCTCAAAGATCGATTGACCCTATGTGTATGCATGTATTCCTGGGATGTTTATTCTAGTACACTGATTTATTAGTTTCCTCTTTTACCAATACCACACTGTCTTAATTATTGTAGCTTTATAGTAAGTCTTAAAGTTAGGTAGTGTTCATCCTTCAACTTTGTTCTTCAACAATAGAGTGTTGGCTATTCAAGGTCTTTTGTCTCTTCCTATAAAATTAAGAATCAGTTTGTTGATATGCACAAAATAATTGTCATGGATTTTCATTGGGATTGCATTGAGCCTAAAGATAATATTGGGAAGAACTGACATCTTGGCCATATTGGGTCTTCATATTAATTAAATTGGAATATCTCTCCACTTAATTCTTTCTGGATTTCTTTCATCAGAGATGTGTTGTGTTCCTTCTATAAATCTTGCATGTATTACGTTAGATTTGTATCTAAATATTATGGTATAATAACTATGCTTTTAATTTCAAATTCTACTTGCTCATTGCTGGTATATAAGAAAACAACTGACTTTTTATACTAACCTCATATCCTTCAACCTGGCTATAAATGGTATATTAATTCCAGGAGCCTTTTGGTTGATTCATTCAGATTTTCTACAAAGACAATCATATCATCTGTGAACCAAGACAGTTTTATTTCTTCCTTCCCAATCAGTATGCCTTTTATTTTCTTTTTCTTCTCTACTGCACTAGCAAGGGCTTCCAGGACAATGTTGATTAGGAATGGGGAGAGGGGACATCTTGCCTTGTCTAGTCTCACTATCAAGTGAGACAACTAATAAGACAAGTTCTAATTTCTTATAGCTAAGTATGATCGCAACTGAAGGTTTTTTTTTTAATTTTTTTTATTAAGTTGAGAAAGTTCTCATATATCCCTACTGTACTGATTTTTTTTATCATTAATGGATGTTGGATTTTGTCAAAAGCATTTTCTGTATCTATTGATATGATTTTGTGATTTTTCTTCTTTGGCCTGTTGATGTGATGGATTACATTGATTATTTTTAAATGTTGAAACAGCCATGTGTATTTGGAATAAATCAGATCTGGTATTGGTATATGATTTTTAAAAATATATTGTTGGATTTAATTTGCTAATATTTCACTGAGGATTTTTGCATCTATGTTCATGACAGATCTTGGTGTCTTGTTTTCTTTTTGCGTAATATCTTAGCTTTTCTGGTATCTGTCTAATGGTAGTACACAGAATAAATTAGGAAGTATTTTCTCTGCTTTTATTTTCTGAAAGCAATTGTATGAACAGAATTTTTTCCTTAAAAGTTTGGTAGTATAAGCCAGTGAAGCCAGTTACTTTCTATTTTGGAAGGTTATCAATTACCAACTCGATTTCTTTCATAAATATAGGCCTATTTAGATTTGTTGATTTCTTCTTGTGTGAATTCTAGCAGATCGTATCAAACCAGATGAAACTGGTTCATTTCATCTAGATTATCACATTTGTTGGCATAGAACTGTTCACAGTATTTTTAATTGTTTTTAAAATTTTTATGGTATCTGTAGTGATATCCCTTCTTTCATTTCTGATATTATCAGTTTGTGTTATCTCTTTTTTTCTTAGCCAGGCTGGAGGTTTTTTAATTTTATCAATCTTTTCCAAGAACCAGAGTTTGTTTTCATTAATGTTATTAATTTTCTGTTTTCAATTTTATTGATTTCCTCTTAATAGTTTTAAATTTCTTCTGCTAACTTTGAATTTCTTTTTTTTTTTTTTTTTTTTTTTTTTTTTGAGACAAAGTCTCACTCTGGCCCAAGCTGGAGTGCAGTGGTGCGATTTTGGCTCACTGCACCCTCTGTTGCCCAGGTTCAAGCAATTCTCTGCCTCAGACTACCAAGTAGCTGGGATTACAGGTGTCTGCCACCAAGCCCGGCTAATTTTTTATAGTAGAGACGGGATTTCACCATCTTGGCCAGGCTGGTCGTGAACTCCTGACCTCGAGATCCACCCGCCTCACCCTCCCAAAGTGCTGGGACCACAAGTGTGAGCCACCGAGCCCAGCCTGGATTGATTTTTTGTTGTGATGGTGTTAGTTTTAGTTTCCTAAGGTGAAGAATTTGATTATTGATTTTTACATTTTTTTCCTGTCTAATATATACATTTGATGCTGCAAATTTCCCTCTAAGCATATATTTGGCTGCATTCCAAAAGTTTGGGGAAAACATGTTTTCATTTTTATTTAGTTCAAAATATTTTAAATTTCTCTTGAGAGTTCATCTTTGACTTATGTGTTGCTTAAACATGTGTTTAGTGTCCACATATTTTGGGATTGTCTAGTTATCTTTAGGTTATTAATTTCTAGCCTAATTCTCTCATGGTCTGAGAACAGACATTATATGGTTTCTATTCTTTTTAAAATGTTTTAAGATGTGTTTTAGGGCCCAAAATGTAGTCTATCTTGGTGAATGTTTTATGTGAGCTTGAAAACAATGCGTACTCTGCTGTTGGATGAAGTAGCCTGTAGATGCCAATGGTGGGATGGTGCTATTGAGTTCAGCTATGTCCTCACAAATTTTCTCCCTGCTCACTTTGTCCGTTTTTGGTAAAGGGGTGATGAAGTATCCAATTATTACAATAGATTCTTCTATTTGTCCTTGCAGTTCTTTCAGTTTTTGCTCAACATATTTTTATGCAATCTTATAGTATTAGGTGCATACATGATAAGAAGTTCTACGTCTTGTTAGAGAACTGACCTGCTTTAGTCCAAAGTATCATAAATTGAATAGTTTCTATTAATTAGGACTTTATTTATTAAAATACTGGAGGCTTAGAAGTCTTAAATCAAAGTACCAGAAGATTCAGTATCTAATGAGGGCACAATTTTGGTTTATAGACAATGCCTTCTCACTGTGTCCTCAGAAGGTGGAAGGTTGCAAGTCAGTTTTTTGGGACCACATTTGTAAGGCACTAACCCCATTTTTAAGGGCTGTGACCACATGATGTAATCATCTCCCAAAAGCTCCACTTCCCAATACAATTACATTGGTAATTGAGTTTTGAAATCTTCTCCAATTAATATAGCTATTCTTACTTAAAAAATTAGTGTTAGTATGATTTATCTGTCTCCATACATTTACCTTGAATCTATATGTATCCTTATTATTTAAAGTGGGTTTCTTATAAATGACATATAGTTGGGTCTTTTCCATTGTTGTTTCAGTTGACAGCCTCTGTCTTTGGTGCACTGAAACTACTGATATTCAAAATGATTACTGATATAGCTGAATGCATATCTTACATAGTTGTTCCTATTTTTTATTTGTTGTCCTTGTTTTCATTTAAATTTTTATTTTTCACTTTTTCTGCCTTTGGTGCTTTTAATGGAGCATATTATATGATATTATTTGCTCTCCTTTTTTTCTTAGTATATCAATTAGACTTTATGCTTTTTTCTTTAGTTGATTAGTGATTGCCCTAGAGTTTACAATATACATTTATAAATCATTCAAACTCACTTCCAAATAACACTATACCATTTACTGCTTCAAGGGTAGTATGAGTACCTTAAAACAACAAAATAATCCTAACTTCTCTTTCTTGCCTCTTGCATAATTGCTACCATTCATTTTACAAATATATATAAACACATATAAACATATGTATTATATGTACATATGTAGTTAAATACATTGCTGCTATTATTTTGAATAAACTATTATATGTTAGATCTGTTGGCTATAAGAATAAAAGTTTCTATTTTATTGTTACTTATTTCTTCTTTAACACTTTCTCTGTTCATATAGACATGAATTTCTGGCCTAAGTTATTTTCCTTCTTTTTAAATAACTTATTTTAACATTTCTTGCAAGGCAGGTCTACTGGCAACAAATCCCCTCATTTTTTACTTGTTTGAGAAAATATGTCTTTACTCTGAAGGATAATTTCACAATGCACAGAATTACAGGGTTTTTATTTTCTCAAGACTTTAAATATTTCAATTTACTCTCTTCTTGCATGTTTCTGAGAAATCAGGTGTAATTATTACCTTTGCTCCTCCATTAAGTAAGGCATTTCCCTCCATCCTCCCTGGCTTCTTTCAGGATGTTTTTCTACATCTTTGACTTTCTATAGTTCAAAAATAATATGCCTAGATGTAGTTTTGGGGGCATATATCCTGTTTGGAGTTCTGTGGGCCTCCTAAAGCTGTGGTTTTGTGTCTGATATTAATTTGAGGAACTTCTTTTTAATTTTGTTTCTGGTATTTCCATTAGATGCATCATACATATTTGAAGTTGTCCTATAGTTTTCGGATATTCTAGTTTATGTTTTTTATTCTTTGTTTTCTTTCTTTTACAGCTTGGGAGGTTTCTATTGATGGCTCTTAAGCACAGGGATTCTTTACTTACCTGTATCCAGTCTATTAATAAGCCCATAAAAGGGATTCTTAATTTTTGTTACAGTGTTTTTGATCCCTAACGCTTTGTCGTTGTTGCTGTTGTTGTTCTAAGATTTCCATCTCTCTGCTCACATTACCCATATGTTATTACTATCTGTTATTAGGAGCTATCTATTTTATCTATTAAAGCCTTTTTCGTTTTAATCATAGTAGTTATTCTAAATTCTAGGCGTGGTAATTCAAACAACCTTGCTTGTCTTCTTCTGATGGTTTCTCTGTCTCTGCAAATGGTATTTATTTTTATTTATTTATTTTTTGCCTTTCAATATACCTCATAATTTTTTTCTTGATGGCCAAACATGATATACTGGGTACTGAGCTATTGTACATTGGTCTTTAGTAATGTGGTGGTAAGGTGTGGGGTGAGAAGAGGCATCCTATGATTAAGTCTCAGGCTTTTAGTAAGACTTTGCCTCTGGATTGTGATCGTTATATGTTTCTAATGTTTTTCTTCCCCCTCAGTTGGTACAGAGTGGCTAAATCTGTCTATAATTTGGTATTTCACTTCCTCCAGGCCTGGTAGGCTTTAATAAGACTCCAGCAGGTTAGGCTTTGGTAAACTACTTTCTCCTAGACAGACCTTGATAAGAACAGAGTGCTTTGGCATATTTCAAAATAAGCTCTTTTTCCCCTGTCTGTGTTGGAAGCGCAAGAACATTTTTCTCCAAAATTTACTTTGAGAACCTAGTTAATTTCTGGGAGGTAAAACTCAGAAAAGAGTGATAGTCAACCAGTGATGAGGTCCTCCTGGAGTTTTTAATTCTCAGACTTGTTTACTCTGAGCCTCTAGAAGTTCATAAATTATAGTTCAGGTTTTTCTATGCCACCACTGGTTCCCACAGAGGTTTCTGCTCCCACATGTGCTTCTCTATATTCGCCTGTCTCTTCAGTTTTGGGAATAGCAGTTTGCCCCGTGAACTTATTTCTCTTATGAATTTAAGAAAAGTTGTGGATTTTTCAGCTTTTATCTCATTGGTAGTACAGAAAGGCAACTGCCAAGCTCCTTACATTTGGAACTGGGAATTGGAAGTTGTTCATGTCTTTTTAACACTGACTATACCAGTGTTTGGATGCATCACATTTCATTCAACCATTCACCTACTTAAGGACATCTTATTTGCTTCCAAGTTTTGGCAATTATAAATACAGCTTCTGTAAACATCCATGGGCAGGTATTTGTGTGGGCTTAAGTTTTTAACTTATATGGGTGATACTGACAAATATGGCCATAGATTGTATGGTAAGAGTATATTTAGTTTAGTGTGAAACTGCCACCCTGTTTCCAAAGAGGCTACTTTATCAGTGTTCTTGATTTTGGCCAATCTAATATGTGAATAGTGGTATCTTGTTGTTTTAAATTTAATTGAAATTTAAACAAGCTTCAACACAAATATTATCAATTTAGCTATTTGTCAACTATTTTAATATTAAAATATTATTCAGATTTATTTTATAAACAATTCTCATCAATTTCAATCAGATAAACACCTCATCTCAACATTTCATGCAGGTGAAAATAATTTAACCATACATTATTATTTGATTTTGATTTCAGTCCATATCCTTGTTATTGCCTTACCACAGAATAAGATAATATAAAATATAAAGTTTGATTCCTAATACTGTGAGTTTTCAGATAAATTTAGTTTTTATTGTGAATTGATGATGTATTCTTTCCACAAACTACAGGTATGTTAATATATTAGCAAGATTTTTACCAAATGTAACATTTAAACCTTATACAAGGACTAGACTTCTATGACCTTAATATGTCATTTTATGCTTGCTAGCATTATATATGTCACTTATTGCTTAAGATTAGACTAGCAACGATGTTGTTATGTACAAGAACCCACTACTTTGCTAAGTTGTTTTCCAATCATTTATTACAAATGAATTTTAATTTTAAAAAATATTGAAATTCTAAGACAGAATGTAAATTCCACATTTGCTGGAATATGACTCTTTTTACAAAATATTGTGATTTAATAAAAATGAAACTAACAGCTTTAACTTAATGGTATCAAGCCAACATGAAAATATTACTTTATTTACACAAGTATTCTCAGTTTGTAATGGTAAAAGTTAAAATATGATCAATGACATTATTAAAACTTATTTTGTTGTATGAGCTTTTATGAGAAAAAGAAGAGACAAATCATGTTATAAATAACATTTGAAAAGCTATCCATCAGAGGAGTAAAACAAATGTTTAAATTCTAATCACCTGTACATATTTGTTTTCATGTTAAAGGCAGAATGTTTGAAAGAATAAACTAAATACATTGAAAGCTTTTCCAGATGTGAAACTTTTGCTTCTACTCTTAAGATAACTCACTTTCATTTACAAGATTTGCCATCCTTCCAATTTTACCCAAAGCAGCTCTTCAGAATGTTTGTCAATTTGGCTGTATATTCTGGGAAATATCCTTTTAATATTATGTAGTTTTTTCCTCTAACTCATTCATAATATGTTCAGGCTCAAACTTTACACAAATTTTTTTGGCATGTATAGTATGTATATATTTTATAGGTGAATAAATATTATTTCTATATTAAATTATAGAAATAATATATTTACATAACTATATAAATCTGTATTTTGTCTCTGTATATAAATATATAGATATATTATTTATATCTATAAATCATATTTACATCTACATATTTAAATATTAATATAAAATATATCTATTTAAATATTTACCTATAGTATTCCTATACTTTATATATAGTATTTCTATATATATTGTAGAAATTTATATATAAATTTCTATACATATAGAAATATGATATATAAAATATGGAAATCTATAGATAAATAATATTTATAAAATTAAATATTGTATTTATATTATAAATATAAATATTGTAAATATTTATATAAATATAAATGTTGTAAATATTATATTTATAAAATGTTAAATATAATATTTAAATTTATGTATTATATTTATAAATATAGAAATACTATATATGTACTATTCTTTATTTTTTCTACATATAGTATTCTATATTCTATATAGTATTCCTATAAAAATAAATACTACATATAAAAAAAGATACTATATAGAATATAGACTACTATATACTATAAAAATATAGAATACTATATATAAAGATGGTATTTCTACATTTTAATATAAAAATTATATTAAATAAAATATAATTTATTATCTGGTAACAAATCACTTCCTTTCTTCCTCTCCCATTTACCCTTCTCAGGCTCTAATAACCATAATTCTTCTGTATAATTCTTTGACCTTAATTTTTAGCTCCTACATATTAGTAAGAACATGCAATATTTGTCTTTAAGTGGCTGCCTTATTTGACTTAACATGATGTTCTCCAGTTTTATACCTGTCACTGTGAATGGCATGATTTTATACTTTTTCATGGCAGAATAGAACTCTATTGTATACATTTCTTTATTCATTAATCTGTTGATGGACATTTAGGTTGATCCCATATATTCACTATACTGAATGGTGCTGCAATAAACAGGAGGGTGCGGCTATCTCTTTGATATACTTATTTTCTTTCCTTTGGATAAATACCCAATAGTAGAATTGTGGGATCATATGGTAGTTCTAATTTAATTTTTTTGTTTGTTTGTTTGTTTTTTATTATACTTTAAGTTTTAGGGTACATGTGCACATTGTGCAGGTTAGTTACATATGTATACATGTGCCATGCTGGTGTGCTGCACCCACTAACTCGTCATCTAGCATTAGGTATATCTCCCAATGCTATCCCTCCCCCCTCCCCCCACCCCACCACAGTCCCCAGAGTGTGATATTCCCCTTCCTGTGTCCATGTGATCTCATTGTTCAATTCCCACCTATGAGTGAGAATATGCGGTGTTTGGTTTTTTGTTCTTGCGATAGTTTACTGAGAATGATGGTTTCCAATTTCATCCATGTCCCTACAAAGGACATGAACTCATCATTTTTTATGGCTGCATAGTATGCCATGGTGTATATGTGCCACATTTTCTTAATCCAGTCTATCATTGTTGGACATTTGGGTTGGTTCCAAGTCTTTGCTATTGTGAATAATGCTGCAATAAACATACGTGTGCATGTGTCTTTATAGCAGCATGATTTATAGTCCTTTGGGTATATACCCAGTAATGGGATGGCTGGGTCAAATGGTATTTCTAGTTCTAGATCCCTGAGGAATCGCCACACTGACTTCCACAATGGTTGAACTAGTTTACAGTCCCACCAACAGTGTAAAAGTGTTCCTATTTCTCCACATCCTCTCCAGCCCCTGTTGTTTCCTGACTTTTTAATGATTGCCATTCTAACTGGTGTGAGATGATATCTCATAGTGGTTTTGATTTGCATTTCTCTGATGGCCAGTGATGATGAGCATTTTTTCATGTATTTTTTGGCTGCATAAATGTCTTCTTTTGAGAAGTGTCTGTTCACGTCCTTCGCCCACTTTTTGATGGGGTTGTTTGTTTTTTTCTTGTAAATTTGTTTGAGTTCATTGTAGATTCTGGATATTAGCCCTTTGTCAGATGAGTAGGTTGCGAAAATTTTCTCCCATGTTGTAGGCTGCGTGTTCACTCTGATGGTAGTTTCTTTTGCTGTGCAGAAGCTCTTTAGTTTAATTAGATCCCATTTGTCAATTTTGGCTTTTGTTGCCATTGCTTTTGGTGTTTTGGACATGAAGTCCTTGCCCACGCCTATGTCCTGAATGGTAATGCCTAGGTTTTCTTCTAGGGTTTTTATGGTTTTAGGTCTAACGTTTAAATCTTTAATCCATCTTGAATTGATTTTTGTATAAGGTGTAAGGAAGGGATCCAGTTTCAGCTTTCTACATATGGCTAGGCAGTTTTCCCAGCACCATTTATTAAATAGGGAATCCTTTCCCCATTGCTTGTTTTCCTCAGGTTTGTCAAGGATCAGATAGTTGTAGGTATGCAGCGTTATTTCTGAGGGCTCTGTTCTGTTCCATTGATCTATATCTCTGTTTTGGTACCAGTACCATGCTGTTTTGGTTACTGTAGCCTTGTAGTATAGTTTGAAGTCAGGTAGTGTGATGCCTCCAGCTTTGTTCTTTTGGCTTAGGATTGACTTGGCGATGCGGGCTCTTTTTTGGTTCCATATGAACTTTAAAGTAGTTTTTTCCAATTCTGTGAAGAAAGTCATTGGTAGCTTGATGGGGATGGCATTGAATCTGTAAATTACCTTGGGCAGTATGGCCATTTTCACGATATTGATTCTTCCTACCCATGAGCATGGAATGTTCTTCCATTTGTTTGTATCTTCTTTAATTTCCTTGAGCAGTGGTTTGTAGTTCTCCTTGAAGAGGTCCTTCACATCCCTTGTAAGTTGGATTCCTAGGTATTTTATTCTCTTTGAAGCAATTG
Organism: Homo sapiens; assembly: GCF_000001405.40. Classification (NCBI taxonomy): domain Eukaryota; kingdom Metazoa; phylum Chordata; class Mammalia; order Primates; family Hominidae; genus Homo; species Homo sapiens. The sequence goes on from NC_000001.11 coordinate 190,732,077, forward strand.
TGAATGGGAGTTCACTCATGATTTGGCTCTCTGTTTGTCTGTTGTTGGTGTATAAGAATGCTTGTGATTTTCGTACATTGATTTTGTATCCTGAGACTTTGCTGAAATTGCTTATCAGCTTAAGGAGATTTTGGGCTGAGACGATGGGGTTTTCTAGATAAACAATCATGTCGTCTGCAAACAGGGACAATTTGACTTCCTCTTTTCCTAATTGAATACCATTTCTTTCCTTCTCCTGCCTGATTGCCCTGGCCAGAACTTCCAACACTATGTTGAATAGGAGCGGTGAGAGAGGGCATCCCTGTCTTGTGCCAGTTTTCAAAGGGAATGCTTCCAGTTTTTGCCCATTCAGTATGATATTGGCTGTGGGTTTGTCATAGATAGCTCTTATTATTTTGAAATACGTCCCATCAATACCTAATTTATTGAGAGTTTTTAGCATGAAGGTTGTTGAATTTTGTCAAAGGCTTTTTCTGCATCTATTGAGATAATCATGTGGTTTTTGTCTTTGGCTCTGTTTATATGCTGGATTACATTTATTGATTTGCGTATATTGAACCAGCCTTGCATCCCAGGGATGAAGCCCACTTGATCATGGTGGATAAGCTTTTTGATGTGCTGCTGGATTCGGTTTGCCAGTATTTTATTGAGGATTTTTGCATCAATGTTCATCAAGGATATTCGTCTAAAATTCTCTTTTTTGGTTGTGTCTCTGCCCAGCTTTGGTATCAGAATGATGCTGGCCTCATAAAATGAGTTAGGGAGGATTCCCTCTTTTTCTATTGATTGGAATAGTTTCAGAAGGAATGGTACCAGTTCCTCCTTGTACCTCTGGTAGAATTCGGCTGTGAATCCATCTGGTCCTGGACTCTTTTTGGTTGGTAAACTATTGATTATTGCCACAATTTCAGCTCCTGTTATTGGTCTATTCAGAGATTCAACTAAACTCAGATTCCTGGTTTAGTCTTGGGAGAGTGTATGTGTCGAGGAATTTATCCATTTCTTCTAGATTTTCTAGTTTATTTGCGTAGAGGTGTTTGTAGTATTCTCTGATGGTAGTTTGTATGTCTGTGGGATCAGTGGTGATATCCCCTTTATCATTTTTTATTGTGTCTATTTGATTCTTCTCTCTTTTTTTCTTTATTAGTCTTGCTAGTGGTCTATCAATTTTGTTGATCCTTTCAAAAAACCAGCTCCTGGATTCATTGATTTTTTGAAGGGTTTTTTGTGTCTCTATTTCCTTCAGTTCTGCTCTGATTTTAGTTATTTCTTGCCTTCTGCTAGCTTTTGAATGTGTTTGCTCTGGCTTTTCTAGTTCTAGGGTGTCAATTTTGGATCTTTCCTGCTTTCTCTTGTGGGCATTTAGTGCTATAAATTTCCGTCTACACACTGCTTTGAATGCGTCCCAGAGATTCTGGTATGTTGTGTCTTTGTTCTCGTTGGTTTCAAAGAACATCTTTATTTCTGCCTTCATTTCGTTATGTACCCAGTAGTCATTCAGGAGCAGGTTGTTCAGTTTCCATGTAGTTGAGCGGCTTTGAGTGAGATTCTTAATCCTGAGTTCTAGTTTGATTGCACTGTGGTCTGAGAGATAGTTTGTTATAATTTCTGTTCTTTTACTTTTGCTGAGGAGAGCTTTACTTCCAACTATGTGGTCAATTTTGGAATAGGTGTGGTGTGGTGCTGAAAAAAATGTATATTCTGTTGATTTGGGGTGGAGAGTTCTGTAGATGTCTATTAGGTCCGCTTGGTGCAGAGCTGAGTTCAATTCCTGGGTATCCTTGTTGACTTTCTGTCTCGTTGATCTGTCTAATGTTGACAGTGGGGTGTTAAATTCTCCCATTATTAATGTGTGGGAGTCTAAGTCTCTTTGTAGGTCACTCAGGACTTGCTTTATGAATCTGGGTGCTCCTGTATTGGGTGCATATATATTTAGGATAGTTAGCTCCTCTGGTTGAATTGATCCCTTTACCATTATGTAATGGCCTTCTTTGTCTCTTTTGATCTTTGTTGGTTTAAAGTCTGTTTTATCAGAGACTAGGATTTCAACCCCTGCCTTTTTTTGTTTTCCATTTGCTTGGTAGATCTTCCTCCATCCTTTTATTTTGAGCCTATGTGTGTCTCTGCACGTGAGATGGGTTTCCTGAATACAGCACACTGATGGGTCTTGACTCTTTATCCAACTTGCCAGTCTGTGTCTTTTAATTGGAGAATTTAGTCCATTTACATTTAAAGTTAATATTGTTATGTGTGAATTTGATCCTGTCATTATGATGTTAGCTGGTGATTTTGCTCATTAGTTGTGGCAGTTTCTGTGAAAAGACCAAATCTACGTCTGATTGGTGTACCTGAAAGTGATGCGGAGAATGGAACCAAGTTGGAAAACACTCTGCAGGATATTATCCAGGAGAACTTCCCCAATCTAGCAAGGCAGGCCAACGTTCAGATTCAGGAAATACAGAGAACGCCACAGAGATACTCCTCGAGAAGAGCAACTCCAAGACACATAATTGTCAGATTCACCAAAGTTGAAATGAAGGAAAAAATGTTAAGGGCAGCCAGAGAGAAAGGTCGGGTCACCCTCAAAGGGAAGCCCATCAGACTAACAGCGGATCTCTCAGCAGAAACCCTACAAGCCAGAAGAGAGTGGGGGCCAATATTCAACATTCTTAAAGAAAAGAATTTTCAACCCAGAATTTCATATCCAGCCAAACTAAGCTTCATAAGTGAAGGAGAAATAAAATACTTTACAGACAAGCAAATGCTGAGAGATTTTGTCACCACCAGGCCTGCCCTAAAAGAGCTCCTGAAGGAAGTGCTAAACATGGAAAGGAACAACTGGTACCAGCCGCTGCAAAATCATGCCAAAATGTAGAGACCACCGAGACTAGGAAGAAACTAATTTAATTTTTTTACTAATCTCCACACTGTTTTCCATAATAGCAGTACTTATTTACACACCAACAGTACATAAGTTCCTCTTCCTCTTCATTCTTAGCAGCATTTATTTATTGTCTTTTAGATAACAGCCATTCTATCTATGATGAGATTATATCTCAGTGAGGTTTTGATTTGCATTTCCCTGATGATTAGTGATACTGATCTTTTTTCATAATATATTCATTTTTAAGTATTTAAGATATAGAAAAATTCTATTTGAAATTTTGTATTATCATGACAGTGCTTTATAGGTCAGTAGCCAGAAAGAATTTCTTTATATCATATTTTCTCCCTAATCATTTTATAATTCAGCTGCTTCATATGATTATTTATTTACAAGAATTTAGTTTGGGTATATAATTATTATATAATAAATATGTCTCTGTAATTATTTGAATAATTAATTTTTGAAAATCCTAGGTAAACTTTAAGATGCAGTCTATTAATATCACTTTTTTGTTAATGGATTTGTTTTCTGTCTCATTTTCAATGATTAGTGAATCATTCATAATATGACATAAATTGATCTCAAATACATAAACTATTTTTTTCTTTGAGATAAACACTATTAAACTAGCACAAATATATTTGTTTTAAATGTAAATAGACAGATTATTTTTATAAAAGTAAAACAAATAAATAATCAGTACCTCTACAGAAATTTTTTAAACTCTATTTATCTTAACCTCATATTTTTATCCAAAATAAATATACTTCTTTAATATTATATTTTAAGGGTCAAGATTTCATGACTTAATCTTACATTTTTTTTCCTAAGTTGTTTGGCTCAGAACTAAGCAAACAGGTGCCTTTTAATGTTAGTTGAATTAAATTAAATTAATTTATACAATATCTATTTCAAAATATTCAAAATGTATTTTAAGTTTAAAGAATATTCCATAAAATGTATTCTATATTATTATAAAAATTTCTAAAGGGAAATAAATAAGCTAAAAATGAATATTTGGTAATTTACTCCATATGAATTAATGATCTTTGCTGTAATGAAATTGAGCAAAATATTTATTTGGGAATTTTATAGCTTAAAAATCATATAAAGCAAAGAAACTATAATCATGAGAGTTTAAAAATGGACTTTATCTCTAAGTAGATTTGGACATACTTCTGATAATTTTACATCATTGGAAAAGTGCTGCAGGCCGAAAATTTAAAGCATGATGATAAAATTAGTTAATTTGCCCCTTTGCATTTTCAATTTGGGCATTTTGTATACTTATTTAATGATATGCTAATTTTCTTACATATTTGATTTCTATTGGCTTGATACCACCTTGTTAATCACCTATAGATTTTCTCATAAAATGTTTCCTTTCATGGTGTGCAAACATCTACTTATGAAATTTATTTTAAAACCTATTAAAAGAAATATTATCTAAAGAACACCTGCATCTCTGAGATTCATTTTAAATAGTAATTCTTACTAATCTCCTTAATAACATGAAACGTCTTCCTTATTTGAACAACCTCATTATGCTTCCATTTTAGTGGTCGTCAGTTACATAATGTTATACAACATAATTCAGATGGGAAACAATTTGGTGGCAGAAACAGCTTAGTTTTAAACTCACTGTGTATCAAAACTTTTTGTACATATTAGGTATTACAAGTATTTATTAGATAACAATGCTTAAAAATAACCTAAACATAATTTTTACAGATAAATATTGACCTCCTTTTAAATATTTTATTGTTAATTTCCCAGGTAATAAAACTAAGCAAAAAATGTCAAACATCAGATGGAGCAGAAATAATATACATAATTTTTTACAAATTTGTGAAAACTATCACTTGCTTTCTACCAATTTCATATTTTTCTTTGACTTATTTGACCCATTTTAGTTTATAATTGTCACAATTTATGATGGTCTATCCAAAACAGATCATTTTTTCCCCTCAAAATAAATTTTACCACAAGAGGAAATATCCTTGACTTTAAAAATTTTCAGATTTTTTTTCTCTTATGAACATTTTCTCTCATGAAAACGAAACTGAATTTTTGATGTTTGCAGTTCTCGGAAAATAAGATGCTTCTGCTACCACTAGCAATCTTCTAACGGGTCCAATATTCACAATGAGTGCCCACATTATGCATTCAAATCACTTATTTGCATACTCAAAGAGATACTTATACATGAAAACGGATAATTGCAAATCTAAATATCCACTGGCATGTGAAAATATGCCATTTGCATATGCAGCTTAAATGTCTGTTTCTGAACATGATGTTAATGTGCAGTTATCTGTTCCTTTGTTGATGTGTTGCTCTTCACTCTGAATCTTCCTTTGTTCTTTGTTCTAACAGAAGTTTTTATTTTTGGAATATAGTATTCTGCTCTAGCATTTTTGCTGACACTTATTATTTTTCTATTATCTGAACCATACTTTTTAATCCCATGAATGTATTTTGTGCTATTGCAGAATAAATGCCTCTACGTGAATCACTGCCCAAATCTTGTTAATCTTTACCTCGTCTTCCTCTTAAAATTCATTGTTTTGTTTTTCTTTCTTCATTTTTCCTCAAATTAAAATTTGCTTATCGACTGAAAAAATATATTCCAAATAGAAAAACATTACTTCATGAATTGAACCTCTCACCTCTGCATTACTCTTTTGCGATACCCTTCATTCTGCAAGTCTTCAAGAAGAGAAATTATAATATAGCTTCCCCACAGATTTACCTATCCACTCTTCTATGAATCCCCAAACAAATGACATTTTTATCATTCTGTAATTAAATACTATATTTTCTTTGTCTCTTCAAAACCATTATTTTTCACCTTGATTCCTTTTATTCAATCTGCAAATGTATTTTGAGTACCTCCTGTATCAGACGCTCTTCTAGTTGCTTGTAATACATCAGTGAACAAAACCAAGATTCCTGCGACCTTCTAGTGGAGAAGACAGACAATAAAGAATAAACATCATACATGAATTAATTTTGTAGTATATTAGAAGAGAGTAAATGCTCAGAAAATAAAAAAAATGAAGCAAATTGAGTGGGATTAGAAGAATTAGGGCTGGGGGAGAGAAATAGATGAATTTTTAAAACAATGGACACAGAAAGCCAAAGTGAGATGGTGATATATAAGCAAAGTTGAAGAAAGTTAAGAAAAAGGATATATAGAAGAAAACACTCCAAGCACAGAGAAGACACAGGCAAAAACCAATATTGGAGAGAATGATTGGCATGACAGAAACAGCAGAAGACCAGTGTGATGGGTGAAAAGTGAGAAGAGGAGTAGGACATGAATTCTGGAATAAGTTGTTGCCTCCTTTTTATTTATTTTTTTTTAACTTTTTTGCTTCCCTTAGTCAAAATATCCTACAAAAAGTTACATCATTATACTCACTATGCCTCATTCTTCTTCCTCTCATTTTCACTTAAAATTATTTCTTTCAGGCCTTCTCCTCGACAATGCCGCAGAAACTACTCATCAAATTAAGCAATGAATTCCACATAGATATAGCCAAAGGTCAGTTCTGACTCAGTTCTCATCTTAGGTAAATTATCAGCCCTCTTCCTTCTTGAATCTCTTGCCTCATTTGGCTGGCTTTCTTCTTATGTTACTGGTCTCTCTCCTTCACAGTACATTTGCAGTGGTATTGCTTTAAAATGGAATCTTGATGGAAAGCAGATTAGCGGGTTCAGGGAAATAGATGGGTTGAAAAGAACATTTCAAGTTCTTGAAGCTTTCAAGAAGCTTTCCAATGGAAAAGTAGAAAAGAACCTTCTAGGGATGATGGAAAAATTTTGTATTTTGGTTGTGGTTGTGGTAACATGTCATGTATTTGCAAAAAGTAATCAAAAAAACTACATGAAGTGGGAGTATTTTACTGCATTAAAATATCCCCTTCATAAAGTAAATCACTAAAAAATACTAAAGAACCATAATAAGCCACAGAAAGAGATCTACATTTGTATAGTTTAACTGATTATAAAAAACATACCATGCAAAGCAGCAAAGAAATTTAAAAAATATATAATATAGTTATTGATTTTATATAATTACAAACACATGAATAATATAATTTTAATATTTTATATAATTTTAGATGAAAAATTTATTGAATGAATTTATAAATTTGGTTATATATGATTTATCTCTCTAGACTTTATAAAGAACTCATAATAGTTCAAAAACATATCAATGGATGTTCAGCATTATTAGTTCTCAATTAAATAATGCAAATTAAAATTTCAATTACCTACAACTAATGGGATGGCCAAATTTTCAAATAAGAAAATCTGATTATATGTGTTGGTAAGAATATGGAGGGTGGGACTTATACATTATTGGTAGGAATATAAATATTTCATCACCTTTGTAAAATAATCTGGTGGTGTTCATGCTGCTAAAAGTAGTAAGGGTAGGGGTTTCTAAGGGTGAAATAGCAACTGGACAGTTTTATTCATTTATTTATTTTTTACCATTCAGTGATGGTTATATAGGTATCTTTTGTTTATGAATGTTCATCTAGCTGGATAGTCATAGTTTGTGTAGTTTGTTGTACATTCTACTTTAGTAAAAAAAAAAAAATATGGCAGGTACAATTTTGAAAAAATGCTCCTTATCCATATTGTCAAACTGCTTTATAAAAAGGAATAAAGACATACTAGTTCTAATAGCAATATATAATTATATTATGTCACTGCATATATTAGCACAAGTTTTAACATTTTTAAAAGTTACCAATTAAAAAATTAAAAAGTAACATGTTAGATTGCATTTATGATTATTAAAGAAATAAAAAATGATTATATATGTTGCTTAAATGCAACCTAGTATACTTTGATAAAAATGTAAGTGGAAGTTTTATACATAAATTCTTCCCTTTTTTGGTGGCAATGAAATATCATTTATTCCATATGAACTGACTAAATTCTTTATCTAAGATATTCACAGACGTTTATTTGTTTCTGATGGAAATAAATAGTCCTTCAATTGCTGTAAAGTGCATGCAGATTGTTTCTTTTGCTCAGACAGATACAATTTCTTTTCAATTATTTCCAGCATTTTGCACACCACTGCAAGAAAACAATTAAGGGAATGTTTCAAGAGTGTTTGCTGATATTTCTGTGACATCTTAAATGTGATTAGTTAAGAGGCAGTTTTTAAACGTAATGACCTAAGTGTATGAGATATCTTGGCTGCTACAGAGGTCTTTTTTAAACAAATGTTCACAGTCACCTCATTTGTGTTGATTTTTGAAAAAGTATTGGACATGGAAAGTAGAGTTTAGATTGAAGTGGGAAAAAAATGAAGGCTATAAATTTTGTTTAAAAACAGAATTTTCCATTTAAAATAGATATTCTTGTTTTCTTAATCTGTAGCGAGATTAGAAACAAAAGTAATGATTTTATTGCATGCATTATTTTATACAGCATGATCTAAAACACATGGATCACAAAAATAAAAAAATGCTTAATTTTCGTGGCATACAGTTTTTAAAAGCAAAGATTAGTTTACAATGGAAATTTAAAAAATGAAACAAATAATGTTTTAGAGAGATGTTTTATTAGGTCAATATAAGAAAGATTTAATGCATTCTTCTTTGAAGGCTATAGTTTTCTTGAGATAGATAAGAGCAAAATAACCACAGCATTATTGTTCTTGCTATCTCTAACCATTTTCAAATAGATTAATTTTCTCTATTTGATATGGAACATGATTGCATGAATTTTGAAGATGTTTACTGAAATCTTTTCTATAGAAATGCATAGTCTCATGCTTGTACTTGGTTAGAGCAACTATATACATAGTAAACTGTGTTTATTTCCTTTCATTGTTCAATTCAGATTATTTAAAATAAATAAATATTAGGAACTACTGTTACTATTAGGCACACAGGTATGTAATTAATGCTTGCTTTATGGTTAATATCCCAAATGTCCTCTGCCATACTGAAATACTAATGTAAATTTATATGCCACAGATAAGATATGGATCAACAGGTTTATAATCCCATCTGTGCATCTCACCGGCTACATAATCTTAAAAAACATAATTATGCTCTCTATACATCCTTGTCTCACGTGTAAGATAGACATACTAGTACCAGTCTCAGAGAGTTGTGATGAGGACAGAATTAAATAGTATAAAGCAATAGCATGCTTCCTGGTAAGACTTAGCTAAGAGTCCTAGAAAATTTTATTACTATTTTTATTATTATGATTGTTAGAGATGAAGTTTCGCTCTTGTTGCCCAGGCTGCAGTACAGTGGCGCAATCTCAGCTCACTGCAACATCTGCCTCCCAGGTTCAAGTGATTCTCCTGCTTCAGCCTCCCAAGTAGCTGGGACTACAGGCATTCTCCACCACACCTGGCTAATTTTTGTATTTTTAGTAGAGACAGGGTTTCATCATGTTGGCCAGGCTGGTCTTGAGCTCCTGACCTCAGGTGATCCATCCACCTTGGCCTCCCAAAGTGCTGGGATTACAGGCATGAGCCACCGTTCCTGGCTTGATATTTTTATTATTAATCTATCATATTTATTGTAGATTATTTAAATTATATATACGTATTTATTTTATATTGTTCATCTATGCACCTACATAAACATCACTTATCATACAGGTATGTAAATATAAATTTGTATCAATATCTTCTATCAGTAAGATATCTTGCCATTAAGGCCTTTCTTCTTAATTCAGAATCCCTTTGTATGACAGTGGAAAGGATAACTTAGTTTGCAAATAATATATATAAAAAAGATATATTTTTTTTACCAGAAATATTTGTTTGTTAACTACCATGGAAGAACTGATTGCACTGCTAATGAAGAAATAATTATGATATAGTTGTCAAAAAGTTTCAGGCCTGCTTGGTTACTTTATAGTCTTAATTGTTGTTCCTTCATACGTATTGATAACCCTAGTTAATATTTATCTTTCACTTGGCTCCTAGCAACTTTTGATCCTGCTAGAAATGAGTAAGGGTTCTAGGTGACAATTTTCTTTATAGCTTTTGTTGTTCACTCACCATTTTTTTAAACCTAGTTTCTCTAAGAAAATATTAATATTCTCCATGAAAAAATAAAAAATATTTTTGATATCTTCAGATGAACTCATAAAAGGTGCACAAATTAAGAATTCAACTATGAACTGTACTTACTAATTTGGAAATATCCTCTAAAGTTCCCAACTAAATAAAAATTTAATTGGTTTACTTTAAATTAATGCATTGGTTTTGTAATAATATTCAGTGTTTTGCTCTAAATATTCCACAATTCAAACTTTTTATGATTTTTTTCCACTCAGTTTATTTTTGTAAATAAATCTATAAAAGATATTCTCACTCCTGGGCTTCATAAGAAAGGTTTAGAATATTGTGTTAAGGGTATGATACTGTAAATTATATTAAATAATCAAACAGATTCAATGTATTTTCTGTTCTAAACCTGACTTTACTTCATGATAAATCCATTTTCATTAAAATTTCAAGGGAATAAAAATGTAAAAACAAAATATAACAAAAAAAGAAAAAGAAAATATAACAATACAATTTGTAATATGACCAAACGAGTCACCATGTTTGAATGTATATATGACTTATAGGTCTATTAAAAGTTATATATTTTAGAGTGTAAATATAAGTTTTTATTTTTCTTTATTTTTTATACATGAGCTATTATACATATATGTTTGATTATTTTTGTTATTAGCCTGTTTAATAAATATGTGAAATAATATTGTTTAACAATGAACAATGAATCTATTTTTATGTGTTGACCTAATTCAACAGCAATCAAAATGAGCAAAGATTAGTAAATGCAGATATAATAGACATGACTGAAAGTATTAAACATGATTGTAACTTACATTCCCAAAATGTTGGTTTGTTGTTTGATCCTTTAAAGGAGTTATCTAGAGCAGTAGCTTTCAAACTTTCTTTGTGGTTTTTGACTCAAAATGCAAAAAGATCTGACATATTCTTATAACTATATACACTCAACTAGACACAAAACTTATCAAGCAATACTCTTGTGGACTAAGTTGAAATCACTTTATAAATAATTAGAATGGTTTCTTTTTATACCTCATAATTTGTTAAAGGGAAATCAAAGAAAGGAATTGACATACTCATCTAAAAAGTAAAGGTCTTATATGTGCCTTATTCTTTTTTTCATTCCTATCTTTCTTCCTTCCTCCCTTTCTCCCTTCCTCCCTTCCTCCCTTCCTCCATTCCATCCTTCCTTCCTTCTTTCCTTCCCTCCCTCAAACATATTCTTTCTTCCCGAAAGAATTTAAGAATTTGCTGATACTGCAAGGTATTTTTCTTTATATTAAGCATATAGAGAGGATATATTCATACACATGAACATTTCATATATATATAGAGAGAGAGATTATTTCTGCCTAAAAAGATTCATAGTGAAAAAGATACTTGTAAATGATGTTATGGTATAGATAATATAATAATTAACATATTCCGGGATATGGAAGGGGTAGAAAATTAGGGAAAAGTGGAAAGGAGGTACACATTATGAGTTGAAAATAATTAGGCAAGTGAAAAGCATAGGTGAAGGAGTATCTATGAATAGGAGGTGAGGAGTAATACACACATAACTTTGTAATTGTGAAACCGAGCAGAGAAGTTACCAAGCAATTAAAGGTAAGTGATGCAAAGAGGTCAATAAAAAGAATAAAATATCCCATAAGTGAGGACCATATTAAAGACTTCTGACTTTGTAGGTATAGAAAATCATGAAAAGTATTTTTTAATTGTTATATTCTCAAATAAATATAGGTAAGCAACTGAAATTACTAAAAATGTATTAAGGAGGGTTATTGTATAATTCCACAATATGGAAAGAACATTTTAATATTTTAGAGTGTTAATAATCAGTGTTTTTCAAGATAGATTGATATAATAAATAGATAAGATGAATAAATGGACACATTTAGAAATACACTTTCAAAATTAAGAACATATATATACACACAAACACACATTTATATTTTTGTAAACCTCTTTTGAAAGAGTAATATATTAGTTGCTAAAAGTAGTATTTTGTTAGATGTGTGGCCTACCTACAGGAAAGTGCACAGATTATTAGTATGTAGATTAATGAATGTCCCAAGGAAATACACACCCAAATATCTATCACAGATAAAACTTATGAGATACCACCGCTACTCTAGAAACCCCCTTCCAACTCATTTATATTCATTTCCTCCTGCAATCCCACTGAACATAATCACCTGAACATGAGCAAGACTGTAACTCCTCTGCCCACCATCTCCCTCCTCCACTGCTACTTTCTTGACAATATTGGGGATGTCGGAAGACAATTGCTTGATCTAGTGATCTTTTCTTTTGTTTCTGGTTCTTCAAGATTAGAATATGCCTAGACAACTCACCGTGTTTTCAAGACCTGACTGATTTCTTTTCAATTTCAGAGTCTCTTTGTCTATGTCAGACTTACTTATACACAGATCGGGCATCTGCCCTCAGCTTTGGAAGGTGCAACAACTCCCGCCACACCTACTCATCTATGAACGACTCAGTTCTCTGTGGAATTCAGTTCTTTTAAATCTTTTTTTTGTATGATGCCCTAGGTTATTGTATTACTTTGCTAGGGCTGCAATAACACAGTACCACAGACTGTCTGGCTTGATCAATAAAAATTTATTTTTTCACCATTCTGGAGACTGGATGTCCACGATAAAGGTGTTGGTGGAGATGTATTTTTTTTTTCTTTTAAGTCTCTCTCTCTGGCTTGTAGATGGCCATCTTCTCCCTGTGTCTTCACATGGTCTTTCTCTGTTTGTATCTGTGCCCTAATCGCCTCTTCCTTTAAGCACACCAGCAGTATTGAATTAGGACCAACCCAGTGACCTCATTTCAACTTAATTACTTCTTTAAAGACCCTGTCTCCACATAGACACACACTTTGAGGTAGTGGGGGTTAGGACTTCAGCATATGAATTTCGGGGATACTCAATTCAGCCCATAACCGTTATATATTTTTAAAGTATTTTTATTTTCCATGGGTGTTTTTTTGTGTGTGTTGTTTGTTTATTGTTGTTATTACTGTGAGAACAAAGAACTTTTGTATCCCCTTAACTGGAAGTGGAAGTGAGAATCAAAAACCCAGTTCTCTTTTATGGAATCCAGTTTTTGCTGCAATTTTCTCTTTTTGTTCTCCATTTTCTTCATCATGTTAATCATATATGAATTGTTTTGGGGTTATGTCTACTGTGTGTTATTTGGGGTTATTTCTACTCATTCATTGGTGTTTGGTTTTATCTCCTGATGTGCAAGGTTTAAATTAAGTCTGAATGCTCTATATGGAAAATTACAGAGTTAATTCAAGGTTCTGGATTTTCAGCTTCTGGTCTCAGTAAGAGAGGCAAACTTCTTCAATTGAATCATCACTTGAGTTATATTAAGACTCAGTTTTAATCTCCCTAAGGGCTTGTTTTTTGATCATTTTCCTTCATCATAGAATTAGGTATTTAATGTTATCAGCGGAATGACCAGGCTTTCCTCTTAGGAATTCCTGACTTTCTGATATCTTTGTTGCTAACAGACCTTCAAATAGATTTTTATATTTTCTCATATTTTTTAGTTGTTCTCAGGGATGTGATAAAAACTATTACTTCATACCCTTGGCTAGAAGTAAAAGTCTGCTAGAAATTTAGTTGTACACATAACCATCTATAAATTAATGCTAATTCTTGTTTTATGTTTAAAAATGAATGCTTGATGATAACTTTTGTATCTTAAACAGAGTTAAGTTTAAATAATTTTTTACAACACAAACCAGTGAATATTATCCAGATAAAAAAGTGTTAAGTATAAAGAATGTGTAAAAATATGAAAGTGCTTAAATAATTAAGTAGGCACAATCACACCCTTGATTACATAGTATGCTTGTTATTGGAAAAAATAGTTTTAAAACTGTCTTGACAAAAGAAAACCAAATACCACATATTCTCGCTTATAAGTGGGAGTTAAATAATGAAAGCACATGGACATACAAAGAGGAACAACGCACACTAGTGCTTATTGAAGTTTGGAGGGTGGGAGGAGGGAGAGGATCAGGAAAAATAATAGGTACTAGGCTGGATACGTGGGTGATGAAATAATCTGTATGACGAACCCCCATGACACAAGTTTACCTATGTAACAAACCTGCACATGTACCTCTGAACTTAAAAATGAATTTTAAAAAAACCTGTCTTGACTGTACTGGGAAGTATACAATTCTGTTTTTGACAATAACAGGTGTATATATTATTGACAACTGAGACATCTTTTATTTTAAAAGCTTTAATTTAAAATAAACAGACTTTATTTCCATATCTTTGGAAAAATGTTGCCACACTGTATTATCAAAAAATGTTCACAGGCAGAAAATTAATATAAAACAGCGCAATGATAGCCTTATTTTATAGCAATCCTTTCTAATTTTAATTAAACTGTTATAAACTTCTCAAACTCTTCCCTGTGTGTATGCACACATACACATACACACACACACACTTCTTATGGACACTGTTGAAATGTCTTCTGTCTAATGAGTATTTTCATTGAGCCTATAGATAATTGGGTAATGTTTATGCATATTTGTTGTTTTGTCATTTACAGTAGAAGATGACCCATATGTTTTAGGGTTTTTAGAATTATCATCCATCCTTTAAGTTCTCAGCTGTATCTTCACCCAACTAACCCCAATTATTTCCAGCTAGATTACTTTTGAAAATGTTTGCTTTGGCTCAGAACATTTAATTTATATTTTATTCAATAGATTTATATTTTAAATATACCACCAGTAAAATAATTTGGCTCTAAACAATTTTTATACCTTATATATCCCTGTATTTCACAATGCTATGAGTCCATTAATTCACATTTTAGAAAACACTAAAAGGTATCCCTTTTTTCAGTTTATTATGCTTTCCACCATTCCTTGTTTCCATAAATTTGTTGTGGTCCCTATTATGGTACTGCAGCATTGCATATTAACTAACTAGTGATGGCAAGAAACTCACATGCAAAAATGTATGTGCACATTGCTGGATCAAGTTTCCTATTTAATAAAAATACAAAAAATAATATCCGGTAAGAAATGCAAGCAAAGAAGGAATACTGTGCTGCTCACCTGAGACTTCCTGAGCCCCACAAGCCACCCAGTGGGAATACTTTCAGGGATAAATTATGAACATGGGTCTTGTCAGATACAAGAAACTTCATTTTATACCGAGAAAAATCCCTGAGGCTTACACACATATTAAGGAGAAAGTTAAACCAACAATTTGTTTTCATTTTTTTCATTAAAACAGTGCTTACAGAAATATGAATCCTGTACATATTGACCTTAAATCAGTGACAGTAAGACCATAATATCAGCATTGAGGCAGGTGGGAGCAGAATCAGAGTGCAAGCATTCCTGAGCAGTGCCCTGCCTCCAGCAGTCCAGTGTTGCCAAAAGCATATTTCTCTACAGGTGTGGGTTATATTGGGGTCTCAGGCAGATACATTTTTCCCTCATAGTTACTTTTTTCTTTCATTAAACACATGGGAATAACTGTATGTCTACAGGAAAAGATGTCCTCTCACTTTTAGTGAAAAAATCAAGTCTATCTAAATTTTGCATTTCCATTTTTAAAAAAGATATAATATACTGTAGGAAAATATTTGTCTGATATAAAGTAAACAAGAGCAAGTCCCATGATAAATGGAAAATGTATCTAAGTCTAGTCACTAGAGAGAGACCACACAGTAATTTGAACAGGGGAAGTTTAATACAAAGAATTACTAACTGTAGCATGGGATTGCAGTAACAACAAATCACATTCAAACAGTGTGCTGGCCAAAGAAAACATATTTGTGAGCCAAATCTTGCTGATTTTGAAATCTCTGCTTGGAATACTGTTATAATATCTTAACAGAATATCTGAGCATAGTTCAGATTCTAATGCTACCCTACTAAAGCACTTACATTTGATTTAAACAGCATTCTGAATGATGTGTGTAAGCCTCCATAACTTGGAATGTGGACTATTATATTCTATGCTTCACCATCCTTTCTTCAGCTCTTCCTTTATAAGTATCTTAACTCTGTTTTATGAGGAATGTAACTATTTCTTTATGAAGACCCTGCCAGTACTTTGTGAAGACATGGTTTGAGTTACTGAATTTAATTAATAGCATTCTTCAGTCATAGGTTTCCTTGCAGTCCAAACATTTGAGTTGCTAACAGTAACTATATTTTTAAAAATATTAAGAGCATAATGTCAGTAATGGTCTCTTTTGAAAATATCATTGAAATCACTTTTTGAAACATTTTTTATTATTTATTAGATGTATAGTTTTAATTATTGAAGGTCAAAATATTATTGAAAGTGTATTGCTTGTGTATAAAGCAAAAAAAATTGAGATTGTAAAAAAATGCAATTAGAAGATATAATTATTTAACATATGCATAGTAATACTATTTAGTTTGTCACACAGAAGCTGTCATGACTGATTTAGATGTCCCTCTTCAGTCCTCTCTGAGATCCCAATATATTATACAATCTTAGTATTTCTTACACTACACTGTAATTTTTGGTTTATTTCTCTGTCTTCTGATCAAGATGACACACTTCTTAGGAGCAGGGAACACAAAAGGTTTGTTTTTGTTTTAAAATATCTAGCTACTGTAGCCAAAATTACAAATCAATTGATTAATACATGCATGGTTGAATTGTGAAAAAATTCCTTTCTATTTATGACTGCTCCTGTACACCCATTTATAATAATTATATTTAACAAAGATAATTAGAAGAAATATATAAACATATTAAAATAACTTAAAAATCTTAATTTTAATGTTATTTATATTATAAGAACCCACCCAGATTATTTGTGAAATATTTTACATGTATATATACAGATTCAATTTTTAAAGTTTTTAAAAATCAAATAATTCAACATTTCAAACAGTGTAGATGTCTTCAAAATGGCAGAAGCTTGAAATACTATTTTAAGGCACAATTTGAAATACTTTAACTTAACAGGTATTGCCATTTTGTGGGAAGGAATGCTACATAAAATAATTCCTATATTAAAATTATTAATATTGTTAATGTAATTCACTCTTGACATTGAAGTATAAATTAGTAACTCACTGTTATATTTTTAAAAGCCTTTCTGGGTCTCCCAGTTCCCATCCTACATTGGCAAACACAGAAATAACTACTATTAACATCTTAGGTACTTATTTTTATGTTTATCTTCATATTCATAAGTACACATTTCTTGATT
Organism: Homo sapiens; assembly: GCF_000001405.40. Taxonomy (NCBI): domain Eukaryota; kingdom Metazoa; phylum Chordata; class Mammalia; order Primates; family Hominidae; genus Homo; species Homo sapiens. The sequence goes on from NC_000001.11 coordinate 190,749,293, forward strand.
TATAAATTTGAGTACCTATTAATTTTTCTCTAATAAAATTTGAGAACCTGTCTCTTATTCCCTGTTCCCTAATACAGCAAGGTAAAACTATATACTAAATAAAATTAGATTATTGTGAAGTTATCTTCAAAGGCTGCGTGTCAGTATTTTATCTGAGCTCCATTTTATTCTGTAGTTTCTAACCCATGGTTTTAAAACCTACAATTTTGAGAGTTATTACAACTTCAGGTGATTCCTGGGATTTGTGTATGGCTCAAATAGTTCTATCAATGTGCTATTAGAAGTGCTTTTCACCTTTTCTTCTTCTTTTTATTTTTTTTTTTCCTCAACCATTCAGCTGCTGATTGTTAAATTGTATTTTGGTTATTTTTCTTAATTGTTGGTAACTTCAGTATGCCACAGCAACAGAAATTCCATTTGTTCTGCTTAGACCATTACAGCTGATTATAGAATGCCTTCAGTTGAAATCCACATCAGCCGAAGAAATGTATCTTATGGCCCTAAGAATTCTGCATCCTCTTTCATACATGATAAAAGGAATAAAAATTGAGAAGAATTAAAAACCTTTGTTATGGTTTCTAAAAAATAAATGTGAGTAATATTATAATTCAATTATAAACAAGGCAAATACGCAAATACGTATAAAAGATGACACCATTGATTATCCTATTAACTATGTAATTATAAAGGACTGTCAAGTTTTTCTAACAATAACTGAAACTCAGCTCTAAATTTAGTAAAGGTTATTTAAAAAGAGAACTTTAGAAATTGTTTTAAAAAAACTCATCCAGAAAATAATTATAATAATTTAGGCTTATACTATATTTCAAATAACATCCTGGAATGTATTTTAGTATTGCTATGGACTGAATTGTGTTTCCCCAAAATTCATATGTTGAAGTCCCAACCCCAATACAATGGTATTTAGCCCTGGGAAGGTAATTAGATTTAGATGAGGTTATTCTGCCTGCATGACGGGATTAATGCCTTTATAAGAAGAGACGCTAGGGAGTTGCTCTCTCTCTCTCTCTCTCTCTTTCTCTGCTATCGAAGCAAACACACAGAAAAGCAGCCATCTGTAAGCCAGGAAGACAACCCTTGGCTGATCTTGAGTATAGAATTTCCAGTATCATAATTGTGAGAAATAAATTCCTGTTGTTTACGCCACCATGACAATGGCTATTTTGCTATGGCAGCCTGAGCTGAATTATACAAGCTTATGTGGCATACATGTATAACATATATCTATTTATATTATGTTTAATAATTTTTGTTGTTAACATTTGCTTACCCTATATTCTTTTTTAAAATTTTCCATTAATGCTTAACATTTTATTTTAGTAAAAATACAAAGATTATGTTCCATCATTAATCATTCTGATATCGTCTAAGTGTCTACACCTTATTTATTAAAATTAGATCTTGATGATCTTTTCAAGAAATAATTTACTGTACAATGTGTAAACAGTTTGTAACATTCTACAATACTTATTTCTCTACCAAAAATATGCCCAGTGTACTGATGTTATATACAAATTAATACAAATATCCAAATTTTTAAAAAATTTAAGCCATATAATAAATATAATAGCAAGTGCATTGGATAGCCTAGTGAAAAAACTGGAGAAGGAAAGGAGTTCCAAAAGTGAAACTCATAATTCATATTAATAAGAAAATTTGAGATATTTGTTTTATTAGTTTTAGAAAAACTGACAAAACAATAACATGCAACTGCCTTATTCTATGAGTTTATAGGATAATTTGATATAACTTAGTTGTACACATTTCTTTTTTTTTTTTTTGAGACGGAGTCTCTCTCTGTCTCCAGGCTGGAGCGCAGTGGTGAAATCTCGGCTCACTGCAACCTCCTCCTTCTGGGTTCAAGCGATTCTCCTGCCTCAGCCTCCCGAGTAGCTGGGACTACAGGCGCGCACCACCGCACCCAGCTAATTTTTGTATTTTTAGTAAAGACGGGGTTTCACCATGTTGGCCAGGATGGTCTCAAACTCTTGACCTCATGATCCGCACACCTTGGCCTCCCAAAGTGCTGAGATTACAGGCATGAGCCACCGCTCCGGGTCAGTTGTACACATTTCTTATTCCTAATAAGTGATTTCTTTCATAAGAAAATTCCCATCTAGTATTCTAGATCTTATCATTCTAAAACCTTGATTTAGGGTTCATTAATATTCATTCAATATAGGTTAACTTTGTAAATTTTGCCACCACTAACGTAAACAGTAGTTCATGTTTATATAAAATTAGCTGAACATAACCCTCACTAGTAAAATTTAAAGGAAGTTCTCTAAGCCCTTCTAAATTATTAACTCACCTTTGGAAAAAATTATGAATGTCATTAGTTAAAGGACATTCTATTTGGCATGGGCATTACATTTGATATACCCATTTTATTTTCGCTGGATTGTCATGCAAGGCTGCTGCCAAACTGCTTACATAAATCCATAGATAAGTTGTTTTCTAGTAATTCCCAAAGTTACTAATGGTGTGTCAATTCTAGGGATAGGACAGTAAGTGTCAGGGTTGGTTGCAACATATAATTATGTATTATTCATCCAGAAGCTAATTGTGCCATCCAGTTGGAAAATAAGAACACTGAGAATCCCCAGAGCCTATAGAGACTAATAATCCTTGTTTTTACAGCAGTTCAATCTAATTTCTAATGTCACCTAACAATTCTGGCTAGGTTTTCAATATGGCAATTTTTTCTTACATTTGCTTCTAAACTCCATGACAGATAAATCAGTTTTATCTGTCATGGAGTTTAGAAGCAAATGTAAGAAAAAATTGCCATATCGATACCTGGTTTTCCTTTGAGTATGTCTTCAGTGATCTAGATATGGACAAATTGCTCCTCTTTACTGACATTCTAAGACTTGGTAGTTCAGCGGAGCAATAGTCAAGCAAAGTTAGAAAGGTTCATATTGCATGCTAGCAGGGTGAATATTCACTAGACAGAAGAGCAATCTGTGGATTTAGTAAGGAGGATCATTCTCTGTGAATAGTAATGTCTAGATCTGAGACAACATTTTATATAGTCAGCAGATTCTTTGGAAAAATTGAAGTGTTTTATTTTAAAATCTGAATCGAGATTCATATATAGATTCATATAAAGAAAAACATATATACATCTTTTTACAACCATAATCTTAGTATTTTCCCCAAATTAGGAATGTGTGCAGTACCCTTCTGCCACATTTTTTAAAAAAAAATTTCCCATCTGTTCATCCTCGAAAACTCAAATATCTCAGCCATACCTAACATACCACAGGCTCACATTTCGTGATTGCAGGTGAAATACTTCCTATGGTGATATCAACACTTTTCTCCTGCCCAGTGCCAATTCTTATTCTCACCACATTTCAAGAAATACTGTGCTCCTCCCTTTAATCAGTTTGAAATTCCTAAGGTGGAACCAACTGGTAGGAAATTTAAGACCAGTGGAAATGTATGTCTATATTTGGACAGTATCAAGAAATACTGTGCCATGTTGTGTCAATATTTTTTCTAGCACTTCATTCTAAATCGTAATAGCTATCTATAAAATATTTGATGAGTTTAAAAATATATAAAAATAAAAGCTTTATCTTGAAAATTTTGTAATTATATATGCAAACAGAATATATAGATTGAATGTTCATCAGAAAAGTTATTTTAAGGACTATTTCCTAGGCCTCTAGGAATATATCAGTTTCTTCCTCTACATATTTAGCCACTCTTATTTGTTGCAGATAGTATGACTATTGCATTTATCTTTAGAAATATCCATCATTAGATGGCATGCTACATATGATTGTAGATTTTTATCAGAAAATATGTGTAATTATCTTAGAAATAATGGTTATAGTAGTTAAACATTTATTTTTTTAATTGTTAACTTTATTCAGACTTACTCAGGGACTGAAACTGAGCTCTACCAATGTAAACACCAAAAAGTGTGGAACAGGGGGAATGCAGGAATCTAAAATAGGGAGAAGGGAAATATAGGTGTTAGAGACAAAAGAGACAGGCATGTTTGGATACTTATTCAAAGGGGTCTCAGGCTTGTTCTAAATGTGATCTCAATGAAAAAGAAAAATTTTTCTGCTTCTTTTGAGCACCAAATCTATGATTAAGAATTTGCTCCTTTGGATTCTAGCCTAAACCTGTAATATTTTTCAGCTGTTTGAGGGCACAACTGGAACAGGGGTTAAAACACAAAGTTAAAAATACCATCCGATTTTGGTGTTCTGAATTCTAAATTTACTAATGCCTCCCTAGACTGTAGCTAGGTTGATCATAGTTGACGTTCCATCAAAATATATATGGTGCATTTCATATTTGCTCTTTCACATATATAAATATATCATAGTTTCTGGGAATTGCATTAAATGTATGTAAAGATATCTACAGTGTTCCTTATGTTCTGGGAGATTTATGAAACTACATGAAATATAATTTAAATGTTTATTTTTATATGTACTTTTACTGTATTTGATTGTATGTTTAGTCTTTATTACATAATTAATAAACAATATAGATCAAAATTGGTATAATTGCTCTCTGAAACATGTTTCCATTTTCATAAGAGACTATACATTTTTAGGGACATCATTCATATCTAGAACTCTCTCATTTTCCAAAGAGAATTGCCATGAAATTCTCCTTTAATGATTGTTTATTTCTTCTCTACAAAACACCATGACAACATTTTCATTTCTATGTTTATTCAAAATTATGATGATTAAATGATCCTGAATATAGTAGAATATAGTGAAAATCAATAGGGTGAAATTCTTCATAATCATCAGGAAATGAGCAAAACATGTGATAACCACATAATCATCAAAAATGGATCAAAATATATTATCAAAAATCAAAATAGAAAATAATATATAATCTCATGATACACAATTTCCTTGTTATTTTTAAGCTCATGCATAAGTGTAAATGATTGTTCTTTGCTTGTTTTGTTTTTATTTCAGTGCACTTATATGATACTCATATAATTAAAATTATAGAAATAGATCTGTAAATGTAGATTAATATAAGTAATCACTTTTTAGTGAGTTTTTGCACACACAATTTTTCCAATTACAGTTGTCGCAATTCCGATTTTTATATGCTCATTCTAAATTGTTACTCTGGCAATTGGTTCCTAAATATGTTAAATTAGAAGCATTATTTTCTGCCAAATTCTATCAGTTATTATTCTTCAGTCTTTAAGATATTGTAAGATATTAAGACGACTGGCCTTTCTAGCTCAGTAGCTCAAATAAAAGGGAAGAGTGCTTTTTTTTTTTTTCAAGTTGAAAGCATTTGAGAGTGGGAATAATTCCAACAAATGCAGCTGAAGTGCTTATCCAGTTGTCAGTTTGATTCTATATCATTTTGTTTGTTTTTTATAACTATGTTTATAGATTGTTAGCATTTGAAAGCACTCTACTTGCTAGGAATTTGATAAGTGATTAAAAATTTGGCAAATGTTTTCTCCAAGAGCTTCTAAATAGATTCTATAAACAAAGCCAAACAAAGTGAGGTGCAGTGTGAATGATGATTTACCCTAATCGTTTCACACTATTTAATGAGTACAGTAAGAGATATGTTTAGGATATTTTTTCCTTTCCATGAGGCATTGGGAAATATATGAGTATATAGCTGTCTTTCCACAAGAGGGCTTCATCTTTCAAATCAGCATTATCATACTTACTTGGAACTATGCCCAGAAAAGTCTATTGCTTGTTAGTTTATTGAATCAAGAAGAGTTTCTACTGGAATATTTGATAACTCTTCTGGAGAAGAATTTGTGGAAACATAGATTTGTGTATATGTGTATATTTGGGGAAAATATAGGCCTACATGTTCAAATATTATTTACATACATATGTTTGAATTATTGACACATATATGATTATAATTTTATAATCCTATTATTCTACAAGAGATTCTTTTTCTGAAGAAAATTTTTAGACAACTGTACTAGTTAGGGTTCTCAAGAGAAACAAAGCCAACAGGATCTATATATCTTATAAATTTCATTCCCTCCCTCTGTGTGTATGTATTTGTTTATGTACATATATGTGTATATATGTGTATAGATACACAAGCACATATGTGTATGTATGTCTATTTATCTACAAAGATTCATTATAATGAATTTGCTAATGCATTTATAGAGACTGAGAAGTACAATAATCTGTTGTCTGTGGGCTGAAGACTCAGGAAAGCTGATGGTGCAGTTCCAGTCTGAGTATAAAGTCCTAATTACTATGAGTGCTGATGGTGGTGTAAGTCCCAATCCAAGGGTGGAAGAAGACCAATGACTAAGCTCAAACAGGCAGAGACAACACATTATACCTCTTTTGCCTTTTTGATCTATTCAGATTAGATGATTTCCACCCACATTGAGAACGACAATCTACTATACTCCTATACTCGGTCCACTGATTCAAATGCTAATCTTATCAGAAACACCCTCACAGACACACCCAGAAATCATGTTTGATCAAATATGTAAACATCCTGTTCTTAAACCAATCTGGATGACACAAAATTTAATCATCACAGAAGTTCATTTTCAGTTTTTATATACCAGAATTTTTAAGGTAAATTGTTGACTCTAAGATGTTTCTCTCCATATCACTCAACAATCATTTTTTATTTTACATTATATTCACTAGTATATTATTTTTTAAAATTATCCATATCACTTGCTAGTCAGTTATGCATTATTAACTTGATGGTTATATAATTATCATTAAAACAGTATGTTCCAAGCCTTTTCTAAAAAAAATTCTTTATCTCATATACTCCATGATTACGTTAGATGTTTATTATAACAGGGATAAGTACTATGTGTTAAAACTAGGATTCAAATTCTTGTTTTGTGGGCCAATTTATTTAAAATTATTTACAGAAAGAAGCAAGCATTTGAATAATGTTTGTGCAGGAAAATAAGAAAAATGATTTAGATTTTTGCCCAGTTTACAGGGTTAATAGAGAATCAGAAACAAATTGAACATACATGTTGATGTTATAAATTGCATTAATATAATTTAACACCACTTGTACACCATGTATACAGGTTTGGAAAAATATTAAAAATTTTAATAAGTGCTTTTCATAAGATAAATATGGCTACAATTTTATTTTAGTAACATCTATCTATATATTTCATAGAAGTTGTCTATAAAATGTTATAATTTGGCCTTGTATATGGATTTTCCAAAGCTACTATACAATGAGATTGAAAGAAAATTTAATTTTTATAAGAAGTGTTATTAAGTTTTTGAAATAGAAGAATATGTAATATTGATGGTTAATATTGAATGTCAACTTGATTGGATCAAAGAATGGAAAGTATTGTTCCTGGGCATGTTTGTAAGGGTGTTGTTAAGGAGATTAACATTTGAGTCAGTGGACTGGGAGAGACAGACCCATTCTCAGTCAGGGTGGGCACCATCTAATCAGCTGCCAGGGTGGCTAGAATAAAGCAGACAGGAGAAGATGGAAGAGAAGACTTGCTGGGTCTTCCAGCCTTCATCTTTCCCCGATGCTGGATGCTTCCTGCCCTCAAACATCAGACTCCTAGTTCTTCAGTTTTTGGATTTTTGAAATTTACGCCAGTGGTTTACCAGGATCTCTTGGGCCTTGGCCACAGACAGAAGGCTGCACTGTAGGCTTCTCTACTTTTGAGGTTTGAATCACCACTGGCTTCCTTGCTCCTCAACTTGCAGATGGCCTATGGAGGGACTTTACCTTGTGATCGTTTGAGTCAATTCTCCTTAATAAACTCTCTTTCATATTACACATATATCCTATTAGTTCTGTCCCTTTAGAGAACCCTAACTAATACAGTAACACTTGTAATGATACATGAAACTATGTTTTTATTTGTGAACAACCAAGCTAGGAATCCTAATTTACAAACTGTAGCTTGATTCTTGAGATGCCATATCATTTTGAAGCCACAGTGATGACTCTTTGTGTTATAGATAGCATTAATTCACTGATTTCTTTGCCATCACATTTACAATCTTCTACTCCAGTCAAACAGGCACATGGCAGTCAGACTAATCAAGTCATCATATCAGTCTTCTCTTCTTTACCTGCTAACTTTTTCTTGTCATGCTCAGAATAAAATCCAAACACCTTATGTGATCCATGGAACTCTGCACGATCTAGCCTCTGCCTGTCATGTTCATTTCTTTCTCTGCCAATTTCTTTCTTGTTAACTCTGGTCCAACCATGGCTACTTTTGTCCAAGAAAGCATATTGACCACTTGAAGTGAAATATGCCTAATCAAGATTAAGATGGAAGTGTAAATGCACAATTTCAAAGCCTTTATACAAAAAAAAGTAAAATAGCGCAGTAATAATTTTTGTATTGAGTGCATGTTAAAATGGTAATATTTCATGTTAAACAAAAATATATAATTCAGATTAATTTTACCTGTTTTAAAACATGTATCTTTAAAGTGGCTACTAAAACATATACAATTACATATGTGATTCATATATGTGGCTTATATTATGTGTCTCTTCTAGAGTGTTATAGTAGAGGATTGAAAAGTAATTGCCAAATTAATTAACAAGCTATATTTTCCAAGCAAATTGTGAAGAAAAAAAGGCTTTGGTTGTTTTCAATTGGGAAAAAACTTACCAAATGTTATTAGGAAATACTCTTTTCCATGTTCATAACTCTTTGCTGTGTTACTTCTCCATTTTAGGATGTCTACTTTTAACTGTTTTATGTGAAGTGAAATTTCGACACTAGAGAATGGTACACACTACTAATTTCAGCTCTGGGAAAGAATAAAGACATAAGATAAATGCTCATTGTAGAGAAATAAAGTGCTCATTGCATGGAATATATCTATAAGGAGCCAGTTTAAGCAAACTGGGGGAAATATCAAAGAAAAAAATACACTAGGAAAGTCTTTGCCTCATTTATGTATGAGATTTTTTTAAAATTATACTCAGACATTGCCAGATTTAATTTCTGTGCCACAAAGTCTCTCTGTAATCTAGATTAGGATTTAGGACAAATTGACAAAAATATTGAGAGAACATACAATACCTGTTCTCGATGAGTAGAGAGGCTTTGCTAGAGAACAGATATGATATGTTTTTGTTTCACAACATTGCCAATATCAAAATGTTATTTCCATTGCAAATATACATCAGATTTCACAGCCAATATTATTTTCAATGTAGTGTCAGACTATAATTTGTGTATGTCTTTTTCTGAGATACAAAAACCTCTGTCAATCTGTACCTTATAGATTTAAGGAACACGTGATGTTTATTGAATACCTCATCTTGAAAAAATTCCTTTGAAAAGTCTATCAATTGCTTATTTTAAAGTTGTTTTTATTTATTCATTTTTATAAGTTTGTATTGATAATAAATGTACATATTTTGGGGGTACATGTGATTAGGTGACACATTCTTATAATATGTAAAGATGGAATCAGAGTTATTGGGATATCCATCAACTTCAATATTTACCTTTTCTTAAAGCTAGGAAAACTTAAATTCTCTTCTAACTATTTTGAAATGTACAATAGATTAATGTTAACTCTAGTCCCCCTACTGATCTATCTAATCATTTTTTAATGACAACTTTTAAGGCAGAAGTATTCAACGTAACTTTGTTTACTTTCCTTGGTTCTATACTGAATATTTAGTATATACTGAATGAATATTTTAAGTTCCATTAAGAATTTATGTAGTGTTCACTTAAGAATTTACTTAGTGTAGGCTTATGCATACTTTTATTGTTTTTAATCCAAATGTAAAAGCTATGAATTTAGGACCAGTACAAAAAAATTATATTTTATATTATAGTTTTAGTGACAGTATTTAAGGCACAATTATTAACAGTGTAAATTCATAATTTCCCAATAATTTATGGGCAATTTATACCAATAGTCATAATTTTCATGAGACATTTTTGAATTTTTAAAATGGAAAATTGATTGATTGATAAATAATAATTTAAGTATTCTATTACCTTTTATACCAATTAAACATTTATTTCATTTCAAAAATATTTTAACTTGTTAATGTTAAGTGATATTTATTGAGAATATAGTGCTTGTTCCACTTTGAAATTATTAATACTATTATTATTATTATTATTATTTTATGTTTTGCAAACTTATCAGGACTTATAGTCCTGGGGAGGGAAGTATAAGATTCATTGACTATCTAAATATTCCATGCCAGGCAACCAGAAAACATCTCACTGAAGTTTCACAACAACACTATTAGGTGGAAATTATAACCATCATTAAAATATATATAAAGAAAACTGATGCTAAGAGGGGCTAAGTAACTTAGCCAGATATAAACCTCTCACTGGCAAGTAACAACAGCAATTTGCGTAACTAACACTTACTGAGTATTGAATTATGTGCCAGACAAACACCTAAGTGGTTTACAACTGTGATTCTCATAACAAACTTTACAATTGTATTCTGTTATCATTACCTCTTTAAAAATAAAGAAATCAAGAGGCAAAGAGGGTAGAGTAACTTGCTGCAGGACACACAGCAAAGCTAGGGTTACTACAAAGTTAGCAAGATCAAAGCCTATGCTTTGAGTTGAACATTATGACTTGTAATAGCTAGTGTAAAATGGTCCATGACTTTCAGTTCATGTTTTGTAAGGCTCTGTTCCTATTTTGAATCTGGTCTTGCCCTATTAGTCACTTTAACCAGTAGAATGTGGTGGAAGTGATACCATACAAGATCAAGATCTGAGCCTGAGTCTTAAGATAAGTCTGGCAGTTTCCACTTTTGTGCTTTAGTGAGTCTGAGATGCCATATAGGTCTAGCTATCTTTCAGGAGGGATCATGTGGAAAGACAATCTAGACAGGCCACATGGGGAAGGAGAAGGCCAGAGAGTAGACAGAGAGAGAAAGACCCAGCTGATCAACTTATTGGGAAGGTGCTATTTCTCAGACACTTTAAAAAGTAGTTTAGTAAGATATCTCATTTTATTCTTTACTCCAGTACTATAGAATATCTTGCTTTTACATGAGGACTCTGGAAAGACAGGAGACTTGCCTAAGTTCTTTTAGTGAGTAAGTGGCAGGACATGGATTTGAACTTGGGTATTAATATAGACCTAAGACAGTGTTACATCAAAAGTCAGGAATGATAATTTTTGTATGTGGCAAACTATAAAATTCAAAGTTAGGAAAACTAACAGGAGGACTTCATTACACATGAGGAAATGTGAAAATAACATTAATTCAAATAAGTTAGAAAGAGGTGTGAGAGTTGGGGTTCGGCTAGTAACTTAAAGGATAGATAACAGAAATATACAAAGAAAAAGAGTTAAAAAGAACTTCTTATTTCAATAATATGGAAAGGCCTATCAACAAGGAAGAAGGCTTTCAATAAAAATTGCAGCGATTATAAAATGTATCATCTTTGAATAGGAACAATTAAAATTATATAACACCAGCAGAGTTAGAGAGTGTGTGCTTGTGTGTGAAAATTTATTACCTTTGTCTTACTTGTAGTCTTATGTCATTGTATTTATTTAGTAACCATTTATTGATTCAATAAGTAATTGTTGAGCATTTACTACACATAATCCATGATGCTAGCTGATTGGGGAAAAAAGGTAGGTAGAATAGTAATGCTTCTTGTCATCAGTGAGTTTATGGTTAGAAGGGGAACAGAAGTAAAAATTATAAATGTACTAAAAATTAAAATTAATTGCTAGTTGTATAAATTGAAGGAAAAATCATGAATAATATGAAGAATAGTACAAAAAAAACACTTTAAATTTAACATCTTCAGAAGGCATCCCTTGGTAGATGATTAATCTAACATCTGGAAGCAGAAGGCTGAGAAGCTACCTATACCAGGCTTCAAGAAAGTGCATGTATTAAAGCTTCTGAGGCAGACAAGAACGTGGTGTGTTTGAGAACCTCAAAAGAACAGAGCAAGTGCAGCAAATGTAAAACACAGCAAGAAAAGCTTCAGTGAGGTTACGGAAATGTTAAGGATTATTTATGTTAAAAGTAGAAACCCCAACTTTGTAAGCATAATGGAAGTTTTTAAAAGGTTTTAAGGAAGGAGTGATCCAATTCACATAAAATAATTTAAAACAATACTCAAGCTACTCATCAGAGAGTGGACTGAGGTGGAAAGATTAGAAAGGGAGTTTAGTTAAAAGGATATAATGGTAGTGAAGGTGAGGGAGGATGGAGACTTTATTAGAACAGTAGCAACTGATAGAAAAAAGGAGGCACAAGCATTGCCTAAATAAGGTCCAAATAAAATATAGTATTATATTTAATCAAGTCATCCAAATATTCACAGAATAAAATAAACTAAGCAGCTCAAGAATTATTCCAATTAGAAGGCCTGAGGTCATTCAAATTTAAAAATAAATTCATAGATATTTGTGGGATAGTTTTTCTCTTCTTTCATGCTAGTACACAGGAAATTAAATGAAGAACAATATTATTTATTATGTTTTATTTATTTTCACAGTCTTTACCATGAGTCAGTGTTATACATAATAACAGAGTCATCACATTAGAAATATGAAACTAATGCTCATTAAAAGTTACAATTTAAGCTGAGCATGGTGGAGCATGCCTGTAATCACAGCTAATCAGGAGGCTGAGGCAGGAGGATCATTTCAGTTCAGGAATTTGAGGTTGCAGTGAGCTGTGATCACATCACTGCACTCCAGCTTAGACAGCAGAATGAGACTGTGTCACTAGGAAAAAAAAGAAAGTTTAAAATACAAAGTTTTAGTTTTTTTAAAAAAATTTGCTTAGCTTGTTTTACAAGCTACGTAATGACCTCATCTGGGGGTTAAATCATTCTATGTGATTGTAGCATTTGATACTTGCTTAAAATTCTAAAACTATGGAGTATTACTCTTTCCTCATTTTGAAAATATTACCTTTAATATGTTTTGCTCAACTATATCTATGATTCTTATTTACCTTAAAGGTTATGTTTGTTCATGATCAATTTTCCTCCTTAATAAAATTCATCTGATTCTAAGAAAGAGGTTTTAAAAGCTGAGTAGCACACTCTTTTTATTATTCTCATCACAATGGAGGTGGTGAAATGCCACTCTATTATCATTATAGGACCAGGTGAGTCTATTGAACTTGCATGGTAGGGACAGTATGTGCCTGATGAAATGTTTCAACTTCCAGTTAGTGAAATTTTGTTCAATCAATACAAAGTGCTGAGGTGACACATCCTGCTTTATATTGTGCAGGGTATTTTTAAGTAGTCAACTATGATATTCAATGTCGAGGTACTATAGTGATGTATTTAAGTTTAAAAATGCCTTACCGACTTTAAGTGCTATAAATTTACCTTTTGTGAGTGATAAATTTGACTTCACAGAAGTTTGGCAGAGTCTCACCGTTCTTCCAGCAAATATTAAGAGTTAGTTCTTTTTAACAGTCTATTTCAGTTAAATCTTTTCAAAGACCTTTTTAAGCATGATAACAGTATAATTCAGGTAATGCTGTTTTATATGTGTAAACACATCACAGGTCAATTACAATTATATTATCAAAATTCTCCATATTTTCAGCAAAAAAAAAGCCAAGGCAGAGAAGTTAAGATGATATTAAATGTGAAAATATTATAAGCAAGGAAAGATGGGACAATTAGATACTTCTGTTAAATAAATCCAAAATTAGGAGAAATATAACTAAAATGTATAAACAAAATAGCATATACTTAAACTTGTTGGTTATACAAACAATATGTTAATTCTATGCCAAAATACACATGAAAAGAGAGGAAAGGAAGAAGAAAAAAGAAAAAAGAGAGAAAAAATAATGTTTAATCTAAAGTATCTTCAAAAAGAACTCGATATGAATCTTTTACTCTATTACAGGGGAAGTCAGTCTAAAACCTAAAGCAATTTCATAGAAGGCATATCTCTTAAACTAGTGTAACTCTTAAATTCTGTCAACAGCATCTCTAGAATAAAGCTGCTATTAAATTTATGTTTTATGCACTGACATTCCCTTTACCTCAACAATGTCAGCCTTGGGATAGAAACAAAAGAAAAAAACATTAGACTATTGATACCAAAAAAGAGAATGAACTTGAAGTAATATTAAAATATATATGTGTGTATATATATATTTTTTTCTTTTTTTTTCTTGAGATGGAGTTTTGCTCTTGTTGCTAAAGTGCAATGGCACGGTCCTGGCTCACTGCATCCTCTACCTCCCAGGTTCCAGTGATTCTCCTGCCTCAGCCTCCCGTGTAACTGGAATTACCACCATGCCCAGCTAATTTTGTATTTTTAGTAGAGACGGGGTTTTACCATGTGTGCCAGGCTGGTCTCGAACTCCTGACCTCAAGTGATCCACCTGCCTCGGCCTCCCAAAGTTCTGGGATTAGAGGCGTGAGCCACCGCACCCAGCCAAAAATATATTTTTTAATGAGAGTACTTTTGATTGATATTGAAGAAATTATTGTCTGCATTTTCTTGAACTACCAATGCATATATTGACTACATTGAAAGAAAAAAAAAAACAATCCTTTGTATTATTATTATTACTTTTTGAGATGGAGTCTCGCTCAGTCGTCCAGGCTGGAGTGCAGTGGTGTGATCTCGGCTCACTGCGAGCTCCACCTCCCGGTTTCACGCCATTCTTCTGCCTCAGCCTCCCGAGTAGCTGGGACTACATGCGCCCGCCACCACGCCCGGCTAATTTTTTTTGTATTTTTAGTAGAGACAGAGTTTCACCGTGTTAGCCAGGATGGTCTCAATCTCCTGACCTCGTGATCCGCCCGTCTCAGCCTCCCATAGTGCTGGGATTACAGGCATGAGCCACCGCGCCCGGCCAAACTTTGTATGACTTAAAATTTTTAAACTTTGTATTTTTAATGATTTAAAACTATATTAAAACAATATATAATTTTAATTAAATTTTAAAAGTCAAGATGAACGCAAGATAAGGCCACGCCCTATTGATAATGAGAAGCGATAGCTTCAAATAAATGTAGGCTTCTATTTAGAAATATTAACCAAACATCTCTTTACATGCAGGTTCTATGAAGTATTGACTTTCATTCTGTACACAAGAGATTGAGCAATTACTGTGTTAGGTATCAGAACAAGAGCATTGTTTTGTCATTTCTTTAATCTTCTCAATGAGCTTATTAAATGGATTTTATTAGGAATATTTATAAATAGAGAAAATAAGGCTTAGAGAGGTTAAATAAATTGCCCAAGTTCAGTCACTTAAAAAGCGACAAAAACAGTTTCCCTCCCAAATTCTGCTCTGAGCTTCTAGCAGATACATTATGAGATAAAAGGATATTTTTCCTTTATAAAATAAATTTTTCAATGCAGAATTTTTTAATTGCAGAGAAACACAGCAACACTAATGTAGTTTTTCAGTTCATTATATCCTGTAATAATGAGGGCAGTTCAGCAAGGTAATTGATGTTATTTCCTGTAGATCATTACTACAGAATTAACCACATATCATGGAACTTTTATTAATGATTACAAATACCTCAATCACATATTTCTGAATACAAAATCATCTAATAGCATCTTTACCCTTTTGGAAAATGGTACATGAAGAAGAACATCTAAGTAAAGAGTCCAGAATATTTCAAAGGTAACCTTATAGGTTTCCCATAAACATCTAGCGAGTACTCTTTCTTGTGCAATCATTACACTAAAAGGACCTTCTCAATTTTTTGAATGACTGACAGCAATGCCTATTATGTCTTACAGCTTTGAAATGTGAGGTAAATGCCTGAGTAAACATCATAATGCAATACAAGATGCATTACATTTTCTTCCTGCAAATGTGATGTCTTCTTTTATCTTGCCATAACTTCTTTCAGACAAGACAGTCAACAGGTAATTCTATTCCTATTTTGCTACTGAAAAGAGACAGCAAACTGGAACTGAAAAGTGAAGTTTAACTTCTTTTACTAAAATCACCAATTTATTTTCATTGCCTGTGTTTGGATGAACAAGATACTTAGAGAAATCAATGAGACATCTTTAGTCATTGTTATGTCTCTCATTGTTTTCATCTCAAGGTATCATCAAGTGTGTGTCTATGCCTCAACATAACAAAATTATATCCACATCTCATATGAAATTACACATTTACTTTGCTCATCACTAAATACTTCAGTGCCCAGTATCTAAAATTGCATTTCAAGTACTGATGTGAATTGACTCATTCCAAAATCTAATTAATTTTGAGAGTTTCACCTTTTTATTTTCTGGCATCTCCCTAGGTTTTGAGGCCCTTTTCACTTACCTGCTCTTTGAACACTTAAATATAATCTTATTTTTTTCCATTTTCAAATATCATACAATTATTTCCATGTGCCACTGTTTTAGTACATTTTGTGTGGCTATAAAGGAATACCTGAGGCTGTGTAACTTATAAATAAATCAGTTTATTTGGCTTACGGTTTTGCAAGCTGTACAAGAAGCTTGTGTTGCTTCCAGTGAGGGCCTTGATCTACACTTTCATGGCAAGAGGTGAAGGGGGAGTGGGCACATCACATGGTGAGAGAGGGAGCAAGAGAGATGCCATGCTGTTTTTAACCTATTATCTCTCACATAAACTAATAAAGTTAGAATTCACTCATTCCCATGGCGTAGGCATCAAGCCATTCATGAGGGATCCACCCACTTCAGCCAAACACCTCCCAGTAGGCCTGATCTCAACACTGAAGATCACGTTTCAACAAGAGATTTGGAGGAAACAAATATCCAAACCCTATCAGTCACTATCCTGCTATTTAGCATTCATGATTCCATTTTCTAAAACAAGAATCCTAATCTTACTGGAAACATGCTTTTAAAGCAAATTGGGAAACAGCTGTTTCTTGCTATCATAATTTTAAATTGATGACTCTCCTTACCAATGAGACTTGACTTCCTCAGCTATAATTTAAAAGGTCCTAGAGAAAGACTGTTACTGAACTCAATTGCATCAGAAAATCACTATCTCTAACTCAACTAGCAATGTATATAAAGAAGAAGTGCAGTCTCTTAAAGATTGAAAGAATGGCTGGACAGGTGATTTAACTTTTTTTTTAAATCAATTAAGACTTTTTAAAGCTCCAAAGGACAAAAAGATCAACAAAAACTTGCTTAAAAGATGGCAGGAAGTGTACACGGGAGGAAAACAGATATTGACAATAAAACTTCAAAGTTCATGAGTATATAGTGCAGGCTTCAGCATCACTTAATTCAGGGTTTAAAATGATGTCACCCTCACCTTATCTGTCTTCATCAGTATATCTCCCTTCAAGTTTGTTTAATTTTAAGGCCTCATGTTGTATTTAAAGGGGTGGTAGCAGACCCAGATTTTTCATGTGGTCAGCATCAAGTTCAGTGGGGAGATCGATGACTCTCTGAAGTAGTATTCCCAAGTAAAGTCCCAGGAATTATTTTCCTCTGCTTGGGCTATGTGTCTGTCCCTAAAGAAATCCACTTGGCTTAGGAAAATGTGATGCACTGCCTGGCTTTGGTTTTTGTCACCTCTAATACCTGGAATCACTGAGTAGTTCCTTGCACAGGCCACTGGAATAAGAATAAGAAAGTGAGTTGCCCCGGACTGCTATTTTTAGATGAGTGGCAGTAGATCCCCAAGTTCAAACATATTTTCTTCTTATGTAAACATGTTGAAAATATGTCCATTTTTATAATTCAATGGTACCATATACATGTCTAAACTTACTTGCCTTTTTCACCAAAACATGCAACAAAAGATCTCATCCACCTATTAAGTCCAGATCCAAATCCTGGATCCCAGAGTTTTTAAAATGTCTTTCTATTGAGCCTAGATGTGCTTCATAAGGCTCAATAATGAGTTTACTTACAACACATTAAGTAAGAATGATGAATAGAGAACTGAATATGTGCAGTAGAGGAAAAAAAAGCAGAGATTTGTATTTAGGAAGAGAAAGTGGAGACAACACAGAGTAATACTTTACATAATTAAATTTAATAGAGCTTTGCTTGAATTTCTTGAATGAAATAATTAATTTTAATATTGTAGTGCATTATTGCACCCTTGAGCTTTATAGAAACTCTTATTTGTAAGTACTTTGCTACTGAAGAAATTAGTCCCTTATATATCTCTTCTGGGTGAAATATTAGTGATTTTTCATCAAATCCCTAAAGTTTTTGTTCCTATTCATTTAATTTGGGGTGGGAAATTTTAGTCATTATTTCATGTATATTTAAGAAAAAATCAGAATTATTTTTACTCATTTAAATACATTGTTATTTATATTTTATGTCATTTTTAATTTATAATAATTATGTACAGAAAAATGGCCTTTTACCCATTGTTGTTTTGTGATGATTTCACATTTATACTCTAAAATGAAGCCCAACTTCGTAGTGCAGAATAAATTGAACTCACACAAAGAAGTTCACCTTACTCTGCCTGGAGGAAGTTCTGAGGCTCTAAAATGCACTTCAGCTCAGTTTACGCTTCTGGGGTTACTGACTAATACATCATTATATACCACATTTTAGTGCCTTAAGAGAACAACATGCTGTTTTTGCAAGATAAACCAGACTAGTATAAGAAAGCTCTTGTTAGATTACACAGTGAAGTTCAGAAAACAAAATGATTACAAGTTAACTTAAAAACTTCCCACCAACTGTTTTCTACAAAGAGACTCCGTTGTGTTTTAATCTTTATTTTTTATTTTTTATTTTTATTTTTTAACAGTCACACTTTGTCACCCAGGCTAGAGTGCAGCTGTGCGGTCCCGGCTTAATGCAACCTCCACCTCTCAGGTTTGAGCCATTCTCATGCCTCAGCAATCCAGTAGCTGGGATTACAGGCATGCACCACCCACTTGGCTAATTTTTGTGGTTTAGTAGAGAGAGGGTTTTGCTATGTTGGCCAGGCTGATCCTGAACTCCCGGTCTCAAGTGAGCCACCTGCCTCAGCCTCCCAAAGTGCTTGAGCCACTGCGCCCGGCTAAGTGTTTATCATTTTTGATTTTGTTGTTTTGGAGTTTTAGAAAAAGCTAAGAATGACAAGGTAGATTAGAATAACTTATAATGTATTCTTATTTATTAACCTCAACAAATTCCACCAATGTTGTGAGGCATATATTTTTATTTTGAAAGTATGTGCAGAGAATTAGATTTAGTCTTAGCAACTCTGACTCATGTTTATATAAAATGTGAAACACTGTGCACTGATTTCTGCCAGTACTAATGCACACACACTATATATCAGAAATATTAAGAAAAAGCATGGGATCTATTTGATTTCAAAGAAAAACAAAGATAGTGTTTTCAAAATTTGTCTACTAATATTTGGAAGAAAGACATAGCAAGACTGATTTTAGTGGGGTTGAAATTCAAGAAGGGTAAGAATGAAAAATTTTGATGGAAGAAATCAAGATGTTCTAATATTCACAGGATTCCCAAGTGCACTATACAGGTAGAAGAATTGGGACTTTTGTGACATTACACTATTGGCATTGCCTATAGATGAATCTCACTGTACTTGAACAATTTAATCTTGATCTGGGAGAGATTTTTATGGCTTAAATTAGGAAAGATTCTACACAATCACTTTTCTTCTGTTCGAATAAACAAAAAGTCTGCAAAAGACATGAGTTATACACAAACTATTTAAGTCCCTTACAAGTATATTTGATTAACCTTAATTAGATTTTCTAATAAGATATGAGATACATATTTTAATTATTTTAGGAACAACTTTTATGTCCTAGCTTTTATTTCAGAAGAATGAAGCAATATTATAATTGGATATTTAAGCTATCATATATATGATCATTTTCATTTGCATGATGCTAAAAAGGACAGGTTACATATTTGTGTTTTGCCATCTTTTCTCTTTCTTTTTTTTTGCGTGTTGTTTTCTACAATAACTTAAAGATAAGAAATAACACATATGTAGAATTTGACAACTGTCCCAATATGGGGAACTGCAGTATTGCAGAAGATACTTAGCCATTCCTTACTTCAATGTCTTGTTAGGCAAGAATTTAGTCCCTATGTAAAGTATACTGATGAACAACTACAGCAAAATAAATGCCTGTGTCTAGTAGTCTTCATTTTAGAAATCCTGTATAGTCCTATTTTTACAATTTGAGATGTACATTTATAAGTTTGAGACATAATTAATTCCCTGTATCTCTATGCCAGTTTTATTTTAACACAATTCCATGATAAGTACATGAATGAAATGTAAATGTGAAGAGTAATATCAATAGATATTAATTTGAATAATTTGGAAAAATATTTTTAATGTCAAGGCACTAAAAATTACCTGCTTGAAATTGTGTTTTGTTAATCAACTTTAAGAAAAAGATAAATAATTATAAAAATTAATAGGATATTAAGTCATTTACCATGTATTCTAAAAGTTGACCTGTATTCATTTTTTAATTGTCCTAATCTGTTCTTTTTTCTTCTCTTCAGTTCTAGTTGTTTTTCTCCATTGAGAACTAATGGAATTTCACTAGCTGTCTTAGAATTTGTGGGCACTTTTGTCTTCTAATGAAAGAAAACCAACTGTTTTATATTCCTTTTTTTCTTTCGGATGGATCTTTAGAACTAGATTTATATATGATATATATGTATAATGTATACATATATTATAAATACATTTAATTGGAGAGGTAGAGTAGGAAGACAGATAAATTGGTTTTGATTTCAGAGAAAATATCAGGGCATATGACATATATATGGAAAATACAACATATAGAACACACTGTAAGCCATTGGTCTCTATGAGATTATCCAGAGAATGAGAATATAAAGAGAAGGGAAAGGAATATTAAACTGTCAGCGGCCACTGATAAGGAATAATAGAAGAAACTACCAAAAAAAAATTTAATAACACTTCTTCAATATGGAAAGAAAGCTGTAGTCAGAATGTTACAAGTGTCTAGAAAAGCTAATGTGGCTTCTATTAGGGTCTGCCATTTCTAAATAAAGAGCACATCCAGAAAGATACACTGTACTTGATGCCACTAAGAGGTTAGTAAGATAAGGGCTAAGAGTTGGCCGTCGGATTTAGCAATATAGATTTCATTAATGACTTTGATGAGACTGATTTCACTGGAGTTTGGGAAATCAAGAGAATAAGTTCAAAAGATAACAAAGGAGAATATTTTGAGAGCACTTAGAGATAGTAAAATTATTTTCAAGAAGCTTTGCCAGTGGTGTAAAGTAAAAAAGCAGTAGCTAGATAGGAATATACACTCAATGAAAGGTATTCTTAAAAAGAACAATATGCCCCGCACTTTGGGAGGCCAAGGCAGGAGGATCATGAGGTCAGGAAATCGAGACCATCCTGGCTAACACGGTGAAACCCCGTCTCTACTAAAAAAAAAAAAAAAAATATATATATATATATATATATATATATATATATATATATATATATAAAATTAGCCGGGCGTGCTGGCGGGTGCCTGTCGTCCTAGCTACTACGGAGGCTGAGGCAGGAGAATGGCGTGAACCCGGGAGGCAGAGCTTGCAGTGAGCAGAGATCGCACCACTGCACTCCAGCCTGGGTGACACAGGGAGACTCCGTCTCAAAAAAAAAAAAAAAAAAAAAAAAAAAAAAGATCAATATGGTGGTTTGTTATGTTGTGGTGGTTTGTTAACAATTTTTTGTTAGTTTTTTTTTTTTTTGGAAGTATAATTTCTGTCACAAACATAAACACAGGTTTTCTTTGTTTTGTTTTTAATTTCTCAAGTGTATGCAGTGTTGTATTTGGTTTCTAAGTTTTCATAATTTTTTAGGATGAAAATTTGCATTTCTTGCCTATTGGTAGTAAAAGACACATTTAAATATTTATTGGTGGAACATAAATTTGTTTTAAAAACAGTGTTGTCTAATTTTTTAATATACTTATTTAAACAAAATTAGATAACATTCACAGATATACCTAATATTACTATAAGGTAAGTTTCTTGCAGAATTTGAAGAGAAATGTGACATATTTTGATTTATTTTGTAAATTAAATTTAATTTGAGAAAAAAATCTTTTGGATGCAACTCTATACTACACACAAAAATGCTACCAATTAAAATATAATGTCTATCCTTGTAAATTGTGTTATATAAACAGAAATTGTGCTAAGTGACATCAGAATTTTAAAAATATCTAAGACATTAAATTTCTTGTTTGTAAATTGTACTCATTATTTTTTTTTCCAGTTAAGCCTTTCTTTTTCTCAGAAGTAAACCAAAACAACATTTTTTTCATGATCTGTGTGTTGTAAGACACATACACAAAGGCAAGGGTTCAATGTTTATAAACAGCATATTAAAATATGAAGGTTTTTTATGTAAACCTCCTTAAAGAGTTAAGTATCCATGCCTGGTAGTTTGCATATTTTCACCATTTATCCCCTGCAAAAATTACTTTAATCTTTTGCTTTTAAAAAGTGGATTGAAGATTTTAGGAATTAACTGCAATAACTCTTTTGTCTTTCCTAAGTTTTGTTTATATTGTTCATAATATAGAATCCTAAAAATTGCATTTCCGAAGCCGGGCGCGGTGCCTCACACCTGTAATCCCAGCACTTTGGGAGGCCGAAGCCGGCGGATCACGAGGCCAGGAGATCAAGACCATCCTGGCTAACACTGTGAGACCTCGTCTCTACCAAAAATACAAAAAAAAAATTAGCCAGGTGTGGTGGCAGGCGCCTGTAGTCCCAGCTACTCGGGAGGCTGAGGCAGGAGAATGGTGTGAACCCAGGAGGCGGAGTTTGCAGTGAGCTGAGATAGTGCCACTGCACTCTAGCCTGGGCAACAGAGTGAGACTCCGTCTCAAAAAAAAATAATAATAATAATTGCATTTCCAAGTGTGGATTAAGAAAGGGAACCATTTGTTGTTGAGAATAGCTGTATCTTTTGTTCTTTTGAAACTTGAGTTCTCAAATGACCTCTGTCTCTATATTCTCTCTTCTAATGCTTATGGAGGCTAAGACTTAAAGTCAAGCATATAACTGGTAACATTCTGCTTATCAGCTCTAACCCAAGCACTCCTGTAGTGATTCACTTCCCTACCTAAAGCAGTTGAAATTTTAAAAATAACGTTTGGCTCTTGGAGAAGAAACCCCAGGCAAAAGCTTCACCTGGGAAAAAGAATTTATTCTTTATTATTCCTTTATGAAGGCATATCGAACACTTAAAATATATTGTTCCAGGAGTATTTCTATATTGTTTTGTTTTTATTTTTTTCTATGCCTTTTTGAAACAAAGACACATGGAAGAAAGAGAAAACTACAATTTGAAAAATAAAACGTTATTCAAATCACAACAGAAAGTAAAACCATCAGAATAAACTCCTCTTAGTCATAGTATTTTTCTTATCAATCACTTGGATTCCCATTAATCCAGTGAACTGTAAGCTTTGTTACAGATTCCTGTCAATTCAAGTTGATTATTTTAAACCTGGTTATTTTAAGTGAGTCTTGTTGTTAGTGGTGTTTTAATTTTGTTTACAATTTCAATATTATTCATAGACAGGGCTGATCATCACTTATGACTCTGAGGCAGCAGGAATCTGTCTTTCGCATCTGCATAGTGGAAGTTTTAAAGACTTGAGAGTAAAATTTCCTTCTTATGCGTCTATTTCACTTAGGCTTCTGGAAAACTATTAAATTGAAAATATTAATAGAAGGCAATAAACTCAAAGTAAATTTCATCTAGCATTTTAAGGGAATTAATAGACGATTAAATGCAAATGATGAGCTAAATTTCTAACCAAAAGGGAAGTCAGCTCTTGCTTCTGGAATGGCAGAATGGAGCACTAACAAGAAATTTTGTAAAATGTGGAGGACATACATGTAACTGGAAAGAGTCCACCATTTGGTCAGCATCCACCCTAATGGTAAATTTATAAAATAGATAGAAATAGGAATAACTGTATTCTCTTGAGGTATGTGTAATTTCTTTACATATATTATTTTGTTTTTTGAATATGCAAGTGGTAAGAGATAAAAACATTTTTAAATGTATTTTTTATAATTCAGGAATAAAATAAACATTCCAACAACAATTTAATTTAACACTTATTTTCTTAGAAATTAAATAGAGATAAATTTTACTATCACATTTTATGGTTGTTAATCATGTAGAATATACACAAAAAGAAATTTAAAAGATTGTACTTAAGAGCGAAATAACATTAAAAAGTACAATGAATGGATTAAACAAAATATAATAATAGTTATTCACTTTTGTAAAAGTACTCTTGATACATATTGAAAATAAACTTTCACAGTAGATTCAGTTGCATCACTTTCTATTCATTACTAATTCTTCATTATTGCGGTATAAGAAGCTTCCACAAAAGGTCATTGGTGAATATTAACCTGACTCTGATATTAGATAAACTTATTTGCAGCATTTTATACCTAAATTTTATAATTAATGTTTCTGTCGAATTATTCCTAATTGAAAGCTGACAGCTACATGGAGCAAAATCAAATTTATTTTGACTTACATAATATCACTTACTGAATGAGTACAGTGGGTTTGGGCCATAATCTGAAAAGACACAATTCCAAATGTTATAATCCCTAAAGTTGAAATCCTGAAAGATCAAAATTTGTTGTCTAAAATCCTCAAAAATCACAATCGCAAAATATCAAAATCTCAAAAGTATAATTCTGGAAAAAAATAAAAGAAAATTAAGGATACTTATCCATTTATTTAAAAAGGATTAATTTCAGAAATGAAAAACATGTCAGAACACATTATAGTCCAATTTACACAATAAAATAGGCAATAATAGCATCCATATTTTACAAGAATAATTGGGCTTATTAATTACAATAATACTGCTATATCAGTTATAAGCAGATGAACTGTATTTATAAAAACACAAGTCAAAAAT
Source organism: Homo sapiens (assembly GCF_000001405.40). NCBI lineage: Eukaryota > Metazoa > Chordata > Mammalia > Primates > Hominidae > Homo > Homo sapiens. The sequence continues at coordinate 190,774,205 of NC_000001.11, forward strand.
TTAAATGTATAAACACATATCACAATGGTTGGTATTTGAGTGCACTCAGCTTTATAACTGTGGTCACCTGAAATACTGCTATGGACAACATAAGTATTTGACAAAATCAATGAAAAACTGCGATAGGTCACCATCGTATATGCAGTTGTCCAAAAAATGATATCTTTTCATTTACTGAGGAGATTTCAAAATTTTTAGTTATACTCACAATGCTTACATTCAGGGTCAACATTGTGATAATGCACTTGGTGAACTCAAATTTAAGATGTCCAAGGCAGCAGAAGAAAAATCTGCCCCAGCTCTCAGAAAGACCAATTTGCCTTGTGTATTTGTTCTCTCTGGGTCCATGCTGCAATCAGCACCCTCACAGACACAAGCAAAATAATGCTTTACCAGGTTTCTAGGTATTAATTCAGTCACCATTTTAGTGGAACATAATAATTCCAATTATCTTACTTAAAAATTTTGCATAGACCAACAGAAATCACACCATGGAAATGTTTATATCGAGTTTTCAGAGATAGCTCAATTGCATGCTATATTCCAGTGCCAATCATAATTCTGAAAATACAATTCTGAATGCCATAATCCCAAATATCAAAATCATAAAATACCAAAATCTCTTCAGTCTAAATCCTACAGTCTAAATTCCACATCACTAATGCCTAAAATCTTGAAAATCCCAATTCTGAAAGATAGAATCCTGAGAGTTGGAATCTTAATAGTTGAATTCTGGCAGAGATTAGTGCATTTTCAGGTGTATGCAGGATAGTTGCATCATGTCAGGCAGAACTATTACCTTGTTTTTTTCTTCATTTTGCAATTAAGTATGATTTAAGGAAATGTGTATGGTTGCAAATTTGACAAGGGGTGAAATTGTAAACTTAATTTTAGGTGTCAACTTGACTGAATAGTAGTCTATTTAAAATGGCTGCTAATAAATAATTCATCTAAAATATATAGCATATTATATGACAAAAATAAATATTAGGTAACAAAGATACAGCATAAAGTTTTAGACAGTCTATTTGCCCTCACTTGTCTCCCAGACCACTTGAAGAAATAACTATAGATATATGACAATGGTGATGATGAAGAGGAAGAGGTAGAGGAAGAGGAGGAAAATAGACAATGATAGATGAGTGTGTGCGGGAACATTAAAGAATGAATATAACCAAAAAGACAAAATCATGTATCTTAGTATTGATTTGAGTCTTGCATTCACAGGCTGTAGTTGAGAAGACTTAATGTGTTAGGTCTTGCAAAAATATTAGGATTCAGATAGAAAACAAAGATACTAGAGAGGAATTAGAGTACAGTGATTATGAGCTCAAATTTTGGGGCAGACTGCTCAAGTTTTAATATAGATTTTGGTAACTCTAAGTTCTGTGGCCTTAAGTAAGTTATTTAACTCCTCATGTTTAAAATATGGGCTCTATTAACTGTGCCTACCTCATAGGTGGTTATAGCATGAACCAAGTAGATACATGAAAAGCACTTAGAACAACACCTATCTAAGTGTTTACACTTGTTCTAGGTTTCAGGGAAGGATGATATAGAATTATGTTATGGCACAGTACTACCATGTTCTAGAAAGTTCGTTCACTGTGTCTTAAAAACTTATTTTTTCCCCAGCTTATGAAAATTACCATTTTGTTGTATTATCTTAAAACACTTTATTATTTTCATTCATTCCATCATTTTTCATTGTGTTGCAATAAGCATTGCTTTATTTTTATTTTCACATTTACACTCAATCCTCACTTATTTCCACACATTTATTGGATAATTAAATATAGGCACTAGTGTTAATAGCTTTGCTACTACATACGCTGAAGTGAATTGTGTTAGAGGAATCTTCTCTTGCTTGTTGATGCAAAGGTCGCCTAATATAGTAAATATGATGTCTGTGAAATGTCCACGATTCATTAAAGTGAGAAAATTTCAGCACTTTGAAGAAATTAAATGTCTGCTGCAATTATCTTAAAGCAATGCCATTCTGTTTTTATTGACATATTGTTTTAAAGGTGACAGAATTTATTGACACTTTTAGTTGTTTACTTTAAAAAAGCTAAACTAAATTTAGTTAAACAGGTTGATAAATACATTTGGCTTTTAACATATAATCTGTTATTTTTCAAGTCTGGAGGACTAATAAATGCATTCACATAGTAAAGGACTTGGAAAACTAAACATTCTATTCATTATCACATTCCACATTATCAGACTTAATAATTATACTAGATTACATAATTGTTTGCTATATGCATGGCATTGAGCTAAATTGCTTTTGTGTATTAGTTATCTAAGTACTCACAGCAAACTTTGAGGTAGACTCTACTGTTGACTAAATTTAAAAATATAAAATTCCATTTCTTTATTGTATATAATTATTTTTTCTGCATATATCCTGGCCACAATGTAAAGCAGTTTAAAATTGAGATCCTGTTCTGTAATCTACCTTTGCCTCATGTTGTGCTAAAAACCAGCAAATGGTCACCAATTATTAGATACCAGGTACAAATTTTAAGCTTAGAAATGAGATTTAAATAAACTTGTCAAATATTTAAAGAAATAGTTTACAACTTGAAGTTTAGGGCAAAATATTAAATGATATAGTGTCAAAAATAATAATGATGATTTGCTCTGCTAAAAGTTGAAACCAAATATTGCTAATTCTCCAAGTTTATTTGAAAGTATGCATTACTCTAAGTAAATGGCAGATATTAAAATCTGTTTTTAATGTAATCTCATAAAATTTGACCTCAGGGTTTGGGATAGGGAGGGGAGAATTATAGGTAACATATAAACAATTTTATAGCAAAGGTGTTATGATTATTTATTTCAATGTGAGATAACAGTTGTGTCTCCTTTGAAATTAGGGCCTGCCTTTCTAAATCTCACTAGGAAATAACCTACAAAGTTTAAATTTTTGACCAAAAAAAGAAACCCACCACTGACATGTTTAGATTAAAAATGTATTTTAAAAATAATGCTTGTCAACCTTTATGGAAAGTAATCATAGAGCCAGTGCTTCATGAAATTTAACTATTTGCCATAAAAAAGTGTTGCACTTCATTTCCAGGAATCTGTGTTTTTTCGAAGTCTCTACTTGTTCCCTAGCAAAGTAGGGGTTTTAAATTAGATTATTTTATTGATTTGCTAATTTCTATAACAAATCACTTTGTTGATTTAGATGTAAGTTCACCTCATAATTTAAATGAAAGTATGATTCCAAATGATTTCTGATGTTCCTTTTAGCTTTAAAATTCTAATTTGTAGTTTCCAAATGTACTTTATTATCTGATGACTTGTTATTATCTGAGGACTGTTTACTAAATAATGTTTAATAATGTAATAAATAATATTTGGGATAAAGGTGTCTGAAAGCATTTCACTTAGAATATGATAAAAAAGAACCAATTAAAATGAAACTCCTTCATTTTGGGAAAAAATATACTAAAAGATTCTATCATAACTATTATGTAGAAGATATTTTGTCATTTAAACATACTAAAATTATTTTAATATTTATACAAAACATTATTTACCAAGCCTTTAGATAATACATACTTTGGAAACTACCAATAGTTAAATAGAATTTTGGAGGTAGGAGAAACCTCAGAAATCATCTAGAATCATACTTCCATTTAAATTATGACCTTAATTAGCATTATTAAAATTATTTTATTGTATGCATTTGTTTAATGAAAAGATATATACATCTTTATATTAGCAAGAAAATAATATAAATATGTTTTGGTTTCATTACTATCATAGCTCTCTTACAGTATTTAAAGGGTTAATTGAGAGACTACATGAATAAAATAATTTTTCTGTTAACGCTTTTATTTAGACTCGTCTGGGACACATAAACTAAGACATGCAATATTCTACCATCTCATTAAGCTTGTGTTATAGAAATGAGAGAACCTAGTGATTATTTGCCCTTGTAACACTAAAAGGAAAATCCGAATCTTAAGTAGTAATTAAGAAAACCAAAACTACATTTTAAACAAAGCATCTCTTATTTAGGCATGCCATTTTCTCTTTTCTTTCGGGAAAAAATAGCCTTGAATTTAATTGTATAATTTTACATCATTCTTTTAGGAACTGTTTAAACTATTCCTCTAATTCTCTTTGTATTTCTCTTCACTTTTATGCATACTATTTTTTAGCAATACATTATTACTGATTCTGTAATTAAGATATTTTTGTTTTTCCTTGAAAATGGCTAAATAGCTTAGCCTCATTCTGAACTGTTGGGGAGTGGGAATGGAGGTTTTCTGGGAGTGTTTTTCTTTTTTTTTTTTAGTCTTTTCAGTTTTTGCTTTGGAACAGAAAATAAGCCCTAAATCCATTCAGTAGTCTTTTCCTTCTGCAAGCAAGCACAGACTTTCACAGAGAAACAGCATTGCAAAGACAATGTACCTTATGCAGAAACCAGTGCTTCAGATGAAGGTTAATGGTTTGAACTGCAAGAATACCAGTCTACAGACTGTAATTAGGAGTCTCTGATGAAAGCCTGAATTATGATATGAAAAAAAATCTGCTCCTTCATATTAATGTTTATCTTTCACTCTTTCTGTGTACCTTTTCTATTTTAATGGCACATTTATCAAAATATCATATGCTCATTAATCTTAGGTTACAGGAAAAATATAAGTTCATATTGCATTTCAATAAAGGCATTTTATCCCCTTCTTAGATTCTTTCAGACAAAAGAAGGAACCAATGTTACATTATATCCTAAATGTTGCTTACGTTTTTTTGTCAGTGGAAATTATACAAAGGTCAACTTTTTCTCTGATTTCTAAGAAGTACCTATTTTACTCAATTTCACAACTAAATGTATTTATGGAGTATTGGTTAATACCACTGGAAATATTACAGAAAGATTGAATCAAATAAATAAATATACCATGACCTATATACTTGTGTGTTATATTGTTGTTCTAAGTAGCATTATTCTAAATTCTCATGAGTAAGATGATACATTTGTGGGTAGATGTGGTAAGCAAGACTTTTAGATGGTCCCCAAGGTTACAGGTCCCATGTAAATGTCCTGAGTGCTCACCTCCCCTGGAGTGGGGAAAAAACCTGTGAATATATGAGATATTATTTTTGTGATTAGGTAACTAACTAGTTGACTTTGAGTTAATGAAAAATGAAGGTTGGCTTGGATCTGGCTTAATCAAAGACAGCTTTAAAAGATGAAGCATCAGTTATATGCATTGTAGCCTAAAGAGAGCAACATTGATTTTAGAAATTTCCTATGGGAGGAGTGATTAGACATGGCGTGAAAATGTGAGCAGCCTCTGGGAAGTGAAAGTGGTTTCCAGCTGACTGCTAGACAAAACACAGGGACTTCAGTCATTTCAGACATACTATCACAAGGAAATGAATTTTGTTAATAATTTGAATGAGGTTGGAAGTGGATCTTTCCCAAGTCGAGCCTCTTAGAACCACAGCATGTCTAACACCACAGTATGGTCAAGACTTCATTACAGTCTTGTGAGATGCTGAGCAGTTAACACATACCTAAAATCTTGACCCATGAAAATTGTTAGATTATTAATGGGTATTGTTTTAAGCCTCCATGATTATGGTAAGTTGGTATGCAGTAATAGTAAATTAAAATAATTTGGGTATTTCACTTTCTAAATATTCAGCAAATTATATCTATATAATTAGGTGAAAGAAAAAATCTATATATTAGAAAACTATAACCTTTGATATAAGCTAAATTAAATAATTTAAGACAGCCCTAAAATTAAATTTCTGAAAACATTTAGCTGTTTAGAAATAACTTGGGACTTAATTGTATTCATTATTATTAAGATCACTTAAATATTATTCATAAAATATAATATATTAAAAAATCACAATTCTGGGATTCACTTTTTTCCTGCTTCACCAAACCTGTTTCTTCTACAATTGTTTCTTTCTTAGTTAATAAAAAATAGTATTCTACCAGTGGTTCATGCCAGAAACTTTGACATTTTGTACTTCTCTTATTATTTTACCCCACATGAAATCATCAGCAAACTCTGTTAGCTGTTTCTTCAAAATTCCTTGAATCTGACCCCTCCTAACCCTGACCCATGCCAGGAACTCTGATGGAAACCTTAAGTCTTACCCCATTTTTCACCTGTGCTATGCCTCTAACAGGTTACTGTCACTTATTTATGTGAAAGATACATCTTGTTCTTCCTCCTTTCAAAGTGTTCCAATGACAACTGGTTTCCCCATAATGACAGCCAAATAAAGCCCTTCCAACAGAACCTATTTTATCTGGCCTTCCTTTACCTCTCTGGCATCATCTTTGACTAATTTTTCCTGCTCTAAGCTTCTTGGTTCTGTTGCTTTTTTTCAATTTTCCTAACATACCCCTCAGTTCTTTACCCATGTTCTTTTTTCCCCTCCATCTGAAGCACTATATTTCAGTCTTCACCAAATAGGACCTTCTCAGTGAAGGCTTTCTTTTTCTTCTCTGTAACACCCTTGTCAATCTTCTTTCCTTGCTTAATTTATTTCCATAGCAGTTATTGTTTTCTAATATATTCCATCTCAATCTAAAATTATAATAGTAGGTATTTTGGTTTTGCTTTGGAATTAAAAGATTTCTAATTTTTAGTAGATTAATTATTGATAATCATGCCTTCCAGTGTTTAATTAGACCTGCCATATATTATGTTTAGTGTGCCTACTAAAGCAAAAGAACATGCTTTATGGTGGTACAATTCTTCTCACTTTCTCCTGAGTACTGCTTTGCTCACTAATAATTTTTTTCCTGTATTTTTCTTTTATTATATCAGTAACACTGGTTTTCTATTTTCATATATTTAAGATAAATCTTATCTTATTCATTCTGTCCATCAAAGACCAAATTCCTAAACTGCTCCTTTTTATTGAATTGTATATGAAACAACTTGTATGAGTTTAGGTATGTATGTAACTAAGGTATTTTAGAATGAGTAAATTATATTGCATTAATTCTGTAAGTTGTAATATCTAAACACGCATTTCAAAGCAAGAACTGTTTGGGGGGGTTTCTTTCCTATGAAAGAAATGTTCCAGATAGTAAAAAATATTGAGAAAAAATCACTGTGCTTAACGTTCAAAAATCTTTTATCTTATTTTATTTTTATGATACTCTTATAGTAAAGAGGGCTTGGCACCTTTAATAAGAATATATAATATAAAAAAAACACAGTGGACATTTTAGTGTATTTGATAACCAGAAATTTTAATAACTACTTCAAGTATCAGGATATTTGTGTAATGTGACAAGGATGAAAAGACTATATGAAAAAAACAATTTGAAATTCAATTTTATTTTGGTATATATTTTATCACTCATACACCATCAAAACTTGAGATTGGTTCTTCTGCTGAATATATATCTTCTGTAATGTTGAATTACTTAGTATATCATTTTTTAAACAAAGAAATGTTAAAAAATGTGCTAAGAGATTAAAATATTCTTTTCTAAGAAGCCTCAGGATTTGGAGGTGTCTTGGGGCTTCTCAACAAATAATTCTGTGGCTGTAGGGACAGCTCAGACACCTCAGCCTCACACATGAGGTGAATGGTATAACAGCACGTTTTAGACAAATAGTGAAAAACGACAAGTGCTATAATGACATCCAGGTTTCTTATGTGACCTGGGATAGTTCATTTTGTGCTGCCAATCCCAGATATGTTGCCGTATGCATAGAGGTGTGTGGGAGGGGAGAGTTGTGCTCCATTGCCCAAGAATTTGAATGAGATTCTTCATTCAAAACAGTAGGAAAATGTCTGCTTGCCTGGATTAGCAGCCTGAGCCACCCCACCATTGACATGCAGAGACTATGGTGAAGCGGGGCCTTTCCCACTCCATGCCCAGGCAGATCTCCAGGCATTCAGAGCACCTGCTTTCTCCTGTGCAGAGATCATGGTGCAGTAGGGCCCCCTCTGCTTCATGCCCCTGCAGATCTACATGCATTCCAAGCAGCTGCTAGCCTGAATCAGCAGTCTGAACAACTCCGCCCTTCCTGTGCAAAGACTGTGATGCAGCAGGGCCCTCACCATTCCACACTCAGGCACATCCCCAGGAAGTTGGAATACCCATTCCCCTGGATCAACAGGCTAAGCCTCCACACCCTTCATGTGCAGAGATTGTGGTGCAGCAGGGCTATCAACACCTGACTCCTTGCCATATCTCCAGGTATCTTGAACACCCATTATCCTGGAATAAAAGTTTAGGCTGCCCCTCCTCCCTATGCAGAGAACTTGAGGCTGAGGAGGATTCTCAGCTCCACACTTAGTCACACCTCTGGGTGCTTGGTGGCCACTCGCTGGATTCTCCCTCAGTACTGGTGTTTGTGCCTGCCATTGTAGGACCTGTAGGTGGGCTTGCATGGTCCTTCCTCATCCATCTTCTCCCCACTCAGTGTCTGAGCACACAGCTCAGGTCACTTTGCACTTCATGGCTTAACCCATTGTCTGAGGCAACAGAGAGCTTCTCCTGGTAAACAAGGATCAGGTATATACCCAGCCCCATTATCCATAGTTGGCTCTTACTTATAAGCACAATCTACTGGCTTGTAAGTCAAACTACGCAACCCAGTAAAAAACTGGTGACAGAAGTGCATAGGGCCATAGAAGCAAAGCCAAAAGACCCTACTCAGCATTCTCTACAGTCACTCCCTGAAGGAAGGGGAGGAACTGAAATGAAATACAGTAATATCATAGAGAAAAAGGCAAGGACACAATTTGCTATCCACATGAAAATAATTGCAAAAATTGGAAGTGCCAGTGTCTTCAGATGAGGAGCCAATGCAAGACTTCTAGCACTGTGAAAAATATGAATGTAGTGACATCACCAAAGGATCACACTAACTCTCTCCACCAACAGTTCCTACCAAACTGGAAAGTCAGAAGTGACAGAGAAAGAATTCAAAGCAGGGATTTCAAAGAAGCTCTACAAGATCCATGACAATGCTGAAAAACCACACAAAGAAAACTTCCAAATCACCCAAGGAAATGAAGGAAGAGATAAACATCTTAAAAATAAATTAATCAGAGCTTCTGAAATTGAAAACCTCACTTAAGGAAGTTCAAAATACAATTGAAATCTATATCAATAGACCAGACCAAGAAAAAGAAGTAATTTCCCAACTTAAAAGCCAGTCTTTCAAACTAACCCACTCACACAAAAATAGCAAAAAGGAATTTAAGAATATGAACAGTCGTTGAGAAATATGAGATGATGTAAAGTGACCAAATCTACAAATTACTGGCATTACTGAGAGAGAAGGAGAAAAAGCAAATAACCTGGAAAACATATTTGAGGGAATGATTCAAGAAAACTCTTCTAATCTTCTAATCTTGGTGGAGGTAGACATATTGATACAAAAAATTCAGAGAACACATGCAAGATACTATACAAAACATATCTCACCAGGGAATATAGTCACCAGACTCTCCAAAGTCAGCACTAAAGAAAAAAAAATCTTAAAGACTCAGAGAAAATGGGCAGATTATGTACAAAGGGAACCCAATCATACTAACAGCGGACATTTCAGTAGAAACCTTACTAGCAAGGAGAGATTGGAGGCCTATTTTTGGCATTCTTAAAGAGAAAAAAAATCAATTGTCCCACCAAACTAAGTTTATCCCAGGAAACTAAGTTGCATAAGAGAAGGAAAAATCAAATATTTTCTAGGCAACTAAGAGCTAGGGAATTTCTTACCACTAGATCAACCTTACAAGAAAACTTTAAGGGAGTTCTACATATGGAAATGAAAGAATGATCCTTGCTACCACAAAAACACACTTTATTACATAGCCCACAGACCCTGTAAAGCAACCACATAATAGAAACTGCAAAGCAACCAGCCAACAACTTCACAATAGCATCAAAACCTCACATATCAATATTAACTTTCAATGTACATAGTATAAACGCCCCCACTTAAAAGACACAGAGTGGCAAGTGGGGTTAAAAAAATACCTCATCAACCTGCTTTCTTCCAGAGACACATCTCATGGCTACGCAACACTCATAGGCTAAAAGTAAAAGATAGAGAAAGATCTATCATTCAAATGGAAAACAAAAATTAGCAGGAGTTGCTATTCTTTTATCAGATAAACCAGACTTTAAACAAACAACAGTAAAAAAGTACAACAAAGAGCATTACATAATGATAAAAGGTTCAATTCAACAAGAAGACTTTACTATCTGAAATATATATTTACCCAACAGTAAAGCACACAGATTCATAAAACAAGTACTTGTAGACCTAAGAAAATACTTAGTGACACAATAATAGAGGGGGGTCCTCAACACTGCATTAACAGTGTTAGATGAAACATTGAGGCAGAAAACTGCAAAGATATTCTGGACTTTAAATTCAGCATTTGACTAATTGAACCTAATAGACATCTACAGAATGCTCTACCCATCAACCATAGAATATACGCTCTTCTCATCTCAAAGAAAATATACTCTAAGATTGACTACGTGCTTGTCCATAAAGCAGGTCTCAATAAATTCAAAAAATTGAAACAATACCAATCATACTTTCAGACCACAGTGGAAAAAAATTAAAACAAAGAAGATTTCTTAAAAGTCCACAATTACATGGAAATAAAACAATTTGCTGCCAAGTGATAGGTACATAATGATATTAAGGCAGAAATCAAAAAAAATATTTGATATAAATGAAAACAGAGACACAACATACCAAAATCTATTGTATGCCAGGAAAGTGGTGCTGACAGTAATGTTTATAGTGCTAAATGCCTACATTGAAATGCTAGAAGGATGTCAAAATACTGATCTAACATAATACTTAGAAAAACAATTTATTGAGAACTACAAAACACTGCTGAAAGAAATCATAGACAACACAGACAAATGGAAAAATATTCCATCATCATGGAGTGGAAGAATCAATATCATTAAAATGACCATAATGCCCAAAGTAATGTACAGATTCAATGCTGTTTCTATCAAACTACCCATGTCATTTTTACAGAATTAAAAAAAAGCTATTATAAAATTTATATGGAACCAAAAATTAGCCTAAGTAGACAATGCAGCCATAAGCAAAAAGAACAAAGCTGGAGGAATCCCATGGCCCAACTTCAAACTATACTATGAAGCTACAGTAATTAAAACTGCTTGGTACTAGTACACATATAGACATATAGACCAATGAAACAGAATAGAGAACCCCAAAATAAGGTTGCATACCTATAGCCACCTGATCTTTGACAAAGTCAACAAAAAATAAGCAACGGGGAAAGAATTCCCTGTTAATAAATGCTGCTGGAATAGCTGGCTAACCATATGAAGAAGAATGAATCTGGACTCTTACATTTCACCACATACAAAAATTAACTCAAGATGGATTAAAGACTTAAATGTAAGACCTTAAACTATAATAATCCTAGAAAAAATCCTGGGAAATATCATTCTAGACATCAGCTTTTACAAAAAATTTTTTACTAAGTCCTCAAAAGCAATTGCAACAAAAGCAAACATTGAAAAATGGGACCTAATTAAGCTAAAGAGCTTCTGCACAGCAAAAGATACTATCAACAGAGTAAACAGACAACCTATAGAATGGGAGAAAATATCCACAAAGTATGTATCTGACAAAGGTCTATATTCAGAATCTATAAGGAACTTAAACAATTCAACAAACAAAAGCCAAATAACCCCATTAAGAAGTGGACAAATGAGAAGTGAACAGACACTGCTCATCAAAATACATATAAGTCAACAACTAACATATGAAAAAAAATTGCTCCACATCACTAATTGTCAGAGAAATGCAATGCAAATCAAAACTACAGTGAGATACCACCTCACACCAGTCAGACTGGTTCTTAGAAAAAAGTCAAGAAACAACAGATGCTGATAAGGCTGCTAATAAAAGGAAACACTTACACACTTTTGGTGTGATTATAAATTTGTTCAGCCACTTTTCTCAGAAGTTTGTGGATTTCCTCAAGAGTTTAAAACAGAGCTACCATTTGACCAATTGGATGTAAACCCAGTGATCTTATTACTGGGTTTAAACCCAAAAGAAAGTAAATTGTTCTAATAAAAAGACACATGTGCTCATATATTCATCACGGAACTATTCACAATAGCAAAGACATAGGATGAACTTTGGTGTCATCAAGGGTGGATTGGATTTAAAAAAATGTGGTATATATACATCATGGAATACTATGCAGCCACAACAAAGAATGAAATCATGTTTTTGCAGCAACATGGACGCAACTGGAGGCCATTATTCTAAGCAAATTAATGCAGGGTCAGAAAACCAAATACTGCATATTGTCACTTGTAAGTAGAAGCTAAACACTGGCTACATATGAACATACAGATGGGAACAATAGACACCAGGGACTATTGGAGTGGGTAGAGAGGGAGGAGAGCAAGGGCTGAAAAGCTACCTATTGGGTGCTGTTCTCACTACCTGAGTGATGGGATCATGCATACTCCAAACTGCGTCATCATGCAAAATACCGATGTTAGAAATCTGCAATGTACTCTTCAAATCTACAGTAAAATTTGAAATATTTTTAAAAACACAAAAAGCAAGCAAGAAAAAACAGTGGAAAAGGAAAAGTAACAAAGAAGGCTAAGTGATCATTGTAGAGCCATTTTCAGACTTAGATAATAGCAGTTTACCTTAAAACATGTTTATTAAATTAATAATGAACTATTATGCAATTGCACACGTCTTTAATTTGCAGAAGAAAAGAAAGATGTGGATACATCTCTGAGATAAAGCTGCCCTACATTTCCTTACCCTGAAAATAGACCCAGCCTGCTAATACCAATCAATGTCTTTGGGTTCACCAGAGTCAATTTGATTATGCCCTTTGCTCTGTTTATTATTGTTGTCATAAGAAGCTATAGTCGTCTTGGTTATCCATCATCTTCTCCATCCTCTACACCCCATATAGTTCATCTCCTTTCCATCCCTTCTCTTGCCTTTCCATGAATCTGGAAGGCCTTCAACATTCCACCAATATGGAAACACTTCGTATCCTCAACTTTGGCTCTAAAAGCCTTCTTCACATTATCTCTTGGCTTTTGTCATAGGATACTGATAATCCTGCCCCTTCTTAAGAAGAGTTATTTTTCTCTTTCCTACAGCCTCCAGGTCAGGGTGGCTGTAAGAGGGTGGGTGACTTCTTAGTACCTCATTGCAACTTCATATTTTTTTTTACTTTCCTTTCAAACTTCCCGTGTTGAAGTCTGTCATCATGTTGTATCACACTTTACACCTCATTGTTTCTGTATCATGTACTAACAGCAAGGGGCCTTTATTTTTGCTTCTGTCTTCATATTACTCTTATTATTCTTATTTAGTCTTAATTATTGACAATTTCTATAGAACTATAGAAATCCTCACACACCACAAACTCTAATTTTCATGAATTTATCTCCACCCGTGATCTTGTTATCTCCTCTGTCTCAACGATTCATCTATTCTCAGGGTTATACCCTCTATATGTGTATTATAATATCCTCATTTTTTGCACTCATTTTTCTAATTACTTCCAACTTCTTTCCAGGTGACTTCTTTTGGCATTACAGAATCCTTCAAAACTATCAGGACCCATAATATGTGTATTCATCAATGTTTTCACTAACTTCTATGCTTTCTCTTTCTTGCTTATGCATTTTCAATTTCACGGTCATTCATTTTAACCACACTCATATACCATCAAACATTCTTGCATTTTTTCACGTAGCTCTGCTTTCTTGCCCAAATCATAACACTGACCAAACTAAGCATTTATTTACTCTTTTCTTGCACTAATGTAGGTGAAAGTAACTGGACAAAAACTCCAAATCATAATGACTCGTCTCACTTCAAATGATGAATATAACCTCAATAGACCTGTAGCACTGCCTAAGGGCAATAATTTGTTTCTCTCAAGCATATTTCTTTCTCTTAGAAAACCAACTCATCTTTTTCTTTATCTCTTTTAAACCTTCCATACTTTCTTTCCCAACCTTATTCTCAGATGATGACCTTGCTTACTAAAAGCCTTGAAGTGATCATAATAAAAATTTCTATAGATTTTCATCACCACATTTACCCACAACTTCTAAAATCTACACTTGTATCTTTTTTTACTTACTTTTTCCAGTCACCTTACAAAGGATCAACTAACATCCTTTTACATAAAATGTATTTCTGCACATTCCTGCTTTCCAAATTAAGGATACAAATACAATAGTTTCTTCTTCTTCTAATCTGCATCATTAATTTTTCCTCCCTCAGTGTATAAATAATTCTTTTCCTTTTTGTTATCTTTCTTCTTTTTTAAAAAATATATTATTTCATTTCTTATTCATGCTATGTCCCCATATCTCTCTTTCATTTGTAGCAAAGACCCTTGAAATAGTTTATTTTGATTGTTTCCAGTTGTTCTCCCCATTCCCATTCTTTCTTAAATTCAATATAATCAATCTTCATCTCCAACTCTATTAGAACCACTCTTTTAAGTTCACCAATTATCTCCAGCCTGTCTTCTAGGACTCAATATTTGTCCCTCTTTTACATCTACACTAGTTATCATATCTAATTTTATAATTTTGATATCATTTGATCTAAAGACTGACAACTTTATTCCTAGGAATTTTAAACTCATATCCAACTGCTTACAGATATCTCAGTTTTAACATGTTCCAAATATAATTTTTTTCCTACAAACCCATCTCATTCATGGTCCATTTTAGGTAATATTAACTCCATCTTGCAAGTCCTCAGGCCAAACAAGCAGAAGATATTATTGACTTCTCTTATTAAATTGTTAGTTGGCTTACACAAATTCTTACAGGGTGACCAGATATCTTAGTTTTCCTGAGATTGAGGGGTTTCCTGAGAGAAAGGGATTTCATTGCTTAAACAAGTGCAGTAGCAGGCAAATTGTCACAGTTGTTCACACTAGAGGATCTGTTTCCTATGACCTCTCTGATATCATTTCCCACTAATCTCTATTTCACATGCTGTACCCCAGCAACGATGAACTCTTTGCATTCTCTCAAATATGTCAAATAGTTTTACACCTTAAGAACTTTGTGCTAGCTCTTCTGTTGCATTCAATGCTATTTTCAGTGGCTAACTCCTTTAATTTCCTTGAAGCTTGCTCAAATTCCCACTTTTCAATGGTCCCCTCTGACCATCCAATTGAATGATTTCCACTCTTCTTCCATCTTTCTAATTCTAACTCACTGCCTTGGACCTTGAGCATAAGTGACAGGCATGATCAAAAGTTGTTTGGAGGAAAAAGTGGTAACAAATTTTGTTATGTAATTTGCAATGTGGAAAATAAAGTTGTGTCTATTTTTCTTGCTTAACTATATGAGTTTAATCAAAACTAGCTTAGATATTTTATGGACTATAAAAGTGACCTCTGCATTAATTATATTTAATCTAAGAAGTTTTTATATTTCACACATATCAATTTACTGTAACATTTCTGTGTTGATTCCACCTGTGTTTAAGGAAAGAGAGAGAGAATTCAATTTTAATAACAACCGTAGCCATATATTAAAACTTCTTAAATTTTATATAGGTTTAATTCCAGTGATTGAACATTTCTTAAAATAGTATTGTGTTATTGTTTTCCAAATCTTCTTTCAAGCTAATGATAGTTATTCCACAGGTCCTTACGAGGGACCTCTTGATCTAACTAGATGGTTTCCATGGATATTTAGAAAGCAACTGAAACATTTTAAGTGGCAATTAAAGTTAACAAATATGGTGACAATAATTCACAACCAAACTGAAGTGACAGCAACATGAAAAGCCATGAAAAAATTTAAACATATAGAAGCAATGATGAAAATATCTGCATTGCAACCTGAACAAAGATGAGAACAAGATTTTAACAAATTTCTATGCTTCCCAATTCTAAAGATATTAAACATTAAAAAACTATATCCTAGGATCACTGAAGTGTTATATGCTGAAAACAACTTCCTCCGGGATCAATTTTTTTAAATGAAATGTGAATTAATCAATATTGTCTAGCTAATTTGCTGCAAAATTCCTCATATCCTTTGATACGTTAATTCACATTGCGAAGCTGCAAGAGAGGAATTAATTTTGTTGAGTTTCACAAATTTGCCTGTCTAGGGATTTCTGTTTTCTTTCTCTTATACCTTTTTATTTATTTATTTTTTGAGTAATCAAATAACTAGTATTTAAGGAATATACTAGTTTTTATTCTCTGTTGTCCTAATGTTAAGGAAGAAAAATTACCGTTTATTCATTTCCTGTGTATTCTCAAGCAAAATAAACTCTTAAGATAACTAGTAGTGGTAAATAATAAGAGCAAAGGATTGAATAGGAACCCCTTTCTAAGTATTTTATTTTTTCTCCTGGAGAATGCTCACCGATTCTTAGAGATACCCCTCCTCTAATTATAGAATCATTTAAAAAATCTCCTGAGAGGAGCTTTAAATTGTGATCATGAAAAGATAATGAAACATACCATTTATTTAGTAATGGGTGTGCCAGAAATGCTTTTCAATCTACTGGAAGAGTAATAGAGTTTGAATACTTGTGGTTGAAGGAGATAAATTAAAGAGAAGTAAATGTATCTTTGTGTGCAGGACATTAGTATGTATTTCCTGTTCTGACAGAGAATATTGGTTTAATTGATATAACTTTATTTTACTGAAGAAATAGAGCATACTAAATGTCATTACAAAAAAAATCAAATGGAACATTTTAATTATTGTCACAAAAAGATGGAAAGCTCTTTCCTAAAGCACCAAAGCTGAATAAAATGGGAGTGGAGTATCACCAAAATACTGCTGGAGACAGCCAAGAGCCACCAGATATACACCTCAGAGGGGATATGATATGCTCAAATATCCCAGACAAGCAGAAGACTTAGGAATTACAGAAGACATAGAATAAATAGTGGTACAGTGACCTTAGTAAGAGATTATGCCTTTATCGTTCCTTACTGGTTAACAGTGGGGTTTTTCCCTGTAATATAAGGTTTTGTTTTTGTTTTTTAATTGTGCTGTTTTGACCCAGTATTGAGGCCAGTTTGTTCCCATTCTACAACAGCCTCTCCCCTTACTGGGCTCTCAACTCCAGGCTACTATGCCCTTGCCCTATTTGCTCCAAGGCCAGGTTCCAGGCAACTTAAATTATTAAATTATCAAATTAGCCAGTTCATAGGGAGCCCAGAAAACCTAGCTAACCCTAACGTGATGTCCATGCATGAGCGTCCCCAACAGCTCCAACTTGTTGTTACTCTGTCCCTAGGTTGCAATCCTTGTGTGGCCCTGCCTGGAAGCCTTCTCTCATTCAGAGCTGTAAGTAACAATAAAAATCCTGTCTTTCATCTATTGAGTGTTGATGTTTGTAATATGCCATCAAAAGACTCTTAAAATATTATAAAGCATTCCTCACTGCCCAGTCAAAGAGGTGGGCTCCAAAACAAATATTTTTGAAGATAATGTGACTGATGGAAAGCCAGGCCATTCACTTTCAATGTATTATTATTATTCAATGGATTTGCTGATCAGTCTTCTCTAGGAATTTGAGCAAGTGGAAAAAAAATTCTAAAAAATATGACAAGGCAGAAAGAAGACAAAACAACAAATCAGCTGATAGTTTCCTGCTTTGGTCAGGCGATAGGTGTGTTTCCTATAGTTTAAGTGGAAAATTAGCTAAATATAATTAACTTTATGGTTCCCTACCAGAATTTGAGAGGTCAGTCTCTCAATGGGAAACTCCAACAGGAAAAGGCTTGCATAGACCACAGAGACAGGTGCTGAGTAGGAAATTGGTCAGTTCCTGAATTTTTCGTGTCGAAGAATCAGGCCACAGAAGGGAGACTGTATTCTGCCCCACAGAATCATATATATTTTTTACCAGAAAGCCAAGAGAGCACTAAAGCATCATCAATTGAGAAAATCATTGTTTGTATATTTCTTTGGTATGGGTTAAATTGTGTATTCAGGAAAATATATGTTGCAGTTCTAACACCCGGTACTTCTGGATGTGTGTGACTTTATTTGTAAATGAGGTCACTGTAGGTGTAATTAGTTAAGGTGAGACCATACGGGAGGAGGATGAGTCTTTAATCCAACATAACTAATGTACTTATAAGGAGACACTGAGACCCCCGGGAGAATACCACATGATGGTGTAACCAGAGAGTGAATTGGTGCCTCTAAAAGTTAAGAAAATAACAATGAATGCTGGTTGTCACCCAAAACTAGAAGCGAGGCAAGGAACAGATCCTCTTTCACAGCCCTCAGAAGGAACCAATTCCACCAACACCTTTGCCTCAGACATCAAACTTCCACAACAGTTTGCAAGAGTGAATTTGAGACGGGAGGAGTTCCCTCACCCCCTTGCAGGGCATGTGACAGAGGTGTGGCTCCCCTCTTAGGTGGCCCACTGCTCAAACCCCTGGGGGGAGCATGCAGACTGGCAGTTCTAGGGAGTGTTTTGGGTCTCAGGCCCCATGGTAGTGTTTGGGGTTGACTGTTTACAGCTCCTGAAGCCCCAGTAGGCCTGTGTTACAGTGTGCGCTCTCAGTTTTGCCATCTGCAGGCAGCTTGTGTTAATCAGCTCAATTATACCCTCTGCCTTACTGCAAGGACAAAGGCCTTTCTGTATCTTGGGTTCTTGCCCTAGTGTGCCGGAAAAAAACAGATCATATGTGAGCTTGGAGGATGGGTACAAGGTTTTATTGAGTGATGGAAGTAGCTCTCAGTGAGACGGATGAGGAGGCCAGCATGGGAATGGAGTGGAAAGATGGTCTTCCCCTGGAGTCGGGCCTCCCAGTGGCCAGCTCTCCCCTGACTGCCCGCAACAGAATTCCATGTCGTCCCGCCATCTGATGGCCTGCCAGCGTCTGCTGGTGTCTATCAGTGAGCTCTTTTGCTCTTCTGCTCCTCTCGACGTCCAGTTGTTTGTGTCTGCCCACTAGGGTTTCAGAGTTTTTATGGGCACAGGATGGGGGGCGTGGTGGGCCAGAGTGATCTTTGAAAGTGCAACATTTGGGCATGAAAAGAGGAGTGCTTCTCCTCACTTAGTTTCTTGGGCACAAGCCCGAGGGTGGAGCTCCCGCCAGGTACCCCGCTCTTCTCTACCCAGCACTTCCCTGCCATGCTCCCGTATCAAATTTCAGTTGTTTTAAGCTACACTGCTTGTGGTACACTGCTTAACCAAGTTGCTTTGTTAAAGCAACTTTAGGAAATTAATACATTCTCCAATTTTTTCATTCCCCACTCTTAACTCTAGAGTAGATACAGGAAGAAGAGTGAAGGAAGAGGAGGAGTGAAAATAGGCATGGAAGCCTCTAAGCCTCCAGGTACTGGGAGCAGAGAGAGAGGTAAGGTTTGATTGCATAGGTAATGGAGGTTTTAAATTAGGATGATTGATCTAGAAATTGCATACTCTATATTTTAGACCCTTATGTCAATTTTCATTGCAAATTGTCTGTTTTAATGAGATAAACTTCAAATAGTATTAATGGGTTTAAAAAGAAATTAAGCAGATATTTGTTGGAAGCTATTGAAGAAAAATAAATGTCATTCACATAGGCACCCCAACAAGTTCTGAGTGCTCAATAAACCTGTCACACAGACTTGACCGAGAGTAAATGGATCTAAGTGGGCATCCTGTTCAGCCTAAGTTCAGCCACCTTGAGACTACCCTTAGCACTTGCCCCAATTATCACTAAAGAAACAAAAAATAATTTCAAGCTTAATTAATAATTCATAAGATTTACATTATACATCTTGGAGCTTTATGTCCTATAACATTCAGGAAAATAAAATAAAATTATTTCATCACTGGCTTATAGTCATGTCACCTCTCTTTTCCCCTTCCCTTTTAAGACAAATTTCTTCACCTTTCTGTATTGTCCTAAGCAAATATACCATGCATATTCTATTCAGCAAAACTGAAATTCTGTTAGTTGAACTTAAAATCCTTTAAAAGCAGCTCAGCAACCATGCTTACTGATAAGTAACAATGCTTCTCAAGTGAGTTATCAAATTTTTCAACCAAATACATAGGTCTCTTGGAAGATTTTAGTCTTTGCATAAGCAAAACACAATGTGGTTTTCTGTCCAATTATGTAAGCTGTAGTTAGAAAATTCTCATACATACCTGCTGAAAGAATATTCTCATATATATGCTAATATATGTATACTCATATATATAATGTATTAAGGACATTCTCATATGCTGAAAGAATATAGAATATAAATATGTAAATATGTTTTTTATGTTTAACATGAAACATATAATACATTATTATATATGTTACATATGTAATGTATTATAATATTATATGTTACATATATAATTTATTACATATCATATAGTATATTACATATACTATATAGTAATGCATTATATATGTAACATATATAACACATTATTATACTATATATGATGTGTATGTATAGTATTATATATTTTATTGTATATACTACATGCACAAATTACAGGACAGTATGTTAGTTGTTATTGGAGATAAATGCAAATAAGACAGCATAAAGCATTGTAACTATAGGAAAAAACATATAATTCCCATAATTATAAATGTAACTGAAGACAGAATGTTATGCTAGGTTTGTGAGTGCTAATTAATAGCATTATTTTCAACTCCAAGTATTTAACCAACTGAGAAATTCACGCTGGAGTCAGTTAGAAAATAAAATATCAGTTGTTTCTTTTTCTTGTTTTCTTGACAAGGCTAAATTAGAGGATGGAATAAAAATGGGCCTGCTGCATTTTTCTACCAACTCACCTCACTCCCTTTCAAGATCTTAAGATCTTTTGGACTGCCAAGCGGAAATTCCCTGGGAAAAATATTTCCCACCACATCCAATTCAGAAGAAACCAATAAATAAAATCTACCTATGAGCAAATGGGACTTCAAGTCTATGAAATGGAAAATTATAAAACAGTGAACAGATCTCCATTCCTTATTGCAATCATGTAGTCTTCTAGTCTAGGGCCATGCACCAAAACCATTTTAGATTTAACCCCTGACTTGTTGTCTTCAAGCTGATATATTCAGGTGGCAAGAATTATTAGTTCAACTAAGAATGGCTAAGATGTAATAAATATTCAATAAATACTAACTGGGGGTTGTGCACCAAGGATAAAGACTTATTTATATAGACTCAATTGAAAAGTCTACAATTTGAATTTGCTCTTCGAAATTCCCAGAAGGCCTCTCAAGTGTCACAGAATCAGCAAGTGAACAAGATTCTCACCATCCTCAGGGCAGTCAAGAACAATAAAATGTAGAACTTTGAAATTCGGAGATTAAGCTGTAAGGCTAATCTACACAGAGGACTAACATGAGCAAACATATGAACAGGGCAATTCTGGTACTGGCAGCACTTAAGTTTAGGATATAAATGGAGATAAGTGTAAGAAAGTAGGACAAATGGCTTTTTAGTATAATTTGAATATTATCAGATGACAAATTTTAATTTAAGATAATTTCATTTGTGTATTAAAATGTTTAAAATAGTTTAATAATCTATTTTACTACCATTATTAACCATTGAAATATTCTGTTAATAATGTTTTTAATATTTACTTATAGTATTACTTAATTATTTTTCTAGGCAGGTTAACTTAGTTCAATTATCCATTAATTAGAAGCAGAAATAAAAGTTAATATTTAAATCTTCCATTTTCAACCAATACCACATTCTTTTACCCACACCTTTTTAAGATCTCTTCTTCATCAGCAAGACGAGGGCATGAACTACATATCCATATCCTTCCCAACATGGTTCAGGTCAGAGTTTGCCAGTGAAAGGCACTAATGCAGGATTCGGAAGGTAGAAAAAAATGGATAAGCCATTATTTTTCAGAGGTAGTTGTGATCAGACACAAGCTTCCTGGCGAGCTGTGGAGATACACCCATGTTGTCATTGCCTAATTTCTCCCTGAACATTTAGAAAGCTTCTTCATAGAACCTACGGAATGGGAAAGAACATTTGCAAGCTATGCAGATGACAAAGTTGTAATATCTAGACTCTATAAGGAACTTAACAAGCAAAAAACAAACAACCCCATTAAAAAGTGGGCAAAGGACATGGACAGAGATTTTTCAAAAGAAGACATAGACACGCCTAACAAGTAAACAAAAAAAAATGCTCAACATCACTGATAATTAGAGACATGCAAAGCAAAACCACAATGAGATACCATCTTACACCAGTCAGAATGGCTATTATTAAAAGGTCAAAAAATAAATGCTGGCAAGGTTGTGGAGAAAAGAGACCGCTTCTACACAGCTGGTGGAAATGTAAATTAGTTCAGCCTTTGTGGAAAGCAGTTTAGTGATTTCTCAAAGAACCCAAATGCAGAAATACTCAACCCAGCAATCTGATTATTGGGTATAAACCCAAAGAAATATAAATCAGTATACCATAAAGATACATGGATATGTATGTTCATTGCAACACTGTTCACAATAGCAAAGATATGGAAACAGCCTAAATGGCTGTCAACGATAGACTGAATAAAGAAAATGTGGTACATATATATCATAGAAGACTATGCAGCCATAAAAAATAATGAGATCTTATCTTTTGCAGCAACATGGATGAAGCTGGAGGCCATTATTCTAAGCAAACTAAAACAGGATCAGAAAATCAAATACCAAATGTTTTTATTTGTAAATGGCAGCTAAACTTTGAATGCATATGGACACAATGAAGGGAAAAACAGACACCAAGGCCTACTTGAAGGTCGGGGTTGGGAGGAGGGGGAGAATCAAAATACTACCTATCGAGTACTATGTTTATTACTTGGGTGACAAAACTATCTGTACACCAAACCCCTGTGACACACAATTTATTTATATGACAAACCTACACATTTACCCCTGAACGTAAAATAAAAGTTGTTTTTTTTGTTTTGTTTTGTTTTGTTTTTTAATGAAGAAATGTAGCAGTTTCTCACGGCATTGTTGGTAACAACATGCTTCTAAACTCTTGGTTGAGATAGTAATGGTGAACTTTCTGAACTTTGATTTCTCAGTTCTTCTAATATTTTTCTAAATCTCAAAGTCCCATTAAATTCCATTCCTGCTCAAAACTGACAGATCATATTTTAATTAGAAAATGGACAAGAACCATGATCTGGTTCACTCCAGCCTGGGGCCCTCCTGACCTGGGGCTGCCCAGGCGCTGAACAACTACCCTTGGCACCCAGGAGAACCAGACACTGGTAGTAGCTGGAACCCTGTGGGACTGTCCTGCCCACTTTGGCCCTGTCCTGCCCACTGTGGCCCTGGAGGCTGAGGTAAGTGATTTCTGGACTATGTACATGGCCTGGCTCAGCTCTCAGTATATAAATTTGCAGACCAATGTGAATAGGTAACAACTGAAAATGGTATTGGAACAGTTGGAAGGTTTGCACAGGAAAATTTGGGAGATGTTTATTACAGTCTGCCTGAAATTGAGACAAAATTAAACAAATAAAATGGATTTTGGACATTGGAAAGGGTGAAAGCTGCTACTGAACTTTGTTCTCTTCTATCAGGAGAAGCAACCAAAATTAAAGAAGCTCTTGCAGAAAATCCAGCACTTGTCAACAAATCTTGTTATGAATAGAGTTGGCTGATCAAGGTGACACTCAGTAACCGTTAAAAACTAGATGGATTAATGAATGAAGATATATATAAGAAATATGTGAAATCAACCAAGGAGTAAAAATGAAACCCCTATAAAAACTATTCTGAGGAAAAGTAATGAAAAAAAAGAAAATGAACAAGAAGTAAGATAATCAAGTAATAAAGTGATGTTTTAGGGTTACATATCATTCTGAACAAAATAACAAAAAAAATTAATTTGGTATAATTTACACTTATTTTCTCTTCAGATATATTCTTTAATTAATATGCCATTTCAAACCCTTACAAGTATGAATTTTTAAAACTATATTCTTTCTTTTTTAAATAACAGTGAGCTATTGAAAACTCAAAATCTACCGAGTTGACCTTTCTGTTAAATCTGTTGAATTCACTTGATATAATTAAAAAACATACATTGTAAAAGAAAATATAGAATCAAACTTAGTGTGATTAGCATATGATAAAATGATAATTAATGTAATAAGTCTTCAAAGCTTTCCCTAAAACTTTTGATAGATCAAATAATATTTTAGCTCTTATCCTTGCTTGATGAGCACACATCCTAATTCATGATAATCAACTTATACTGTGTAAAACATCTTCAGAATGTTCTACAACAATTAGTGATTTTATATTTGAACAGTACCATATTCCATCTACTTATCTATCTGCCTAAAATTAAATAATTAGTCCTCTTTTGCAAGTATGCCAATGATTCTCAGAAAGTAAATTGGGAATATGTCTTAAGTTACATTTTTTTTAACTTGGTTTTCCAATTAGAGTTAAGGAAAACTCTTCATCCTCCTACTGTTTATTTTTGTTCTTTCGTTATTTCTCTCTTTCTTTCCCTCTCTGTTACTCTTATTATTTTTGTCAAAACATTGACTAACATCAGAGATAGGTTTGTAATTATCCACTATGGAAATTTGGAATGATGTTGTCTGCATTTAACAATATTATTGTTTACTCTCTGGCTCTGATTCCAAATAGTATGCTTATACAAATACCAAACGTTTGCTGTGAGTGTTTACTTACTCACATGCATATATAGTATAAGGCCTATATTTAGCAGTTTATCCTTTATTAAAGTAAAATTTTACCAATAATGAACACATAAGTGGTTAACTGTTACTTTCTCTAGTAAAGCAATCTTCATTTATCCTCTTCAGCTCTACCACCTAGAAGACATAGGACTTGAGCACATGAACTAAGTTACTGAGTATTTAGCATAGTAACAAGACAATGATTAATGCTCAGAATAAGAGGATACATTTATAACCATCAGTTCTTCAACTGCTCTTTGAATGCTTTTGTATTTCTTTGTTGTGTTTATGTGACAAATAAATGGTTAGTACTATAAATGAGATAGCGGCAAGCCATATGTATTGTTCCTGCTCACTGAAGTTAGAGTACATATTAAAGTATAAATATAACCATGTATCTTCTTGTCCTAAAATTCTTCATTGGCTCCCTTTCTTCAGGATGAAGTTAAACCATCTTATTAAAGGCTTCTGACTTGGATGCTTTGTCTTCCTCCTCTGCTTCATCTCTTTACACTTTACAATAAAACATATCTATTAGGCTGACTTCCTAGTTGAAGGCAGCAGAATCCATTCAAACTAGTTTAAACAGAAAAGGAAGTTGCTTTATTTTTGCAAAAAGACCGCCTAATATGCATAAATGGTAGTAGAAAAACAGTAGGAAAAAAAGTAAACCATAATTTTTTTCCTCTTAACATTCACAAAAAATAACTAAAAATGGATCAAAGATCTAAATAAAAAACTAAAACTCTAAAACTTCATGAAGAAAATATGAGAAAATATTTGCAAATGCTTCAGATACGACACAAAAGTAGAAACAATGAAAGAGTAATATTGATACTTGACATCTACAAATGCTAAAATGAACAAATTTCTTTTTTAGGTCAATTATACAAACACGGAAAGACCAGAAACAGACTGGAAGAAAATATTTGCAAAACATGTGTCAGGAAAAGGTTGTGTATCCTATATATATAACTAATTTTTGAACTCATTTGTAAGATAATCAACCTGATTAAAAAGAAATGTGCAAAAATGTGAGCAGCATTTCACCAAATATGGTGTGTGTGTGTGTGTGTGTGTGTGTGTGTATGTGTGTGTGATGCATAAGCATGTGGAAATATACCCAACATTGTTAATCATTTGAGAAATACAAACTAAACCATAAGAATACACCATCACATAGTTGTTAAGATGGCTAAAATTACAAAGTTTGCTAATACCCAGGGTTGTTAAAAGTGTGGATCAACTGGACCTCTCATTCATTGTTGGTGGGAATATAAAATGCTACAATCAACTGGGAAATAAATAGTTCAGCAGTTTCCTATTAAGTTAAAGATACACTTATAAACAGTCAGTGATTCAACTCCCAGATATTTACCCAGCAGATATGAAAAATATCCATACAAAGCTTATATCCGCACAAAACTTACACTCCCCATAATGGAAAAAAAGGATCTCTGCTTTAGATCTAGTTGTTAGAGAAAGTCTGTATAAGAATGCTTTAACTTAAAGCTTGATTGGAAGGAAGAAGAAAGCCATGCCAAATCTAGGAAAAATATTAAACACTAAACAAGTAGCTGGCACAAAAGCTCTAAGATAGTAACAAAAGTGGCTAGAAAGAAAGCTAATATTTCTTTAGAAGAATGAGCTAATATAATTATGGCAGGCAGTGAAATTTTCAAGAAATATGGAAGCCATACCAAAGAAAATTCTAAAGCCCAGTTGTAGAATTAAAAATCAACCATCAGTATTTTCCAACAACAGTGTAACTAAAAATATTATAAGCAACAGACAACAGTATTCTGACTTCACAAATATCCAGATTGTGTGTTTATATTATAATTCCTTCTCTATGTATACCATGTAAAACCTCCATGTATCTTAAAAGACAGTGATGTTAATATCAATACTGGCAGAAATAACTTGACTGGTATATAATTAATTGTCCAATCTACCTGGGCCTGGTGGCTCACACCTGTAATCCCAGCACTTTGGGAGGCTGAGGCAGGTAGATTACTTGAGCCCAGGAATTCAAGACCAGTCTGGGCAACATGACTAAACCCCGTTTCTACAAAAATTACAAAAATTAGCCTAGCTCGGCATGGTGGTGCATGCTTGTAGTTCCAGCTACTCAGGAGATTGAGGTGGAAAAATCAACTGAGCCCAGGAAGTTGAAGCTATAATGAGTCATGATTGCTCTACTGTACTTCACCTTGAACAACAGAGTGATAACCTGTCTCAAAAAAAAAATTGGTCAATCTAATGCCACATTATATTTTGCTTTATATTTGGGGTATATTTTATTTCATAGTTTATTATTTTTCCCTTCATGAGTTCTAATAGTTTTCTCCTCGACCTAAGGTTAATCCACTTTTACCATATGCTTATCATCTAGTGCATAGAACCTCCCTGTTTGTCAAAGCACTCTAATTGTTGCTTTTTATTCATTTCAGAATGAATGTTTTCTATATGCCTGCTGCAATGCATATCTTTTCCTGTTACTTATTTTCCTTGAACTCATGGATTAGAGTTTCTCTTCTATATTTTTTGTTTGCAATTTTCTTCCTTATTTGTTATAATTCACCTTCAATTAACTTGTTTGGCTAAAGTATATGAAAACAAAACCTTTGGAATTCTTGCACATGCAAAACTGTTACTATGATGCTCTCACATATGTTTGTATAATGTGTATAATTGCTTACTATACATATTAATTAAAGATTCAAAATTGCTTTCTATAAGAAGCTTGATTCACTGTCCCCTAGCCTCCTATTTGGCTTATGAAAATTCATGCTGTTGATGCTAATATAGTTTTGGCAGATTACATCACATTTCTAGTTAAATTTAAGTCAAAGACAGTTATTAATAAAGAATCTTAAAATGTGAATAATGAAGAAATTTTCTCTGATCAGAAACAACTATCTCTATTATCTCATTCTAAAAGTTATTGGCTGTTATTTAACCTGACTCAACTTTTCAAAATAAACCCTAATAGATAAACATTATTGTGTGTTCAAACTAAAGCAATTCATATAGTTTTTCCCTAAAACAATAAAAAGTGAGACAAAGCCTTCTGTAAAATATACTTCTGAACAAGTCAGTACAAAATAAACATATCCTGAATTTCCATCTTCTTAAAACTGGATACTTCATATTCTCATGTCATCATTAACCTTAGTGACAAGGCTAAGGATAGATGTTTGCAATTTCAGTTAGGGGTTGTTACTTCTAAATCTCAAGCAGTCAAGCATAAACACATGTTAACTTTGGGAAACTTAACCAAATGATTCAAACTCCACTGGTAATGAATGATGTAAAGGCAAAGTGGCTCTTCACAAAAAGGAGGAAAGCATCCAGCTCTCCACATACTGACCGTGTATTCTACTCCTAGGCATTCTGCTGCATCTGCTCTGGATGAAGCCTATTCCCCAAATAATAGGAGTAGCCAAATAATAGGAGATGCCTTTCAGATTGGTTAATAGGTAACACATACAGTTAAATAGAAGGAGTAAGTGCTAAGGCTTACCAGCAGAGTAGGACGACTACAGTTAACAGTAATGTACTAAATCTTTCAAAATACCCAGAAAAGAGGACTTGCAATGTTCCCACCGTATAGAAATGATACTCTAAATCATTTCTTAGATAGTCTAAATCATTAGAGAAAGGATACTCTAAATGTCTTGACTTGATCATTACACAGTCTACGCATGTAACAAAATATCACATGTATCCCATAAATATGTGCAAATATTAGATATCAATAAAAATAAATAAAATATAAAATAGTAGAATTTTCAAGAATAACTTTTTTAAGAAAATAGGGACAAGATAACATATTGACTTTGAGTTATAATTTTTGTGAAGAGTTGTTTTTATTAAAAAGTATTTCAGGTTATTTAACTAAATAATTTTTATTCATTTCTGACTGTATTCACAAATGTTACAAGTCTGCATGAAAGTTATTAATAATTACATGTCTCTTATTCCAGAATTACAAACAGCTAATGAAATTTTGCTGGGAATCTCACAAGCTCAAATGTAAGAATTTTTTTTTTATTTTTACTTCCAGAGAACCTACTAAATAGACTAAATAGAAACCTTCAGTTTATAAAATTTTAAAGTGCTCTCTCCAAATCCTGCAGAGGTATATTACAAATGATGGTGGAAGCTAATATTACAATGAAAAGCAAATTCAGTTGTTATTATTTTTCTCTTTATTGGGAAAGTAAAAACGCATGCATTATACCCCTACACACATATATTTACAATTTCAAAAATTAATTTAAGATAATGATAGAAATTACAGAATTCACTTACTAAGGATAATTAAATAAAACCAAAACCAAAAAAAGATAACAAATACAGTAATATCCGTGATAGGATAAAGTTATGTATGTCTAGCCCATGAGCAACACATTTTGCATTTTAAAAATATGCTACCTTAGAAAAACAAAATATGAACAGAGCCAGATTTTACTTATATATCTTGATCAAACTAATTGCTTTCATATGGATAAAGCAAGTTTTAAAGTAATAAAAGAGAAAAATAATTTCCTAGCTATAATTTGTGTAAATACATGTGAACTTCAATTGATCAAACAATATTTCTACTTAAGCCTTTCTATGCTGAGCAAAACTTCATTTATATCTATTGCAACATTATTTTTTCCAATAAAAATTTTAAGTAAATTTGGTAGTTTTCTTTTTTTTAATTAATTAATTTATTTATTTATTTATTATACTTTAAGTTTTAGGGTACATGTGCACATTGTGCAGGTTAGTTACATATGTATACATGTGCCATGCTGGTGCGCTGCACCCACCAACTCGTCATCTAGCATTAGGTATATCTCCCAATGCTATCCCTCCCCCCTCCCCCCACCCCACCACAGTCCCCAGAGTGTGATATTCCCCTTCCTGTGTCCATGTGATCTCATTGTTCAATTCCCACCTATGAGTGAGAATATGCGGTGTTTGGTTTTTTGTTCTTGCCATAGTTTACTGAGAATGATGATTTCCAATTTCATCCATGTCCCTACAAAGGACATGAACTCATCATTTTTTATGGCTGCATAGTATTCCATGGTGTAAATGTGCCACATTTTCTTAACCTTTGTGGAAGTCAGTGTGGAGATTCCTCAGGGATCTAGAACTAGAAATACCATTTGACCCAGCCATCCCATTACTGGGTATATACCCAAAGGACTATAAATCATGCTGCTATAAAGACACATGCACACGTATGTTTATTGCTGCATTATTCACAATAGCAAAGACTTGGAACCAACCCAAATGTCCAACAATGATAGACTGGATTAAGAAAATGTGGTAGTTTTCTTAAAATAACTTTTGTAGGATATTTCCCATAGTGTAATGCTTCAAATGGTGATAAAAATCATGATTTTTTATGGAAGGTTGAGATAAAGAAGGAAAATGATGTATTTAGGTGCAAAAGAGGGCAACAAATCTAATGGACAAAAAAGCATAAGTGACATCTCAAATCTACAGATGGTGTTCCTCTAGAATCTTCATAAATCACTCATTATTTTGAAGTTTTAATATAGGAAGGTGGCTATCATACACTCAAATGACTCCATTATAGATTTTCTCTTTCTAGCTGCAATAGCTCATTCAAAAATTACACATGCCAACCAATTTAGAAAACGTATACATATTATTCCTCTTAAAATTACTATAAATAGATATAGCCTTTACTATAACTATATATCTGTACATTTTATACGGACAACTTAGGGAACTGCTAGGCTCAGGTAAATTCATCACGTGCATGTTTAGATGTTTATTCGGCCTCTCAAAGTGCTGAGATTACAGGTGTGAGGCCATTTTCATTTCTAAGAGCAACACTAAATAGGTTGGATCTCTCTTTTGAGTAGTTCATAAAAAGTAAAATCGTTCTTTATTTTTTATCTTTAATGTAACTGTGATCAATTTTTATGAGACTGTCCTCAATGACCCTGCCACATTTTGAGCAGCCTATGTTTTTTTTTACTACTTATGATGCAAACCTCATTTTCTTTTTGTGTTTCTATTTTCCCACCAATCCTTGCCAGTTTGCTGTTTATCTGTTCCTGACAGCATTTTGTTTCTGAGTCCTTTGATCTTTTGACATTAGCAGTATATCAGAAAAGCCAGATTTCATTTGAGTATTTTTTAAATTTTATGGAAAACGCTGTATTGCACTGTGATGTATTCATTATTTTTATGTTCTTCTTTTGCCTTTTCTTAGTCTAATTATTTTCCCTTTATTTTTATTCTTCATGCATTTTTGGATTTGCCCAGTGTCTGTTGTGATTCTTAACCACATTATAAGTTATTTATGTGCAAGTTATTTGTGAAATATTGTGAATTCATTATCTGTTTATATTGGGCATGCATTAGGGTTGAGCTGTAATCCATAGGATACTTTCTCATCAAATGCCATATCTGCAGATATAACTCACAGGCAATCTTGCAAGGTATTTTTTAGGCTCAGTAAACTCCATATCGTATAAAATTTGTGTTCTTAATTTAGTCTTTCCTTTTTCTGTTTTCTGGCAGAAAACAATTATTGAGTTTTTGTGACATATTTTGCCTGGCACTGTATATTTATCTTTTTTTTATTTTCAAAGATGGTTTTGTCACTACATAATCAAGATTCAAGCACATTCTCTCTCCCACTAATGTGTCAAATATTGATCTTCTTCCAAAATAAGGGCTTATTGGTTTTACACCTAAGAGTTAACCATCTGCTTTGATAACTTTTGCCCTTTCTCTTTCCAAAGTCTGAATGCTTTTGGCTCTTTCCAAAGCCTAATGAACTTGTAAGTATATACCTTATCCCAATCCGATTTTACCCAAACTATAAGCCAAGCTTTACATGTTGTATTCAAAGAGTATAGATGTTCCTTAATTACATATAAAATATTTTGTCAATCACCTTGTTATTTGGGTTGGCTTCAGAAAGAAAGACAAAGAGAATGCTCCACATACTGTATTATCTTAATTCAGTGATGTCAAACATTTTTTAAATAAATAATTTGCCATTCATTTAAAGTTAAAAGAAATGGGGCATGACATAAGCAAGAGGGCAGGATAGGAGTCCCCAGGCTTCACTCCCTCTTAGATCCAATGGCAAGAGAAATGGATTTCTTTGATTGCACAGCCCCTCTCACAAATTGGCATTGAACCACACACAGAAAATTAGCCTGGATCCATGGTTTGTACAGTGGGAAAAGTATGTTGGAAATGGACATCAGCTTCCCCACCATTCTGGGACCCTTCACAGAACACTTCACTCCTGTCTCATCCCACAGGAAACATTGGGATACTGACAGGGTTAGATTAACTGTGGATCGGTTAGAACCAAAAATGAAGGTGCAGTTCACAGTGACCAGTGTGCAGATCATGGCAATTTCTCTGCACTTGAACCACCAGAGGTTCCACACCAGAGAAACTAGCCAACATCATACTACAGGAAGCATAGTCCACAGGTTTTTCAGGCATCAATCTGTAACCATCTTCCAGCTATTCCCCAGGTTGAGCAGCAACTGCAGGTCAGTGATTACCTGCAGAGTGAGCATTTACCCTGCCCAAACCCAGACAAAAATAAGTAAACCAACTAAGTCTCCCTTTAAATCTTCCCCAGACTGGCTGGCAACTGCAGGTCAACAATTACCCGTGGAGGGAGAATTTTGTCCCACCCAACCCTAGCTGCTGAGTGGTGACTCTGACAAACTTTGCTGCTCTGCTTAGGTCTACCTCAGGCTAGGAAGCAAGCCCAACACCATGCATAGCAAGGAGCATAGCCATTGATTTTTACTCACCCCCGTGTGGCTGAGAAGCAACCCCAGAGACTTCACCCACCCTGATGCCCAGCACATAGCTCTGCTCAAATACAGATTTTAAATAAAAATATTATCTAGCTAGAGGAAATAACTTACAGCTCTGCTGAATTAAAGACAATTACAGAGCCTAGCCAGCAGCACCACATGATGGCAGAGTCCAGCTACTGGTCTCACTAGAGTGTGAAGCACAGTCAATAGCACCATTTGACCTCAGAGCGCACAAGCAACCCAGTCTAACTAGAGGACTCAGTAGTAGGGTCTTCTGTCCGGACTTGCTACCAGCCAGCCCATCCATGATCCCAGGCTAGACTAAATAGTAAAGGTTTATCGCCTCCAAAAGACACTTGCAAAAAATGGAAGAAGTGGCTACCTCCTCAACATAAATAAACAAGGATTATTTTTCAAAATTAGGGTAATATGACAACAACAAAATAAACTAATGAAGCTCCAACAAAGTACCTAGATGAAATGGAGATCTATAAGATTACTGACAAAGGATCCATAATGGTCATCTTAAAGAATTTCAGTGAATGCTAAGAAAATACAGATCAAAAGTTAATTCCAATTTAAAGAAAAGGGAAGAGCAAAAGGTTGGAAGGGCACAGCCAAGTGATAAAAATGAGTATCAGTAAAACTCCTACAGGTACGGTCAGGGGTTCTGTTCCTCTGCTTTGTTGAGTTGTAACTCTTTTGAGTTCTTTTTAAGAAAAATTGAGATCATACATTCTATTGAACATTTGTATCAGAATACTGTGATTAAGAGTAAAGTTTCAGTTATCATGGTATAACTGGATTGGATTT
The DNA here is from genome assembly GCF_000001405.40 of Homo sapiens. Taxonomy (NCBI): domain Eukaryota; kingdom Metazoa; phylum Chordata; class Mammalia; order Primates; family Hominidae; genus Homo; species Homo sapiens. The sequence goes on from NC_000001.11 coordinate 190,807,566, forward strand.
AGAGAAACCAAGAAAATGAAGTGAGAAATAGCCAAGTAATGTTTCCCACTTGCCAAGAAATTGAATGATAAAGAGAGAGGCACTGGATTTCCTCACATGCTCAGGATGAAGTTTTGAGCCAATTTTATGGGACTATTAAATACATGGTAAATGATGGGTTATATTTAGCATTAATAACTAACAACCTCCATCATTACCATATGTTTTCTTCTGTGGTCAATTGAGATCGTTGTAAAAAATACAGTACCCATTTCTGGCATTTTTTCCAAATGACCTTAAATATGTACTTACAAATATTTTAGTTTTTGTGTTTAAACATCTACTCTTATCTAAATGCTCATTCACATGCTCACACAATTCTGTTAATCTTTGAATACATAGAGCATTCTTCTGTTTCAAATAGAACTCAAGGTTCTCTTAATCATAAAGCAGTAATTTCACTAGAAATCTAGCCATTTGGGAGAAATATTTAACTATCTGTTTTGATTTTTAAAGATGACATTATGACCAATGACTTAACAGTATAGCATGGGTGAGGAAATACTAATTGCTTTTTTTTCTTTCAAATTTTTTTCTCCTGTATTGTGCCAAATATATATCATGATAAGTTTGTTTTTCTGTAAAATTTTATCTTTCATAATAAGCAGTTGACAGTATTATTGCATCATCCTCTCTTACCCTCCACACAAAATTGAATATTTTTTTATTGGATACACACACATCTGCAACTAGAGACATTTCAATCAATCAAATTAAAATCGACTTCTTCTTAGACAAAACGTTATTGTAATATTTTCCAAAATCACGTTCTCCACAACAAATTTAATTTGTCCAACCACCCTTATTTTTCTTCAGGGTATCTATAATGTTTCCCCAAATGTGCTACTGATTAGTTTTTTCTTTTCTTTATTTCTAGAGCATGGAAATGTGTCTCTTTTCAAGAAGGTATTTACATTTTCAATAATCAGTTAATTTTTTAACACTTTCTTTCCTCTTGGGTATTATTTTACTCACTACTTTTTAAATCACCAATGTGCCCTTCTGTATAGAATTAGATGCCTTACACTTTCGTTTCCTTGAGTATTACATTTTTTTAAGAAAATTAAATGATAAACATAAGCCAAAGTCCTATTGCACACTAGTACAAGAGAAGAACCTTCTGAATAAGCTAGTTCAAAAAACCCAATATTCTGAGGTCATTATATGGACAGAGAAAGTATTTAAATATCTTTATTACATTAGCTATAAGACAAAATATATATGGTTAAAGATCATAAGATTCCTGACAGCTTGGTGGCATATAACTAGGTTTCTTAGAAAACAAGAAAATTTGCTTAAAAATTTTAGTAGGAATCGGCAATCCAGGCCCCAGTTGTGCCCAAATCTCACTTGCTGGTAAGGGACTGAGATGACTAGGGCACTCGTAACACAACTTCAGAAGGATGGTACTGAGGGGAAGACATAGAACCTGGGCTGAAGGAGGAGGAAGCTGGGAACCCTTCATGGGGCTGCCTGGCACCAGAACTCATTCCTTACTCCTGACTACGGGGGAATAGGTGAGTTGAACTGGCAAGAGCAACCTGCTCTCATCATGGGCTTCTAGAATCGCAGAAGGAGGAAACCCCTTGACCACCACAGACACTGAAGTTGACAGGGAGAGCTGCTTAAAGTGGTATGGGCAGTACACTAGCTGATGATGAGCCTACATGATTTGGTGAGAGAGCTTCTATAGTGGAGCATGGGCAGGGATACTCATACCCCTGGGCTCAATTTGCTCCTGAAGGATATTTTAGCCCTAGGGGAACTGGTGGACCTGAACTCTGCAAAGTGGTCTTGCCCATCAGACTGGCTGGTCTGACCTGAGAACCCCGTGGGCTGCTGATGTCTCCTGGCCCCACCTACTTGCAGGACAGCCTTGGTTACCCTGGGGGCCTGCATCATAGCTACTGCTCTGGAGGACCATGCCTGACCAGCAGAGAGCTCCAGCGGGGTTGCTCCGACCATCCACTAGACCACTGGCTCCTTGATAACACTGCAGCTTCCTCCAGTCCCACAGCCACCCCCAACATCACTTTTCCAGTACATGTGTGTATGGCAGGTTTTGCCTTTCTTGCCCCATCAGTGCACATGTGTGCTAGCAACCTGCCCTGCCACTGCTGTGGTGGGAATGCACTCCGCTCCTCTTCCCGCTGCCAGACCACCATTGCAATCAAAGTCTTGACAGATACAGAGCCAGCAAGCCCCACTTCTGCCAGCACCCAGTCTTTGTGCCAAAAATACAGGGAATGAAACTAGGCATAGAGAACAGCGGACCCTTCCTCATCATGACCCACCTAGCCTGCCTATGGCACACTGAGAGTGTACAGAGTCTTGAACCCATCAGCACCCCACCTCTGTCCTAATATCACCATCACTAGTGCAACCATGCAGGCCCTCTTCTCCTTATCCCCCAACCTGTGCTACCTCCACCACTGTGGTGAAAACCAGCACAGAGGCAGGCATGCTGACACCTACTAGCACCCTGCTGCAGCCAACATGTACACCCTATTGTGTTGCCACTGCCACTGCCACTGCATCAGGCATGTGCAAAAGAGGGTGGATCCTCCTGCCATCGCACTATGAAATGCATTACTCTGATGGGCTGACAGCAACCTTCAGAGTGTAGTTACTACTGGTCCCAAAACTCCTCTGCACCCAAGTGCCTTGGATTTTTAACTTAGAGGAGTCAGAGGAAAAAGTCGTGGCCTGATACAAGTTTCTCAGAGTTAGAGAATGGAGTCCAGGAGTTGGGGGCTGAGCATTGGCCCCGTAAAATCTTCAAGATACAAAGCTCTTCAGGTCAACCTACCTTTTACCACAATCAAACAGTCAAGGTCATGAAATAGGATAAAATAAAAATCCAAAGGTTAGCAACTTCAAATAATGAAGAAACATCAGCTCACCAAGATGAAAAAGAACCCACACAACAACTGACAATTCAAAAAGCCAGTGTGCCTTCTTTCCTCCAAATGCCTGTGCTACCTCTCCAGAAATGGTTCTGAACTTGGCTGAGATGGCAGAAATGAAAGAAATATAATTCACAATATAGACAGGCTGAAGATCATTGAGATGCAGGAGTGCATTGAAAAATAAAATGACACAGGAGCTGACAGACAAAATAGACCGTATAGAAAAGCATGTAGCCAACCTGATAGAGCTGAAAAATACATGACAATACACTACAAGAATTTCATAATACAATCACAAGTATTAAAAGCAGAACAGAGCAACCAGAGGAAAGAATTTCGAAGCTTGAAGACTGGCTTTCTCAAATAAGACAGATGAGAATGGAGAAAAAAGAATAAAAAGGAACAAACAAAACCTCCAAGAAATATGTGATTATGTAAAGAGACCAAATTTATGGCCCTCTGGTGTCCCTGAAAGAGATTGGGAGAGTTTTAGCAACTTGGAGAACATATTTCAGGATATTATCCATGAGAACTCCAACCTAGCTACAGGGGCCAACATTCAAATTCAGGAAATGCAGAGAACCCCAGTAAGATGATTCACAAGCAGATCACCCTAAGACACATAATCATCAGATTCTCCAAGGTTGAAACAAAAAAAAAAAAAAAGTTAAAGGCAGCTAGAGAGAAGGGTCAGGCCACCTTCACAGGGAAGCCCATTAGACCAATAGCAGACCTCTCAGCAGAAACCTTACAAGCCAGAAGAGATTTGGGGTCAATATTCAACATTCTAAAAGAAAACCAATTCCAACCAAGAACTCATTTCTGGCTAAACTAAGTTTCATAAGTAAAAGAGAATGCGTTCCTTTTCAGACAAGCAAATGCTAAGGGAATACAAGAGCTTCTAAAAGAAGCTCTAAGTATGAAAAGAAAAGACTGTTACCAGCCACTAAAAAAAACACTGAAATACACAGACACTATAAAGGAACTACACAAACAAGGCTGCATAATAACCAGCTAACATCATGATGTCAGGATCAAATCTACACATGTCAAACTAACCATGAATGTAAATAGGCTAAATGCCCCAGCTAAAAGTCACAAAGTGGCAAGATGGATACAGAAATAAGACCCATTGGTATACTGTCTTCAAGAGACCCATCAAACATGCAGTGACAACAATAGGCTCAAAATAAAGACATGGAAAAAAATCTGTTAAGCAAATGGAAAACAGAAAAAAAAAAAGGGCTGCAATTCTAAATTTCAGATGAAATAGACTTTAAACCAACAAAGATCAAAAAAGACAAAGAAGGGCATTACGTAATGACAAACAGTTCAATTCATTGAGAAGACTGAATTATCCAAGATATACATGCACCCAACACAGTAGCACCCAAATTAATAAAGGTCTTAGAGACTTTTAAAGAGACTTACACTCTCACACAATAATAGTGAGAGATTTCAACGCCCCAGTGACAATATGAGACAGATCATTGAGGCAGAAAAATAACAAAGATATTCAGCACCTTTACTCAGCACTGGATCAAATGGACCTAACAGACATCTATAGAACTTTCTAAACAAAAACAACAAACATTCTTCTCATCACTACGTGGCACATATTCTAAAATTGACCACATAATTAGATGCAAAACACTCTTTAGCAAATGCAAAAGAACTGAAATCTTAAGAACCACTCTCTCAAACCACAGCAGTAAAATTAGAAATTAAAACTAAATAGTTTATTCAAAATTATATAATTACATGGAAAGTAAATAACCAGCTCCTGAATAACTTTTGGGTAAATAATAAAATGAAGGCAGAAATCAAGAAATTCTTTGAAACAAATGAGAAAAAAGATACAACATACCAGAATCTCTGGAACACAGCTAAGGCAGTGTTAAAAGGAAAATTAATGGTACTAAATATCCACATCAAAAAGTTAGAAAGATCCCAATTTGGCAACAAGGCATCACAACTAAAAGAACTAGGGAACCAAGAGGAAACCAATCCCAAAGCTAGCAGATGATGAGAAATAGCCAAATAAGAGCTGAACTGAAGGAGATAGAGACACAAGAAACCATTCAAAAAATTAACAATTACAGGAGCTGATTTATTTAAAAAAATAATATAATAGATAGACCTCTAGGTCTATAGAGAAAATCCATATGAACACAATTACAAACAACCAAAAAGATATTAGCACTGAACCCAGAAACATAAAAATAAGTATCAGAAAATATTATGAACACCTCTATGCACACAAGCTAGAAAATCTAGAAGAAATCGATAAATTCCTGGACAAATACGTCCTCCCAAGACTGAGCCAGAAAATAATTGAATCCCTGAACAGACCAATAATGAACTCTAAAATTCAATCAGTAGTAAATAGCCTACCAATCAGAAATGCTTACAACCAGATGAATTTACAGCTGAATTCTACCACATGTACAAGAAAGAGCTATTATTTTTCCTACTGAAACTATTCCAGAAAATTGAAGAGGAGGAACTCCTTTCTATCTCATTCCATGAGCCAGCATCATTCTGAAATCAAAATCTGGCAGAGAGACACAATAAAACAACAACAAAAAACAACTTGAAGCTAATATCCTTGATGAACGTTGATGCAAAAATCCTCAACAAAATACTAGTGAACTGAATCTAACAACACATCAAACACACTATTCATCATAATCAAGTAGGCTTTATCCCTGGGATGCCAAGTTGTTTCAACATATGCAAATGAATAAACATGATCCAACGCATAAGTAGAACTAAAAACAAAAACCACATCATCTTCTCAATAGATGCAGAAAATCCTTTCAATAAAAGTCAACACCTCTTCATATTAGAAACTCTCAATAAATTAGTTATTGAAGGAACATACCTCAAAATAGTAAGAGCTATCTATGACAAACCCACAACCAACATCATAATAAATGGGAAAAAGCTGGAAGTGTTCCCTTTGAAAACTGGCACAAAGATGCCTCTCTCCACTTCCTAGTACTGGAAGCCCTAACCAGTGCAATCAGGCAAGAGAAAGATATAAAAGGCATTCAAATAGGAAGAGAAAGCCAAACTATCACTGTTTGCAGACAACATAATCCTATATCTAGAAAACCCCATAGTCTCAGCCCAAAAACTCCTTCAACTGATAAGCAACTTTAGCAAAATCTCCAGACACAAAATTTATGTACGAAAATCACTAACATTCCTGTACAACAACAGCAGTCAAGCCAAGAGCCAAATCAGGAGCAAAATCCCATTCACAATGGCCACAATAAGAATAAAACACCTAGGAATACAGCTAACCATGGAGGTGAAAGATCTCTAAAGCGAGAACTACAAAACACCGCTCAGGGATGATACAAACAAATGGAAAAACATTCCATGCTCCTGAATAGAAAGACATTCCATGCTCGTGAATAGAAAGATTCAATATTGTTAAAATTGCCATACTGACCAAAACAATTTATAGATTCAATTCTATTCCTATCGAACTACAAAGGACATTTTTCACAGAACTAAAAAGGAAAAACTATTTTAAAACTCATATGACTTTTTAATGACTTTTTAATGAAAAGTCAGGAAACAACAGGGGCTGAAGAGGATGTGGAGAAATAGGAACACTTTTACACTGTTGGTGGGACTGTAAACTAGTTCAACCATTGTGGAAGTCAGTGTGGCGATTCCTCAGGGATCTAGAACTAGAAATACCATTTGACCCAGCCATCCCATTACTGGGTATATACCCAAAGGACTATAAATCATGCTGCTATAGAGACACATGCACACGTATGTTTACTGCGGCATTATTCACAATAGCAAAGACTTGGAACCAACCCAAATGTCCAACAATGATAGACTGGATTAAGAAAATGTGGCACATATACACCATGGCATACTATGCAGCCATAAAAAATGATGAGTTCATGTCCTTTGTAGGGACATGGATGAAATTGGAAATCATCATTTTCAGTAAACTATTGCAAGAACAAAAAACCAAACACCGCATATTCTCACTCATAGGTGGGAATTGAACAATGAGAACACATGGACACAGGAAGGGGAACATCCCCCTCTGGGGACTGTTGTGGGTGGGAGGGATAGCACTGGGAGATATACCTAATGGTAAATGACGAGTTAGTGGGTGCAGCGCACCAGCATGGCACATCTATACATATGTAACTACCTTGCACGTTGTGCACATGTACCCTAAAACTTAAAGTATAATAAAAATAAAAAATTAAAAAATTTAAAAAAAACTCATATGGAAAATAAAAGAGTCTGAATAATCAAAGCAATACTAAGAAAAAAAATGCTGAAAGCATCATGCTACCCAACTTCAAACTATACTACATGGCCAGAGTAACCAAAACAGCATGGTATTGGTACAAAAACAAACACATAGACCAATGTAACAGAATAGAATGGCTAGAAATAAGGCTGCACACTTATAACCATCTGATCTTTGACAAAGCTGACAAAAGCAAACAATGGGGAAAGACTCCTTATTCAATAAATGCTGCTGGAATAACTGGCTAGCATATGCAGAAGACTGAAACTGTCCCACTTCTGTGTAACATATACAAAAATCAACTCAATATGAATTAAAGACTTTAATGTAAAACCTACAGCTTAAAAACCTGGAGGACAACCTAAGCAATACCATTCTGGATGTATGAATAGGCAAAGCTTTCATGATGAAGATGCCAAAAGCAAGTTCAACAAAAAGAAAATTGGCAAATGGGATCTGTTTAAACTAAAGAGCTTTTGCACAGCAGAAGAAACTATCAATAGTGTAAACTGACAGCACACAGAATGGGAGGAAATTTTTGCAACTGTTCATCTGACAAAGGTCTAATATCCAGAATCTATAAGAAACTTAAACACATTTACAAGAAAAAACAAACAACCCTGTTAAAAAGTGGGCAAAGGACGTGAACAGACACTTTTAAAAAGAAGACATACATGCAGCCAACAAGCGTATGAAAAAAGTTCAATATCATTGATCATTAGAGAAATGCAAAACAAATCCACGTGAGATACCCTTTACACCAGGCAGAATAGCTATTATTAAAAAGCCAAAAACTAACAGGTGCTGGCAAAGTTGCAAAGAAAATGGAACACTTATACACTGTTGGTGGGAGTTTAATTCAACTATTCTGAAAAACAGTGTGGCAATTCTTCAAAAACCTGAAAATACAACTACCATTTGACTCAGCAATACCATTACTGGGTATATATCCAAAGAAATAAAAATTGTGTATGTTTATTGCAGCACTATTCACAATAGCAAATACATTGGATCAACCTAAATGCCCATCAATGGTAGACTGGATAAAGAAAATGTGGTACATATATATCATGGAATACTATGCAGCCATAAAAAAGAATGAGATTATGTCCTTTGCAGGAATATGGATGGAACTGGGGGCCATCATTCTTAGCAAACTAACAGAGGAACAGAAAACAAGATACCACATATTCTTCTTTAAAAGTAGGAGCTAAACTGTGAGAACACATGGCCACATAGAGAGGAACAATAGACACTGCTGTCCATCAGAGTGTGGAGGGTGGGAGGAGGGAAAGGATCAGGAAAAAAATAATGGATAATAGGCTTAATATGAGGGTGACAAAAAATCTGTTCACCAAACTCCCATGACACAAATTTACCTATATAACAAACAAGCACATGTACCCCAAACTTAAAATAAAAGTAAAAAAAAAAAAAAAAAAAAAAAAACAGTAGGAATCAATTTCTCTCCAAAACTAAGTTTTAAGTGACATTACCAAAATATGTCTATCTCAGATCAGGCTTGTGTTAATTTTTCTTTTATAATTTTATTTTATTAAAAACATCTTAAAAGCTTTCATCTTTTCTGAAATGTTCTTTCTTAGAGGAATTTTTTTTTTTAGTAAGCACACAACTGGAACTTGTTCGTGCGCTATAACAAAAGCCTACACTACAGGCAACAATAACCATAGACTCAGCTAATATACTATCAAGTGAAGATGTTCAAGTTTACTATTGTCTTTTCTATTCTTTCTTCCCTTAGGTTCAAATCACTTGCTTTGTCTGCTCAAAGATTCGCTGTAAGAGGCTATTACATTGGATTCTTCTACTTAACTTTTCTAATTTTTTTAATAGGCCAATTTATACAGGTGAGGGTAGTTAGTAATTGCCAGTCTCCAATCAGCAATTAGCTCCAATTAAGCCTTCCCAGCTGCTCATTCAGGCCTGTGCTGACTTCCCTTAGCCAATTTAAACAACCAAACATCGGTCACAATTTAGGCTAAAAATGTAAGAATCATTCATATCTCATCATTCTGATGTACAAACTATTTGATGACATCCAATTATCAATGCAAATTACTTATCTTTTGAGGTCTCTAATATATCCAGCTGTAGGTACATCAGTATCCATGTGGCAAAACAAGACCATAAAATATACTGGAGGTTGGTGTTACTATCCTTCAAATAACTAATAATATTTCTAAAAATCTATCCTAAGGAGAAAAAAAATCTCAACACTTTTATACAAATGTATTAATTCCAGATTTTCTAATAATTGTGAAGCTGTAAAATAAAACACAAGTTTGAAGTGGGAGTATTTAAAAACAGTAAACATTGTCTTTTTAATACACTATAAAACTTTTGGGATAATATTTTACAAATATTTAGTAATCCTAAAATTATCCTTAAATAATAAATATTGAATTAACTTTTAGGTATTTTACAGTTTTACATTTTACATTAGGCCTGTGATCCATTTTGAGTTAGTTTTTTATGAAGGGCATAAGGTCTGTGCCTAGATTCCTGTGTTTTGCAACAAATGAATCTAGGCACAGAAATGGATGGTTAGTTGTTAACAGCACCATTTGTTGAAAAGACCATCTATTTTTCATTGTATTGCCTTTATCCCTTTGTCAAAAATCAATTGACTATATTTATGTGGATCTATTTTTTGGCTGCATGCTCTATTATTTAAAATATTTAATTATATGTGATAAACCTTAAAGTATTTAAATATTATAAATAAAAGTTTATTTAGAATATTCTGTCTACCTACCTACATAGTATATAGGTATTTACTAGTTAGAGAGAGTGTAATGAAATACAGTAATATATGTGTTGTTGTTCCTGCTAGATAGCTAAATTATGGATGACTTAAATACCCACACCATATTTCTTTTCTTTTTAAAAGTATTTACTTTTAAAATAATAATTTAAAAAGATCAAAGAATTTCAGTACTCTAGACAATGAGCTTGGATGTACTTCGAGCTAGGAATAGACAGGGCTTGTCACATCTGGGTCTTTATTTAGACAAGCAAAATGAGATCCAAGGTCCTGCTTCTCTCACTGAAGCTATATATCTTTTATTTAATCTTAGTAATTATTGTATTACAATTATATAATGTGCACAAATGAAAGCAAAATTGTTTGAAAGTGTTTACATTTAAGAAAATATTTCACTCAATCTGGTCTCCCTACCCATAATTTCCATTAGCTAATGTTAAACAAATTCCATTATATTAACTGTTTCTTCTGCTAAATACATTTATAGCTCTAAATATTTTAACTCTACTTATATGCATTGGTTTTCTTTTTTAGTTTTAATGGGAAATGGTGTAAAATCAATAAAAATTGTAAAAGAGAAGTTTGAAAAACTCTGGGCTGTTAAAAACCCAGTTGAACCTCCTAGTCAAACTGGGACAGCCTAATTGATGACCTCTTTGTATATAAGCAATAGATAAGTCACAGTTGAAGAAATATTATTCATTTTTGTTATTACATGCTGATGAAATTATTCTTGATACAATACATCTCTACCAATGTGGTTAGAAATTGTGATTTCCGAAATCACGGGTGACAAGTCTAAAACATTCAAAAAATTGAAATATCAAGCATCTACTCTTACTATAATGGAATAAAACTAAAAATCAATAACAAGATAAATTTTGGGAAACTATACAAACACATACTCCTGAATGACTAGTGAGTGAATGTAAAAATTAAGAAGAAAACTTAACATTTTTCAAACAGATGATAATGGAAACAGAACATAGCAAAATCTATGGAATACACCAGAAGTAGTACTAAGAGGAAAGTTTATAGCTATAAGCATGTATATCAAAAAGAAGAAAAACTTCAAATAAACCACCTAATAATACATCTTAAGAACTAGAAAAGCAAGAGAAAACCATACCTTAATTTAGCAGAAGAAAAGAAATAACAAAGATCAGAGCAAATGTAAATGAAACTGAACAAAGAAAACAATACAAAATATGAATGAAATAAAAAGTTGGCTTTTTGAAACGAAACACAACTGACAAATCTTTAGCCACACTAAGAAAGAGCGAAGACCAAAATAAATAAAATCAGAGATGAAAAAGGAGATATTACAACCAATACTGCAGAAATTTAAAGGATCATTAGTGGTTACTATGAGCAACTATATGCCAATAAATTTGAAAACCTAGAAGACATAGATAAATTTTTAAACATGTACAACCTACAAAGATTGAACCATAAAGAAATCCAAAACCTGAACAGACCAATAACAAGTAATGAGATTGAAACCATAATAAAAAATTCTTCCATCAAAGAAAAGCCTGGGATCCAATGGCTTCACTACTGAGTTTTACTAAACATTTAAAGACGAACTAATGCCAGTCCTACTCAAACAATGCTGGAAAATAGAAGAAGAAGTAGTACTTCCAACCTCATTCTCCAGGACAGTATTATTCTGATACCAAAACCAAAGATACAGAAAAAAAAAAAAGGAGAGAAAACTGTAGGCCAATAATCCTAATGAGCATTGATGCAACAATCCTTAACAAAATACTAGCTTCAATAACACATTAAAAATATATTCATCATGACCAAGTGGGATTTATCCCTGAGATGCAAATATGATTCAACATATACAAGTCAATTAATGTGATACATCATGTCAACAGAATGAAAGATAAAAGCCATGTAATCATTTCAACTGATGCTGAAAGCATTTGATAAAGTGCAATATCCCTTCATGATAAAAACTCTCAAAAAAGTACATATAAAATGAACATACTTAAACATAATAAAAGGTATATATGATAGACCCACAGCTAGTATCATGCTAAATGGCTAAAATCTCACAACCTTTCCTCTTAGACATGGAACATGACAAGAATGCCCACTTTCACTATTGCTATTCATCATAGTACTGGAAGTCCTAGCAAGAGCCATGAGACAAGAGAAAGATATAAAGATCATCCAAATTGGAATGGAAGAAGTCAAATTATCTTTTTTGCAAATGGTATAATTTTGTATTTGGAAAAATCTAAAAACTCCACCAAAAGACTATTAGAACTGATAAACAAATTAAGTAAAGTTGCAAGATATAATATCACTATACAAAAATCAGTAGTATTTCAATATGCCAACAGCAAAATTCTGAAAAAGAAATCAAGAAAGTCATCACATTTACAATAGTTATAAACAAAATAAAATATCTGAAAATAAACTTAATCAAGGAAGTGAAATATCTCTACAGTGAAAACTATAAAACATTGATGCAAATAATTTAAGAACAAACACAGAAAATTGCAACTTATTCCATGTTCATGCATTGGAATAATTAATATTGTTACAATATTCATACTACCTAAAACAATGTATAGATTAAATGCAATTCCTATCAAAATTCCAATGACAGTCTTCACAGAAATAGAAAAAGCAATCTTAAAATGTGTATGGAACCACAAAAGACCGAGAATATCCAAAGCCATCCTGAGCAAAAAGAACAAAACTGGAGGATTCACATTTTCTAATTTCAAATTATACTACAGAGCTGTAGTAACCAGCATGATACTGGCATAAAAACAGACACACAGAGCAATGGAACAGAAAAGAGGACACGGAAATAAATTCACACATCTACAGTGAACTCATTTTTTCACAAGGATGCCAAGAACATATATTGGGGAAATGATAGTTTCTTTAATAAATTGTGCTACGAAACTGGATATCTATATGCAGAAGAATAAAACTACACCCCTCATTATATACAACTGTCAAACCAAAATAGATTGAAGATTTAAATCGAAGACCTCAAACTATAGAACTTCTAAAAGAAAACATTGGAGAAACTCTCCAGGACATTGGTCTAAGCACAGGCAACCACAACAAAAATGGGCAAATAGGATCACATGAAGTTAAAAATCTTCTGCAGGGTGAGGAAAACAATCAAAAACCCACAGAATAGGAAAAAAATATTTTCAATCTATTCATTTGACAAGAGATTAATAACCAGGATATATAATGTTCTCAAACAATTCTATAGGAAAAAATCTAATAATCTTATTTAAAAATTGGCAAAATATCTGAATAGACATTTCTCAAAAGAAGACATATGAATGGCAACAGGTATATGAAAAAATGCTTGATATCATTGTTCATCACAGAAATGAGAATCAAAACTACAATCATCTTACCCGAGTTAAAATGACATTTTTTTTTTCCAAAGGACAGGCAATAATGAATACTGGTGAGGTTTTTGAGAAAGGGAACTCTCATACACTGTTGGTGAGAATGTAAATTACATGTGCAATCATGTAAATGTAATGTAATGTACAATGTAAAAACAATGTACAACCACTGTGGAGAACAGTTTGAAGTTTCCTCAAAAAATGAAAATAGAACCATCATATGATCCAGCAATTCCACTTCTGGGTATGTACCCAAAATAAAGAAAATAAGTATATCAAAAATAGATCTACATTCCCATGTTTATTGTAGCACTATTCACAATATCCAATATTTGGAAGCAAGCTAAGTGTCCATCAGCAGAGAAATGGATAAAGAAAATATGGTACGTATACACAGCAGATACTATTCAGCTCTAAAAATGAATGAGATCCTGTCATTTGGAACATGGATGGAACTGGAGGACGTTATGTTAAGTACAATAAGCCAGGCACAGAAAGACAAACCTCACGTGTCCTCACTTATTTGTGGAACCTAAAAAAAGAAAAGTGAAACAATTGAACTTATGGATATAGAGTAGAATGATACTTTCCAGAGGCTGGGAAGGTTAGCTGGAGGGTGGAAGGGGATATAAGGATGGTTAATTGGTACAAAAATCTAGTTAGATAGAACAAATAATATCTAGTATTTGATAGCACAAGAGGGTGACTACAGCCAATAATAATTTATCGTATATTTTAAAATAACCTAAAAGAGTATTATTTGATTGTTTTTAGGACCTAGAAAGAATAAAGGCTTTGTTGATAGATACCCCATTTACCCTGATGTGATTAGTGTGCATTGCATTTCTGTATAAAATATCTTATGTATCTCATAAATATATATACCTACCATGTACCCATATACATTAAAAATAAAAATTAATTTTAAAAATGCAAAAAAGAAATATTACTGAAATGCATAGTTACACATATTTTGAAATTAAAAAACAAAGTTCTGAATAGCAAATGAGTCAAAAGGTAAGTCACAAAAAATATTTTCAAACAGTTTGAATTTACCAAAAAATAAAAATTTAACTTACCTAAATTTGAGAGTTGCAACAAAAGCACTTAGTTAGAAATTTATAGCGTCGAATGCATAAACTCCATTAGAAAAGAAAAAATATCTCCAATCAATAATACAAACTTTGCTTTAGGAATTTAGAGAAAATGGAGAAAAGTAACCTTCAATTAAGCAGCAGAAAATAAATATAAATAATATTAGAGGTAAACAAAAATTGTATTTAATTTTTTATTAAATAACAAAACAGAAATATAACAAATAAATTTTTGAAGCTATTATATGTTTATTAAGATTAAGAAAAGCAACTGCTAGCAAAAGTAACCAAATTAAAAACAAAAATAAAACAGAAAACACACATCAATTTCATAAATGAAAGGTAGGTTATCACTATTGATGTATTAAAGGAATCGTCATATTAAGAGAATTACCACACACAACTTAGTCCACTCAAATCTGATTATTTTAATAAAAGGTACACCTTTCTTGGAAGAAAAAAATCACAAAAATTCACACAAGAAAAAATAGGTAATCTGAATTGATTTATTAATATTATAGAAAATTATTCCATAATTAAAAACATTTTAAGAAAGGAAGCACCTGATTCAGATTATTTGACTGTTGAATTTTACCTACACTAAATGAAGAAGTGATAACAATTCTTCACAATCTCTTCCAGAAAAAGAAAATAGAGGAAATGCTTACTAACTGATTCTTAAAGTCAATATTATTATAATATCCAAATCAGGTAAAGATATTATTAAAAGAAACAATTGGCCTGTATTTCTCATTAATACTGATGCAAGGATGCTTAATAATGTATTAGCAAGTTGAATTCAACAGTATATAAAAAGAGTTATACAAAAAAAACTGAGTGTGATTTCTTTCTGATATGTAGTATTAGTTCCATATTTAAAAATCAGTGTAATCCACCACTGATGAACATAACAAAGAAGAATAATCATATGACAATACCAATTGACAGAGGAAAAAAATGTCAAATCCAACACCCAATCACGCAAAACAAACAAGCAAAGAAACAAAACTCTCAGTAAACTGAGTAGAGAGAAGATTTCTCAGCTTCATAAAGATCATGAGCCCAGACATGGTGACTCATGCCTCTAACCCCAGCATGGGATTGGGAGGACAAGGTGGGTGGATCACCTGAGGTCAGGAGTTTGAGACCAGCCTGGCCAACATGGTGAAATCCCGTGGCTGCTAAAAATACAAAAATTAGCTGGGTGTGGTGGCACACACCTGTAATCCCAGCTACTCAGGATGCTGAGGCACAACAATAATTTGAACCTGGGAGGTGGAGGTGGCAGTGAGCCGAGATCACACCACTTTAGCCTAGACAACAGTGTGAGACTCTGAAGAAAAAGAAAGAAAAGAAAGAGAGAAGGAAGGAAGGAAGGAAGGAAGGAAGGAAGGAAGGAAGGAAGGAAGGAAGCTCAATAATATTCTGGAAGTCCTACATAGTACAATATAAGAAAAAAATAAAGGTTACATATTAGAAAGCAAGAAAAAATTACTTGCATTGTTTGCGGACAACATGAACGTCAATGAGGAAAGCCCCAAAGAAATGACAATAAGAAATTCTGGAATGATTAACTGAGTATAGCAAGATCACAGGGTACAGGATTTAAATATAAAAGTCAATTGCTTTTGTATATGCCAGTAATGAATAATTATAATTTGATATTTAAAAATACAATAGCACACGCAAAAAAGGAAATGGGTATAAGTCTTTCAAAATATGTACAGCATATACATGTAGAAAACTATAAAGCTCTAATAAAAGCAATACACAAAAATCTAAATAAACAGAGAGATAATAATTTATTTATGGATCAGAATACCCAATGTTGTTAAGATATCAACTCTTACCAATTATACATATGTTCAACAAAATCTCTCTCTAAATCCCATCAAATTGTACTTTTCTTGGTGTAGACATACTGATTCTAAAGGTTATAAGACAAGTCAAAAAACCTAGAATAATCAATACTACTTCGCTTAAGAAGAACAAAGTTAGAAGACACACTCTACCCAATCTCAAGGCATACCACAAAGCTAAGGCAAACAAGACAGCATGGTTCTCGTGAAAAGATAGATACCTAAAGCATTAAGACAGGAAAAAATGTTGAGATACAGCCCCACAGAAATACAGTCACCTGACAAAAAGGAAAGGCATTTCAATAAAAGAAGACTGATCATTTCACCAAATGGCATTGGAATAATTGGGTGTCCTTATGCAAAACAAAACAGAGAAGCAAAAAACTAGAAAAAGACCTTATACTTTTCACTAAAATTAACTCATAATAGATTGTCAGATTAAATGTAAAACATAAAATTTAAAAAAAAATTGTAGAAGAAAATGTTGGTGATCTTAGATTTGTATGAGCTTTTAAGTATATTTCTAGATGAATAACCCATGGCAGAAAAAACAAAGTGATAAACTAGATATTACTAAGTTAAAAACTACTGCTCATAACAGCATCTTAGTAGCAAAGGATACTGTTTAAAAAATTTAAAGTACAGACTCATAAGCTTTTTTCAAAACGAATATCCCATAAAGGACTTGAATAAAAAATATACAAAAAATATTGTAAAACTCAACAATTAGAAAACAAGCAACCCAATTTAAAAATGGGCAAAAGATCTAAATAGACACTTCAGCTTACATAAACAAATAGAAAATAAACATACAAAGTCATACTCAATGTCACTTGTCATTAGGGAATTGCACGTTAAAACTCTAGTGAAAGTTCAGTATATGCCTGTTAGAATGGTTTAAATAATAAAATAACACACTGACAATACCAATCTTTGGCAAGAATGTAGAACTACAGGGATTCTCATTCATTGCTGGTGGAGATGCAAAATGGTACCATAACCTTGGACAACAGTTTAGCACTGTCTTCTAAAGCAAAACATGTTCTTACCACACAATTCAATATTCATGTTCCTAGGTATGTATCCAACTGATTTTTAAAAATTTATGTCTATGTAAAACCTGCATGCAAATGTGTATAGATGCTTTATTAATGGTATCCAAAAACTGGAAGTAACAAAGATAGCCTTCAATATGTTAATGGACAAACAAACTGTGGCACAGCCATAAAATAAAATGTTATTCTGCAGTAAAAAAAAATAATGAGTCTCAAGCCACAAAAAGACATGGATGAACCTTAAATGCACATTGCTAAATGAAAGACTCCAGTTTAAAAGGGATGTTAATTGTACCATTCCAATGATGTAACATTCTAGAATAGGCAGGCTGTGGCAATGGTAAAAATATCAGTGGTAACCAGGAATGAAGCAGAAAAGAGAAGGTTGAGAAGCACAGGGAAACTTTTAAGAAAGCAAAACTATTCTTTATGGTACTATAATGGTGGATACAATATATTATGCGTTTGTTAAAACCCATAGTACATTACAGGTTAAAGATTGAGCTTTAATTATGCAAATTTTAAAGTCAGGAAGTTGAATATCCCAGAAAGGAATGTAGACTGTGACAAGAAAATATATGTGTATTACAAATTTATGAAACTACTGATCTCTAAGTAACTGGAAATAAGTGGAGTCTGTAAAACTTTAGGATAAAAGGAAACCTGAACAGAAGTATGATACTCTAGGTAATCAAGTTGCTTCCCAGGAGATTTCAGCCTAACAATTCTGAGGCTGCCAAAACTGCATACTGGAATGGAACAATGAAGTAAATGAATGTCAAGTGAAACAGCTAAAATAATTCACATAGTAATGGATTACTTGGAGACCACAGAATAAACTTATGTTTAGCTTAATATGAATAGAGATGCTTACATATAAAACTATTTGTTGATATATGCATATGCACGAGTTCATATACCCACAAACAGTTCCTTTTTCTTTCGACTGAGAAGATATAAGAATACTCCAAAAACAATGAACACAATAGCACCCAGTTCTTGGTTTCTAATACCATTTTCTAATAAAAGGAAATAGGGCTCCTTAGAGAAATGGCTGATTATAAGACAGCACTGGAAATATATAAGATGAAACTAGAGCACCTTGTAGTACCAGAATGTAAGAAAATGATAAATAAAATACCCATATTAATAAGGTTATGTCACAAAGACACAGGAACCAATTGAAAACTCACCCAATGGTTAACAATAGAACAATCTGAGCAATGACAACAACAAATTAAAATTGTGGAGAAAAGAGAACTCTCATACACTGTTGGTGAGAATGTAAATTAGTATAATCTTTACGGTAAACAGCATGAAGATTTCTCAAAGGACTAAAAATAGAATTAGCATTTGATCTAGCCATCACACTACTGGGTATCTACTCAAAGGAAAAGAAACTGCTATATAAAAACGGTATTTGCACGCATATGTTTATCACAGCACTATTCACAATAGTGGAGATATAAAATCACCCTAAATTGCCATCAACAAACGGTTGGCTGAAGAAACGTGATACATATGCACAAGGGAATAGTATTTGGCCATAAAAAAGGATGAAATCATGTGTTTTGCAGCAACATGGATAGAACTGGAGGTTATCTTATGTGACAAAAGTCAGAAAGATTAATACTGCATGTTCTCACTTATAAGAGAAAGCTAAATAATGTGTACGCTTGGATATAGAGTGTGGAACAATAGACTATGGAGATTCAGAAGGGTGAGGGAGTGAGAGTGGTGTGGATGAAGAGAAATTACTAATGGGTAAGAAGTACATTATTTGGGCAATGGATAGCCTAAAAACCCTGGCTTCACCACTATTCAAACTACATATGTAACAAAATTGCACTTGTGCCCCTAAAATTATACAAATTAAGATATAATTTTAAAATAGTATTAGATTTGTATCCCAAAGAGTAAAATAAATAATCATGAATTCATACTTATATAAATAAATGATTGAGTAAATATATAAATGCGGAAGACACAAGTCTTCTGTGTAGAGGAATTCCAAACAAGAGGAAATTTCACCCTTAAGGAGCTGGTGCATAATTGCATGCTCCTTCGTGTGGGCTGCAATCAGTGTCTTTCTTCCAGAAAGTACAATTTGTAAATGTGAACAGAAAGAATAACTCTACAGTGGAGAAACCTGACAAACCCAGCCTCCACAAGGCAATCAAAATACCAACAGTGAAAAGTCACTGATATGTCTACAAAATACCGGTCTTGTACTCAAAATTGTCAAAGCTATCAAAGTGAAAGAAAACCTGGAGAACCTGTCACAGCCAAACAGAGCCTGAGGAGTTATGATGACTAAATTTAATGTGGTATCTAGGATAGGACCCTGAAACAGGAAATGAACATCAGCTTTAAACTATGGAATAAAACTGAAAAAATCTGAATAATGTATGAATTTTAGCTGAGAAAAATTCATTGATGTTTCACTAATTGTTTCAAATCAACCATACTAAAGTAAGATGTAATGTAAGATAATATTGCAGAGACTGGATGCAGTGTGTATGATAACTGTGTATTCAGTGTGATATTTTGGTACATATTAATATATTCAGTGTGAAATGATCATGTCAGGGAATTAGCATATCACCTAAAGCATTTATCATTTCTTTGTATTGGGAACATTCAAAATCCTCTCTTCTAGCTACTTGAAAATGCATAATGAATTATTGTTAAGTATACTCATCCTACAGTGCTATAAAACACTAGAACTTATTCCTCTTATCTAGCTGTAGTTCGTGTATGTTAACCAATCTGTTCCTATCCCTCCTCCTCCTACTACTCTTCCCAGCCTCTAGTAGCCGCTTCTATGAGATTAACTTTTTAAACTTCCACATGAATGAGAAAATTTGGTATCTATTTTTCCATGGCTGACTTATTTTTCCTAACATAGTGTCCTCCAGGTTCATTGACATTGCCTCAAATGACAGAATTTCGTTCTTTTTGTGGCTGAGTAATATTCCATTGTGCATATATATTACATTTCCTTTATTCATCTCTTGATAGATATATAGATTGAGTCCATATCTTGCCTATCATGCATACTGCTGCAATAAACATGGGGGTGCAGATATTTCTTCGACATAATAATTTAATTCCTTTTGAATATGTACCCAGTACTGGGTAATGGGATTGTTGGATAATATGGTAGTTCTACTTTAAAATTTTGAAGGAAACTTCATACTGTGTTCTATAATGACTGTATTAGTTTACATTTCAAGCACAGTATATAAAAGTTCCTTTTTCTCTTTTTCTCATTCTTATCACTTTTTTTGTCTTTTTGATTATTGACATTCAAATGGGGTAAGATGCTGTCTTGGGATTTAGATTTGGATTTCCTTGACAAGGAGTGATGTTGAGCACATATGTCTATTTTTATGCCAGTGCCATGCCAATTTGGTTACTATAGCTTTGTAGTATATTTTGGAGTCATATAGTGTGATGATTCCAGTTTTATTCATTTTGCCCAGAATTGCTTTGGCATTTAAGAGTCTTTTGTGTTCCATGCAATTTTAGAACTCTTTCTTTTTTCTATTTCTGTGAAGAATAGTATTAGTAATTTCATAGGGATTGCATTGAATCTGTAAATAAAATTGTTCTAAATTTTTAATGCCTATTTTTATAAACAGCTATCCTCAGGAAAGAAATGAAAAAATACTAAAAACATATCCTGAATCTTACAGTTGTAAGTAGTATTGCATCAAAACAAAAACATTTCTTCTCATTATCATTTCATTTAGTTTTTGTAAAAATATTGAGAAGAACAAATACTAATGGCTAACTTAAAAACGTAGCAATGGATAATAAGTAATAAATCCTTATTCTGGCCTCTTCTACACTGTATTGTTCCAAATAGACTAGAGCAGCATAAAAAAAATCTTATTTGAACCTTATTATAATACAATTTTGCACACTTTTTAAAAAATTAATGCTTATTCAAATATACAATGAGATAAAACACCAACACATAGCATTAGGTGAATTAATATATTTTGCACATAATATTGATTAATACTGTTAGCATTGTTGCCAGAATTTTTCACTGATTTGGGGTTATTAGTATGTTTTTGGCTGTAGTGCAAAATTTTTTCTCTAATTCTTTCTCTGCTTTTTTCTCACATAAGACACACGTATTGAACTTTGTGTTTCCTGTCATTTTTCACAATGAAGAACACCATTCAAAATCATGCTTGACAGGATAAAACTTATGCCTATAACAATACAGATTATTCTCTATGTAAATAAAAGTAGATATATTCTTTTCTGAGTGGATGTTTAGCTGAGGTCCTGACATTTGTGGGTATGTGTGTTTTATTTGCATTGATGTTGAAAGAATGCACAGACATAAAGTCTTATATTCTAACATATTAATGGAAATTACAATTACATTTCTACACTATCAATTTAAATACTAAATGTGTTGCTTAAAAATAATTTTTTAAGTTCAACAATTCCATAATTATTGTGGCCAGGGTACAGTAATAGTAGATAATGCATATTTTAATCTGGTAATAGTTACATTGTCTTTTTTCCTAAAAATCTAAGTTTTACATTTGCATTTTTAAGGACTTTACAACCACTTACAGATACATTTTGCTTGTCATGACTAATGAGACAATATGCATGTAATTATGCTGTTCATGGTAAATTCTTGTCAGTGTTTTATTATGTTCATCACCATATTTCCAGTGCCTACCATAATACCTAAGCATGTAAGAATGAATGAATAATAATTTAACAAAGGCATAAAAAATATTATTTTTTTAAAAGTTATGTTAGTGAACGAATAAATTTGTGTTTATTTTTGAAACTTCAGTGTATTCATCTTAAAGAATATATAGTTTCAAATCTTGTTGGACATTTTGTTTTATTCAATATCTTATGAGGACTCCTGAGCTTATTGTGACTGTATGAAGTTTGCAAAGTCAAATGAGAATTTCAAATATTCATTTAGGAGTGTTGTTGCTTCCAAGAGACTTTATAAATAATTATTCTTCCTACATTTGGCAACCCAATTACAGAGAATAGTTTTCTGAGGCAGTAATATAACGTTTTGGGGAGATTCCTAACACATTTGAAATTTCGGTAGAAAATTTAAATCATGTGACTACTAACAACTTGGGGTTCAAACAATTAACAGGTTATGATATTCCAGGAATCAAAAATGGCTTCTAAATCTGTAAATTAATGGTACCTATGCAGGAAAGTAATGAATCTCTCCCAATCTCAAATCATATAACACGGTCCACATACCTTGGGCTGGTTTTCTCCAGCAAACTAAACTTTCCTCCACATGAGTCTTTACAAAACATTATTTCTTTTCCTTAGCACACTCTTCTGCCAGCTCATTTTTTGCTGAACTTTTGCTCTCACTTCTGGAGTACTTTATCAATTTTCACAATAATGTCATAGTACAAACCACCTAAAACCTAGTGCTTTACAACAACAAAAGTTATTTTTACACATGAGCCCTGGTGGACTCTGAGGGTACAGTGGCATGGGTTGGACTCAGCTAATCTTTGCTAGACTCATTCAGTTATTTGCAGAAGTTGACTCTTTGGTGTAGGCTGGTTGCTCTAGGATGACCTAGCTGGGATGACTCCACTTGTTGCTCACATTGCTCCATTAGTCTGCTCTCAGTAGGTACTCATAGTGTTGTGAGGAACCCAAAAAGAAAAAAAATGTAAAAGCAAAAGTGCTTTCTCAAGCTTCCGACTGGCCAAAATAATTCAATAATGAAGCCCAGAATGAGTGTGGGTAGATAGTGTCAAGGGGTATAGATACGAGGTGGAATGAAAAATAGACTATTCATGCAATGAATCTCTTACAATATCTATTTCCTATGTGCATTTCTGTCTGTATCAATGTCTGCATATTTATATGGATACACTTTAATTTGATTTCAAGTCCAAATAACAAAATGGCAAAAGCAGGTGTTTCTTTGCTTATATCAAAAAATTTTTAAAAGTTGACCTGTGCTTTGATTCTATGACAATAAAAATGTCATATGTCACACAGTATAAAATATTTGTAACAATATTTTATCTTTTCAATTCAAATTTAATAGCTTATTGGACTTCTCTTTTCTATTTTCTATGCACCATTAAACATCAGACATCTCTTGTCTCATTCTCACCTAATTTTTTATCTTGTTGAAAACCCTAGAAAATTTGTTATATCCTTTTTATTGTCCATATGAATTAAACTGTCTTCTATTGTTATATTTCAGAAAATGTATCTTCTCTCTACCTCCCACTAGAATGAAATCTTAAATGCAAGACAATATCTAATTATTTCTCCAAAATTACTCTTATGTGTCACATTTTTATCAATATTGGATATCATTATAAAGGCTAGTATTATTAGTTATGTACTGATGCTTATTAGTATTAATCAACTAGCATTGTGAAGGACCATTATGAATTACTATTAATATAAATATACATATGTCTTAAGTATGGCTTGACATGAGGATAAACTTTATGATATCTAGGACAGTAGCTCTCTATCCTAGGTGTATACTGGAATCTACCACAGCGCTTTATAAATGTAAATTTCCAGTCTTCAATCTGGTAGATTCTGAGATATGTTTGTATTAGTTGTTAATATTTTTCAGAAGTTGATTTCAGAGGCCAGGGAATTATATTATCAAAATGTAGAAAAATGAATAGTTAAGTTCCTTAGCATAGGACATATATAACCAAAAGACAATCTGAATTATTAATCCAAGCTTACGCAAACGAGAAAGACAAAGAAAAAATATTAAGAGCTGCAAACAGCAGTAGGTTGTTCTCAACAGAATTATTCATAAAGTGATAAAGAATCTACAGAAGAAAAGTTATTTCTAAGGCTAGGCCTAAAAGAGTAACCCAGCTTAGTTTATTCAGAAGGCCAATAGTGTACATCTTAGAAAGACTGAAGTAAAAACCAGTGGGTTTATACTTTTTTATTTAAATAGAGGCTTATCTTTTAAAAGTAGAAAATACTATATGGCTACATGCCAAATCATTTCAGATGGAACTATAACTGAAGAATTACAAAAAAAAATTGAAAAAGAGGTCCCTCTTTATTACAGCAGCCTTACAAATTTCTTGACATGAGAAATTTTATTCATCAGTTCTCTTACTTAGTTTGACCTTTATAATCATAAGAATTGTATGAGTTACTGTTATCAGCACTTCATCAGAATATTTTGATTACCTATTCCTGTACAGCACAGTATCCCAAAACACAGTGGGTTAGCATAACCGTTTCATTTGTTTCCTATTCAATGGATTAGGAACATCAATAGGACATTGCAGGTGCAGTTTATCTTTGCTCCAGTTGATGCCTGATGGGGATGAAATGCTCAAGATTACTTCTTGTTTGACATATGTACTCAGCTAAGATTGCTTCTGTGTTTGAGGAATAGTTAGAATGTATCAGCTGGGATAGGATGATTCGGTTCCAAGATGTCTCATGCACATGACTATCAAGATGGTTCTGGCTGTTTGCTGGAAGCTCAACAGAGACTTACAACTGAAAAAAGTATGCTTATTGTCAACTGGGCTTCTCAGTTCTCTGGTGCATGGTGATATTAGTTTTTTTCACAGCATGATGGGTTCAGGATATTTGTACTTCTTATGTGGTTGCTTGCTTCTAAAAGTGCAAAAAGCAGAAGCTGCCAAAGTTTCTTCTGGTTTAGGTCCAGAAATGACACATAATTTAATTAAAGCAGATCACCAGCTCAACTTGGACAGGAGGGGGGGCAGTGGAAGTTCTACACTAATGTAAATACCAGGAAGCATTATTCACTGGGACCACCAATATAAACATTTACAATAGGTTGATCTTTGGCCCCCCACTAATGTTTGACTTAACCTATGCAAAACACATTCAACTACCCACCAAAGGAATTCAAAATCTCATGTTATTACAGCATGAAGCTCAGGTTTGAAGTCCCAGATCTCATCTTGTAAGTCAGGTCCAGGTTTGGGTAAGACCACTCAAGTATGGTAATTTTTAAAGTGATAATCTATAAATTTAGCAGACAAGTTACTTTCTTTCCACATATCCAACATATTTGAGATAAGAACTACATAACTTTAACATTTTTATTCATGATGAAGGTTGGTTGATGAAAGGCACATAGCAGCTGTTAGTCCGTAATAATTCTTAAATCCAGCTGAACCAACATGTACTATTAGGGCCCAATTATTAGGGCTGAACACAGTTATTAATAGGGCCCTATTTTATTCCTATGAATAGTTCTATATGATCACTGGATATATTTGGATATACTTGGATTCTGTATGATTCTATGGTTATTGACTCTTCCTTCTGAATCATATTTTCCACCTGACCCTCCCTTAAAAAATTTGCCCTAGGCTTGCAGCTGAGTAGTTTTCTCAAACTGCTTTCTGTTCAGATAGAGTTGCAGGCCTAAAACCTCTTTTCATTTGGAAATTTCTCAAACCCTTTTTGTCCAAGCAAATGTGTTTTTCTTTACCAATATGTGTGTTTCCTACGTACTAAGTTATAATCTTCTCCAGTAGACAAAATACGCACACGCGCATGCACACACACTCACACCTCCCTGAGATAGATTCTCCTCTACTTTAGGCTCAAAGTCAGGCGGCTTAAGATTTTGAAAGGTTTTATTATACAGTTTAGAGGGTCTTGATGCTGATGCCCCTCCTTAGATCTTTCTAAGGTTTTGATTAAAGGTTACATAGGAATCTCATTGTGAAGATGACTTTTACTGGCAGTTCCCTGATTTTACTTTGTGCTAAGACATTTCTCATTTTGAGAACCTCAAGCTGGCTCAATAAATTAGAACTGAGAAACAGTTTTATTTTCCAATAATAAAAAGTGGTTTGAAAATATTTTATTTAAATTCTGCTTGAAAGTGATCAGTTCTTTCATTAATTCATTCACTTTAATATATACCTTATCCCATTTAGGTAATTTAAAAAAAATACACACTGCTATGGTTTCAATGTGTCCTCCAAAGTTCATGTGTTGCAAACCTAATCCCTAACACAACAGTGTTGAGAGGTAAGACCTTTAAAAGGTGATTATGTCATGAAGGATCTAGCCTCCTGAATGGATTAATGCTATTATGGTGGGAATGGTTTCCTTATCACAAGGAGGGGTTACCCTCTTCCTGTCTTTCTTGCATGCTTATGCTCATGTGCCCTTCCACCCTCTACCATGGAATGACACAGCAAGAAGAACCTCACTGGGCTAGGCCCGTCGATTTTGAACTTTCCAGCTTCCAGAACTGTGAGCCAAATAAACTTCTATTGTTTACAAATTACCCATGTGTGATACTGTGATATTCTTTTTTTTTTTTTTTTTTTTTTTTTTGACAGGGTCTTGCTCTGTCACCCAGGCTGGAGTATAGTGGCGCAATCTCGGCTCACTACACCTCCTGGGTTCAAGCAACTCTCCTGCCTCAGCCTTCTGAGTAGCTGGGATTATAGGTGCACACCACCACTCCTGGCTAATTTTTGTATTTTTAGTAGAGATGGGGTTTCACCATGTTGGCTAGGCTGGTCTCAAACTCTTGACCTCGTGATCCACCCACCTTGGCCTCCCAAAGTGCTGGGATTACAGGCGTGAGCCACCGTGCCTGGCCCACTCTGTGATATTCTGTTACAACAAAATGTACTGAGAAACACATGAATAAAACTAAAAAACTAATTGGCACTTTTAATGTCTACATTGAAATTATTTTAGCCAACTCTATAAGTTCACAAGTTTGTTAAATGTATATTTTATCTTCCATACTACTACAAGTGATAGTCTCACCAGTGAAAACATTTTCTTCTGCCTCAATAGCAATTTCCTCCCTACCTTTTTTTTTTTTTTTTTTTTTTTTTTTTTTTTTTGAGAGAAAGGGTCTTTGTTTGCCCAGGCTGGAGTGCAGTGGGACATTCATAGCTTACTGTAACCTCAAACATTTGGCTTAAGCAATCCTCTAGCTAGGACCACAGGTGTGTGCCATCACACCTGGCCATTTTTTAAATTATTATTCATTTTAGAGACTGCTCATGCTGGTCTCTAACTACTGACCTCAATCAGTCTCCTGCCTTAGCTATCCAAAGCTCTGAGATTACAGGTTTGACCCAAAATGCCCAGCCTCTAGGTATTAATTTTTTTAATTATCTGTATCTGTTGTTATAGACTGAACTATGTTCCCCCATCTCCAAATTTGCATGTTGAAATGCTCACTCCCAATGTCGCTGCACTGGGGATATAGAACCTTTAGAGAGATAATTAAGATTAAATAATGTCAAAAGGGTGGGGTCCTAATCCAATATGGCTGAAGCCCTTATAAGAAGAGGAAGAGCAACTAGCAATGCAAGAATGCAGTGAGAAGGCAGATGTCTGCAAGTCCAATAAAAAGGCCTCAGGGGAAACCAAATATGCCCACACCTTGATCTGGAACTTCCAGCATCTGTAACTTCAAGAAAATAAACTTCTGTGTTTAAGGCCTCAAAATGATTATTTTTGTTTGTTTGTTTGTTTGTTTATGTCAGCCCCAGAAAATTAATATATCTGCTTAAGAAAATATTCACAGTATAGTGAACTCAAACAACTGTCATATTTGCTCATTATTCTTTGGTTAGGGATTTGGATAGGGCATTGTAAACATAAATACTTTCCACATCACATCATGAAAGTTCAAGATTATTCCCACACATTTGGTGCATCAATTAGAGTGAGTGGTTTGAATGTCTGCAGCTAGTCAGGATCCATTTCCAAGATGACACAATCACAGTGCTGGTAATCTGGTGCTGGGTATCGATTGGGAGCTCTCACAGCACTCTCAGCTGGGGCAAGAGTTCTCTCTGGTCCAGAAGAGATCTTCAGTTCTCCTCCCTGCGGTTTCTACGTGTGGCTGTCTCAGCTACCTAAGACTTCCTTTATCTGTCTAAGTATAGTAGTCTCAGAGTTGTTGACTTAACATGGCTACTAACTTCCTAATAAATTGTCAGATAATCTTAAATTTTCTGCCCTAAACTGGCACAGCATCACTTTTTGCCGCACTTCATTGGTTAAAGCAGATAGCAGAGTCCGCCCAGATTCAACACTGGGAAGAAATATTTCATGCAGAAGTGCCTGTGTAATATTCTATATGTTTATATGTGTGTGTGTGTATACACACACACATATAAACATATAGATACATGTTAATATATATGTATATATAACTACATAAAATTCTTATCTGATTTATCTGACAATCTTTGTCGCATATTGTGTGACTTAATGACACAATCTCACATATGAAGAAACGTTCATACAAATGATGCCTTGCAGTAATATCTGAAAAGACAAAACTACTTGAATGTTCTAAAACCTGCATATTTTACACAGAATTACTGCAGTCTTACAATAATATTTTTTAAATAAAATTTAGATTCATTTTTTATGTTTGGAAATTTACTTGGTGATTTTTTGAGGAATAAAATTACTTCTGTAAGGATAGACATTTTTATAGTATTTGCTTCCTAATTATGAATGTGCTACACCTATTCATCCAGAGATTTTCATAGGTTATCTTTTCAGATATTATATATTGAATAAACTTTAATATTTTAACTGGTTCTTTTTACTTTTCTTGTTTCTAGTGATAATAGAATTATGCTTTACTTTAATGGGCACTTCACCTAGTTTCAAACAGACATGTTTATCACAATAAAGCATTAATCTCTATCTGTGGTTTATTAACACCAATAATTAAGAGATGTTATCAGACTACACGTCTGTGACATAAGTACTACCTGTATTAGTGACCGTATTTAAGAGAGTCCAGGTAGTCAATAGCTATGCAGATGTAACAGGTATACTCTAAAAATATTTTTAGGAAAAATTGAAGGCATAATTTAAAATATATGCGGGTCTGGCATAGTTATTCATATATACAGAAATTCTTGATGTAGTGAGCTCCTAGGTTCTTTATTGCAAATATTTAGTTAGAAACGGCCTCCTGAAAGCAGCGACACCATGACAATGCAAGCAACTTCTGAACAGTTCTACAACAGTAACGTCCTCTACGGCATTATTTTGCTGGGGGTTCAGAAACACCAGGAAAACAACTCCAACCTTGAGTGACAGGGTCTACATTTTCTTTTAATTCAGTCCTGCTGTTCTCCTAAATTTTTATTATTTATTTAGTTATTATTTTTTACTTTTTTTTTTTTTTTTTTTTGAGACGGAGTCTCGCTCTGTCGTCCAGGCTGGAGTGCAGTGGCGCTTTCTAGGCTCCCTGCAAGCTCCGCCTCCCGGGTTCAAGCGATTCTCCTGCCTTAGCCACCAGAGTAGCTGGGACTACAGGCGCCCGCCACCGCGCCTGGCTAATTTTTTTGTATTTTTAGTACAGACGTGGTTTCACCATGTTAGCCAGGCTGGTCTCGATCTCCTGACCTCAGGTGATCCGCCCCCCTCGGACACCCAAAGTGCTGTGATTACAGGCGTGAGCCACCGCGACCGGCTCGTTCTCCTAAATTTAAAACTTCATCACGATCTATCCATTCAATCAGATCATAAACTCAAGTCATAAGCAATCTAGAATGTCTTCCTTTCCCTCAGCATCACTCTGGCTGAATCCACCTTTTAAATATGTCTCTAAACCGTCGTTTTTCACTTAATACCAATTTCAGTCTGTTTTAGTTCAGATCTTTGGCTTATATTATTTACATAAGTTTCTAATTTGATTGTTACAATCAACACATCATGGAACTCTTGATCTTTATTTTTGCTTACCTCCTATTTATCCTCCATTTTTCTGACCTAAGTGATTTATGTATAAAATAAATCTACACTTATCATTCTTTTAAAAATCCCTGGAAGACATGGCACAAGCCTGTCAGCATGATATGAAAAGCCCTGTTCTATCACTCCATCATTTTTCTCACATATCTCACACACATTTTTACTCTGATGTTACCAAACTACTAAAGTTTTAAACACACACGTTTTTTTCCTTGCCTGTTTGTTTGTACCTGTTGCTTTCTCTTTCTGGAGAGCTTTTAGTCTCTTCTGTGCTGTCTCATTCTTATCCTTCAACACTCAGTTCAACTGCTTCCAGTTCTAAGAAGTCTCCTTTGGCAACACCCCCGTTCTTACACAGTCCAGCCTGTAATAAGTGCCTTTTCCACATTGTCATAGTGCATTGGACATGCTTCCTTTTTATACAAAACACCTACATGCTTGAAATTTGTTGCATTGCCTAGTCCATATTATATTAGTTAGTGAAAAAGTAACTGCGATTTTTTCCATTAAAAGTAATGGCAAAAACTGCAATTACTTTTGCACCAAACTAACACTGTGACCTCACTAGGGAATACCAGTGTGGTATGTATACAAAAGAGACTGTAGCAAAGTAAGATGTCATAATTTCATATTTAATTTAAAAGAAGCTTTTTCTCTTATTCCTGTTTTACCTCTTCATCTTCCTCTCTTCATTTTAACACAAGATGTTAATAACCTCTCTAGGTCTTTCTCAGTTCATAATATTGCACCTGAAGAAAGTTTATTTATTTTGATAGATGCACCTATACGTTCAACTAAATTGTGTGTATGAGAACAAGAAGACCATCTATAATTGTTTGATCCTTTGAAGAAAAGATAATGGCAAAAATTCAACTTACAAATACATATTAGGTATACATTTTTGTCTGAGATACAAGTAGATTATAAAATAAAATCTTAAAATTATGCCTAAAATGACACTTAACTGACAGTTTTTGGATAGAGTCAAAATCTATTAGCTGATAGGTATATTGAGAAATGATCTGGCACTGAACCAAGTTTTTGGTGTCAAATACAGTGTTATTTAATCAAATGGAAAAATAATTCACTTAAATTCAGACCTAACAATAAATGATATTTCTGGCATAAACAAACACATGCTTTATGTAACTGTTAGAAGATAAGTGAAAAGCCCTTGCAGCATATTCAATATGGGGAAAAGTAAGGACAATGCCAGTCACCGAAAAAGAAAAATTAACTTATTTTTTCTCAGAGAAAAATAATGTAAAATACTATCTAGTTGCATTTAAAAAATTGCTTTTTGCTTTACAAAATTAGCCATTACACTCCCGGATATTTATTTAAGAGTAATGAAGAATTAAGTTCAAACAAAAATCTACACAAGAAGGTAATTTTATTTGTAATAGCCCCACATTGGAAACACTGAGTTGTTCCTTCATGAGTGAATGATTAAGCAGACTGTGCTGATGCATCCTTGCCATAGTATACTACTCAGCAGTATAAAGGAACTATTTCCTGCAGCAATCTGGATGAATCTCCAGAGAATTACACTGAGTGAAAAAGGTCAACCCCAAAAGGTTACATATCAGACAATTCCATTTATATAACCTTCTTGAAATTACAAAATTATAGAACTAGAGAACAGGTTCGTGGTTGCCAGAGGATAATAAGGGAGTGAGGTAGGAGGAAAGTAAGTGTGGCTATAAAAGAGTAATGACAGGAATACTTGTGATGATGGAAATGTCCTATATTTTCGATGTCGATATTCTCATTGTGGTATTGTACTATAATTAGGCCAAATATTAAAGGGTATATGGGTTCTCTCTGCATTGCTTCTTAAAACTGTAAGTGCATCCAGAATATTACACAGTAAAAAGAGTTTAATTTAAAAAAGCAATTCTGGCTGGATGCGTGGCTCAGTCTTGTAATCCCAGCACTTTGGGAGGTTGAGGCAGAAGGATAGCTTGAGCTCAAGAGTTCCAGACTAGCCTGGGCAACATGGCAAAACCCTATCTCAACAAAAAAATACAAAAAAGTACAAAAAGGTAGCCAAGCATGGCGGTGTGCACCTGTGGTCCCAGCTACTTAGGAGGCTGAGAAGGGAGGATAACTGGAACCTGGGAGATGAAGGCTGCAGTGCACCTCCATGATTCCATCATGGTGCACTGCAGCCTGGGCAACAGAGCAAGATCCTGTCTCAAAAAAATATAATTTTATTGTTAATTTAAAAATGGTAAAGGGGAATTTTATTCCCCTTAAATGATGTCTTCCTTAAGGTCTTCCTTAAGGTATGTAGTAAAGGATTTGAATAAAGTATGTGCTTTTAACCACCAAGTACAGATACATATATATTAGAAGACCAGATTTAATCTCAGGCTAATTATTTTTTAAAAAAATCTATTGATAATATAGATAATAAACTATTGTGTGTTACATAATTTTTAAAAATGACACAATCCTAACCATGTATTAAGCAACCTATCCCATTAGGTATTATTGAGAAAAGTAAAAATTGATGTGATTTTAATGTTTTTATCACTATTTTTTTCATCAATAACAATGTTAGCATTTCTTACTGTTCTTTACACTGTCTTGGAAATAAAGGCACAGAAAAACATGGCATCAAGTAAGTTATTGGTGTTCACTATAAAATTCTAACCAAATGAGGTGTCAACTCCTTACCAATGGTTTATTAAATGCAAAAATATTATAACACAATGATAAATAATATGTTTCATGACATTGAGGATTCATGTCTGAAATAACAAGTGCCTAATCTGCTTATTAATGAGAAAGTGTAAAGTTATCTGATGCAAAAAACATGCTCTGGGAAATTGGGGTAGGTGGTGATGGTAATAATTATTGTTAATTCCAAACCAAATACCTATGTTAGGAATGTTTCTTTTAAATCACTCGTGTAGTGTGAGTAAAATGAGTTGAGATATTGCTCAAATTCAATTACATAAGGTATTCTAATGTATAAATTGTACTTTAAACTCATATATGAAATTAGATTTGATATTAGGTGTTACAATGTCTTTGTAATACATCAACTGAAACATCATATTGAAGTTTTTTTTTTTTTTTTTTGAGACGGAGTCTCGCTCTGTCGCCCAGGCTGGAGTGCAGTGGCGGGATCTCGGCTCACTGCAAGCTCCGCCTCCCGGGTTCACGCCATTCTCCTGCCTCAGCCTCCCAAGTAGCTGGGACTACAGGCGCCTGCCACTACGCCCGGCTAATTTTTTGTATTTTTAGTAGAGACGGGGTTTCACCGTTTTAGCCGGGATGGTCTCGATCTCCTGACCTCGTGATCCGCCCGCCTCGGCCTCCCAAAGTGCTGGGATTACAGGCGTGAGCCACTGAAGTTTTTTAGAAGAAATTTTTTATGTTAAAACATCGTGAAGGAGTCAGAAACCTCAAATGTCTTCATTTAATTCAGTGTTATTTTTAGTTGAAATATGAATCACTTAAGCTATTCATACTTTTATTCATTTATTCTCATATATATTTATCCAATAGTACCATATTTATTATAGTAAAGACTGTCAGAATTCACTTACCAAAAGTTTTTCAAATGTTAAGCACTCTACCACAATGTATACTTGAGAATATGAACTATGCCATTAATATCTATTAAATATGCTTTTTTAGTCAATAAATATTTGTAATATGTAAGGAGAAAATAAAATCAGAATATTATGAAAATATATAACCACAGCATCTAATGTTATATTTATTAAAGTTTTTTTTTAAATTTCATCACTTTACCTATCATGACAGGTAAAATGTACAGTGACTAAATGAAACAAAGTCATGAGGAAATCTACCAATCTATCTGCAAGATTGTTAAAACTAAGGCTCTGATTTATTTTTCAGGGAACTTTGTTAACATTTTAATATAATGTACATTACTCTTGTATAATATACAAGAGTATAATATACAGTGTAATTTAAAGGTAAAATGGAAATGTTACAGTTGTGGCTATTAGTGTATTATTTTCTATTTTTATAGCTTGTATGTGAAAAACAAGAATGCACATTTACATAACATTTTTAAATTTCATCATGTATTTATTTATAAATTTCAATATGTATGTATTTATCAATTTCAATATGTATGCATTTATTTTAATGTTAGGGTAACCTCTGTAGATGTATAACTTCTTTAAGAATATAGATGAAGAAGCCACATTACCTAGATTGAAATCTTGCCTTCATTATGCTATATATTAGAATCAAATTCAGTTGATTATGCCAGAAAGTCAAGAACATCATGAATCAAAAATTTTTTTCTATTCATATTTAAAAAATCAAAAGTATAAGGTGATATGTTCTCATCATGTACCCAGTGTCCTAGATTTTCACTCCACATTAGAGTATGACCTCATCTTTTGCTCTCAGATGCCTGCCAGAGCTCCTTTGAGCATCTCCAGGCAGCCAGAAAGGAGAAGAGCAAAGGGCAAAATGGGTTGCCATCTGAGTCTGCCTTCCCAAAATCTTACCCAGTGATTCTCTTTTTATATCTCACTGGCCAAACCTATGTCACTTGGCCATCTCTACCTGTGGGATGAGTTGCTACCCCCCCCAAAAATAAGAACTTTATTAATAAGGAAAAAAGAAAAATGTGGATTTTGCAGGCTACTTGCTACTCACAGTCTCTGCCACAATCACCCTCCAAGTAACTTTGAATAATTAAAACAAGCAGAAATTGATTATGTAATACTCACATCAAGCCTGCTGTTTTGTCCAGATAACTTATGTTGACAAAACCAGCCACAGGCATTTGAGACTGTAACTACTCATTCACTCTAAGGAAGCCCAAAGGCATATAGCAGGGCCTGATATCCAATACAGAGATCTTAAGCTGAATGATTAAGGATTCTGTGGTTAAGATACAAATATGATATAAGCAAAATCATTACTCTTGAATTATCCTGTCTTCTCAATATTTATTGTTTGGGTTTTTCCTAGACCGTCCCCTGCCACGATTAGCGAGCTGGTGGCTATGTCTTGCACATATCACATAACAAGCTAGTGGGAACATTCCCCAAAATAGTGTTTTGGTGGGAGAAGCACAAGCCATTCTCCTGCACTTTAGAGGATTTGTGATAGAGATCCTAAAGATGATCAAAATCAAAATTTATTCTCTTCAGTACTGGGCCATAGAAATTTTCCTTTGAACATTACAGAAGTCCAGGGACTTTTCTGGAAGATTACATTGCAAGGAATCAGTTTTAGACAAATTGACACTTCTCAGTTCACACACCTCATTCCCAAGTGTAACTAATAAACATCTGTTATGATTAGGTTTTGTGTCCCTATCCAAATCTCGTCTTGAATTGTAATCCCCGCTTGTCAAGAAAGAGACAAGGTAGAGGTAATTGAATCATGGGGGTGGTTTACCCCATGCTATTCTCATGATAGTGAGTGAGTTCTCATGAGATTTTATGGTTTTATAAGGGGCTCTTCTCCTTTCACTCAGCACTGTTTCTTCCTGCTGCCATGTGAAGAAGGTGCCTTGCTTCCCCTTCACTTTCCACCATGATTGTAAGTTTCCTGAGACCTCCTTAGCCATCCTGAATTGTGAGTCAATTAAACCTAATTCCTTTATAAATTACCCAGCTTTGGGCAGCTCTTTATAGCACTATGACAATGGACTAATACAGCAACATACAGTACACCTTCAGTAAACTGTACCTTTTCAACCCATAGGGATTGTAAGGCTGTTTACTGTCATTATCATAGAAACACAGCAGAATTGCTGACATAGGACACTGGATTATCATTACGTCTTGTGTAGGATAGCCGTATGTTGATTAGTGAGCTGTTAAGAGTGTTCCAATATGAGACTGCATAAATTATAAATATCCTATCTGAGTCACCAGATGACTCTGTCATTTCAAGGAGTTTTTAATGAGCAAACTCCTACAGACCACCTATACCAATGACACTTCCATTACACTGAACACATAAGATGAGGAATAAAATTTTGAAGTTCTTTAAATTTTTCTCTTCTGGTTGATTTGTGCCCTCCTGTATTATTTTCTATTTTTATTTAAGATATCAGTAAGATAGGGCAGATTTTTCAGTTGGGAGAAGAGAGGGTACCCTATGTTTCTGTTCCTTGGGCATAAAAATTTGATCAGGAAGTAGATTAATATCTCCCCTCAGAAGAGTCGTACCCCTTGGTTACTCTTGACCAAGCTTTCTAAAACTGAGAATAAAAACCAAGGAATCTTATTCTTCATGGCATCCTATTCTGGAATTAGAATATTGACTTTTGAATTGTTAGGAATATAAACTGCATGATTAGGGAAATACCAGCTCTTACCCCTGGGTACCAGCTTATCTTACTGGTTGCTGATTAAACTGGCCCACTCCAAATATAGTTGTTGGACACAAGCCTTATAATTGCAGTGTTACCTTTATGGTATGACTAGTGGCAGGACTGGCTACTTTGGAATTCCCAGATGCACCAGCTCATCCCCTTAGTACAAGCAAATATTAGAGAAGTGAGAGTACAACACTTGCAGTTTTCCCATTCTTGTAGTTGTCTAGAAATAGGTATTTTAAGAATGGACCTTAATTCAACTTCCATTGAATATGTAGAATGACAATTTCTTTTCTAAGATGATGGCTTTAAGCATGTTAACATTTACTTTTCATTAGGCAGGTCACTTATGATTTGGGTAGATTGATTACTTTAGCTGCTTGCAATGATTAAATAAAGTTATACACACAATAAGCTTAAATGATACACCTTAAGTATTTTAATTATTAGCATATATATTTATATTATTGTAATTGTAAAAATATATGCAGTATGTTTTGTATATATATGTGTATACACATACACACACAGAGATTATCTTCATTAGACAATAAAGAAATGGAGGCTCAAAAAACATAAGTGAACTGCCCAAGAACATACAAAAGTAAATGATAACGTAAGTATAAATATCTAATTTTCTAAAATCTACCTTTTTAAAAATCTACACGCAAAATATATTTGGGGCTATATATATATATGTCAAGAGTGACAAATTTTAATATAATAGAAAAAGAATTTTTACTTAATTGATAACTATTAAATTTCTCCTTCATAAAATGTGTTTTCATACTATTTTTAAAAATATATAAAATATAAAAAGTATCAAAATCAGAACACTAAATATAATTAAAATGTAATTTGATTTTTTAAATTATTCAAAATTTTTAAATATAAAGTTATTTTTAAACATTTAAATGTAACAGAAAATTCTAAACTTTAGAAAATACTAGTTCAAGAAATATCTACTATATATTAAACAATGGTGCTGAAAATATGTTTTTTAATGCTATTATAAACAGAAAAAAAAGAACATTACCTTTCTAAAATAATGCTTATTATTGTTCAATTTTATCACATAAGTTAAATGGCATAGGAGCTTTAGTCTTCTGTATATTATTTAAGAAAGGATATGGTAGTAGATGACATCTCTTACATAGCTAATTTTTAAAAATAAGTTATTTTTTTTTATTTTTCGAGACGGAGAGTGCAGTGGTGCGATCTCGGCTCACTGCAAGCTCCGCCTCCTGGGTTCACGCCATTCTCGTGCCTCAGCCTCCAGAGTAGCTGGGACTATAGGCGCCCGCCACCACGCCCGGCTAATTTTTTGTATTTTTTGTAGAGACGGAGTTTCAACGTGTTAGCCAGGATGGTCTCGATCTCCTGACCTCGTGATCCGCCCACCTCAGCCTCCCAAAGTGCTGGGATTACAGGCGTGAGCCACCGCGCCCGGCCAAAAATAAGTTATTTTTATATGATAAAATTATAGAACATTTGAAAAATTAAAAATTTCAGAAAAAAACAGAATAGGAGAGCAACTAAAAGCACAGGTTTTGAAGTTGTGCTCCTCAGGTAAAAATTCAGGCTCCATAATTTCTAAGTAGAATCTGGTAAAATGCTTTTCATGTTATCTTACATACCTAATGTCTCTCATCTGTTAAAATGGCAAAATAAGAATATATATTGTAGTATTCATGGTTTACTTGAATAAAGCAAATGAAAGTTTTTTTTTTAAATAAGAATAATATAGAATGTGTTTCCCCAAAAAATGTCAGCCAGCATTGTAAAAGCTTTTTTGAAAAAATAACATTGAGATTATCTTTTAATATAAATTGTAGAATATGACAATAAATTCCTTTTCCTATTACCCCAAGAAGTTTAGTAAAATATTGCATTATTTTGACTTATTATATATATTCTCTCTCTAAGTTTTGTTACTCTCACTTAGATAAAACTAAATATATACAAAAATTTTATTGTTTTAAAGTTGAACTTTATATTAATAAAATGGCCCTACTGCCCAAAGGTAGTTAGAGATTCAATGCTATTCCTATCAAACTACCAATAATATTTTTAACATAATCAGAAAAAACATTTTAAAATTCATTTGGAATTTAAAAAGAACACAAATAGCCAAAGTAATCCTGAGCAAAAAGAGCAAAGCTAGAGGCATCACATTACCCGGCTTAAAACTATACTACAGGACCACAGTAACTAAAACAACGTGGTACTGGTACAAAAACAGACTCATAGACCAATGGAACAGGTTAGAGAATGCAGAAATAAAGCCTCACACCTACAAACATCTGATCTTCAACAAAGCTAACAAAGCCAAGGAATTTGGGAAATGATTCCCTGTTGAGTAAATGCTGCTGGAATAACTGACTAGGCATATGCAGAAGATTGAAGCTGGACCCCTACCTTTCACCATTTACAAAAATCAACTCAAGATGGATTAAACACTTAAATGTAAAGCCTAAAACTATAAAAACTCTGGATGATAACCTAGGAAATACCATTCTGGATATCAGCCCAGGCAAAGACTTCATGAGGAAGACTACAAAGCAATTGCAACAGAAACAAAAATTGAGTAGT
Source organism: Homo sapiens (assembly GCF_000001405.40). NCBI lineage: Eukaryota > Metazoa > Chordata > Mammalia > Primates > Hominidae > Homo > Homo sapiens. The sequence continues at coordinate 190,846,696 of NC_000001.11, forward strand.
GGGAACTAATTAAACTAAAGAGCTTCTGCACAGCGAAAACAAACAACAACAACAACAACAAAAGACTATCAACAGAGTAAACAGACAACCTACAGAATGGGAGAAGATACTTGCAAACTATGTATTCAAAAAAGGTTGAATATTAAGAATCTATTAGGAACTCAAAACAAATTAAAAAGCAAAAACAAACAACACCATTAGAAAATGGGCAAATGGGCAAATGGGCTGAGCATGGTGGCTCACGCCTGTAATCCCAGCACTTTGGGAGGTCGAGGCAGGCAGATTACCTGAGGTCAGGAGTTTGAGACCAGCCTGGCTAACATGGTGAAACTCCATTTCTACTAAAAATACAAAAAGTTAGCCAGGCATGGTGGCACACACCTATAATCCCAGCTACTCGGGAGGCTGAGGCAGGAGAATCGCTTGAACCAAGGAGGCAGAGGTTGCAGTGAGCCGAGATCACGTCATTGCACTCCAGCTTGGGCAACAAGAGTGAAACCCCGTCAAAAAAAAAAAAAAAAAGAAAAAGAAAAAGGAAGGAAGGAGGGAAGGAAGGAAGGAAAAGAAAAAGGGGAAATGAAATTAACAGACACTTCTCAAAAGAAAACACAGCGTGGCCAACAGCATACTAAAAAATGCTCAGTATCACTAGTCAGTAGGAAAATGCAAGTCAAAACCACAATGAGACACCGTCTCACACCGGTCAGAATGGCTATTACTAAAAAGTAAAAAAATAAGAGATGCTGGACAGCTTGTGGACAAAAGGGAAACATACACTGTTGGAGGGAATGTTAATTCATTTAGCCACTGTTGAAAGCAGTCTGGAGATTTCTCAAAGAACTTACAAAAGAAATACCATTTCATTTAGCAATCCCAATACTGGGTATATAACCAAAGGAATATACATCGTTCTACCATAAAGACACATGCACGTGTGTGTTCATCACAGCACTATTCAGCATTTTACATGGAATCAACCTAGATGTTCATCAGTGGTGGCCTCGATAAAGAAAATGTACATATACACCACAGAATACTACACAAGTATTAGAAAAAAATAGATGATGGCCTTTGAGGAACAGAAAACCAAATACCACATGTTCTCACTTAAAGTGGGAGCTAAACGCTGAGTACATATGGATGCCAAGAACCCAACAATAGACACTGGGGCCTATTTGAAGGTGGAGGGTGCAAAGAGAGGTAGGATTGGAAAACTACCCCTTGGGTATTACACTGATTACCCGCGGGATAAAATTATTTGTACATCAAAAGCCCCTGACACACAATTTACCTATGTAACAAACCTGCACTTGTACCTCCTGAATCTAAAATAAAAGTTGGAAAGAAAATAAATAAATAAAGTTGAATTTCAGATTCACAAATATTTAATGGCTATAATGATAAAGAGTAGAGTGACATGTTTTAAAATTCTGCCTTGTAATTTCCTGATGCAGTGAATTATAACAAATTTCGCTAAGTGTATGCTTTCCTTTAACACTATTATATAATTTATTGTAAGAGCCTTTAAAAAATAACTTCAATTTGCCTCATGGATGAAAGTTATGAAAACTTCATGCTGAGTTTTATTTCTTAATGCATTATACTTATTAAAGTTAAATACCTGCTATAATATATTGAATAGATGAGTCATTTGAATAAAAAGAAAACAATAAAGTTGCCATCATTTATGAAACTCCAAAACATTGTATTATTTATTCATCATGTAGCTACCATCTAACAATTTTTAAATCTTTCTCATTTTATTATTTAATATGTAACACAAGTATTTTTACATGCTCAAACTTCAGATAATTGTCAAATTATTAATGTCAAATTCAGAGAATTGTCACTAAGTACAGACATCATTATTACAACTTCCTAGATTGTTATAGATAATCAGCACCTCACAAGTCATGCTTGTCTTCATAATCACTATTGAACCAAACATATATCAACATAAATATGATTTATATGCTATCAACTTTCATATAAATGGAACTATACATTCTCCATGGTATCCTGTTCTGGAATTAAAACATTTATTCCTGTGTTGTTAGGAATAAAGTAGACCTTTACTTTGGTCTTCTTTTACTCATTAAAATATGTGAGATATCCATTAATGTTGCTGCAAGTAACAGAAGTTCATTGATCTTTATTGTCCAGTTTTATGTATATCCTATAATGTAGTTATGCATTTTACTGTTGATGGACATTTTGGTTGTTCTGGTGTGAGGCTATTATAACTATTGCTGTCATAAGTATTGTTTTACATGAATGTAGTTTTTGCATATATATATATATATAGAGAGAGAGAATTTTATTAGAGGTATAGCTGGGACTGGAATCACTTGATCATAGGGCATACCTATATTCAACCTGGGAAGATAATAATAATCAACATTCCAAAGAGGTTGCAACAATTCACACTCCACAAAACAGTGTGAAAGATACAGTTATTCCACACGCCCTCCAACTTTTGGTATTTTCAGCTTTTAAACGTTAGCTATCCTAGGGAGTACATAGCTGTATCTTATTGTGGATTTTATTTCCCCTTTCCTAATGAGTAATGAATATATCTCTTGTTGTCTGCACTTTTTATCATTGATTTTTTTCTGTGATTATTATTTGCAAAAGCCTAATAAATCAAAGTCCACCAGAGAAAAGAACACAGTCTGACAAAGTTAGATTTACTGATCCGATAAAGCAAGACAGGAATTCCAGAGGAACTACAAAATCCCACTCCATAAGAGGGATTAGGGAAACCTCTTTTGTAAGGTTTGGCTTCTCACCAAATAATTCTTAGGAGGATCTAAGGAAAGTAAGAGTCAATTCTGATTCGTCTCTGTACCTGAGGTGGGTTTAGAAGCAGAGATTAACTACGGATTGGGTACTGTCATGAGGCAAGGACAGCTTAGTGATTAGGTATTACCAGTATTAGACGGGACTGGCAAAGTGGCTCTAGGATGTCATTGAGAAAAAAAAAAAAGCATTAGGCATTAAAGAAAGGATTATTGCAGTATTTCACAGCTGCTGCAGGACTTTGGGACAAACAGCACTTGCAGTTAATTTTGTGCTGGCTTTATCTGGGTCTGCCCTTCTGTTGTGATTAATGGTAAAGTTGCTTTTTCTGTTTTCAGTTCAAGTTGATTTTCACTCCTTTAGTTCTAGACAGGTTTTTACTCTTCATTGTATATTCTGGATACTAGTCTTTTTTGCCTTATGCAATGAGACGATCATCTACCATTTTCTGGCTTTCATTTTCTTTCTTTTAATAATGCTTTCTGAGGAGCAGAGGTCATTAATTTTAATGAAGTAAAATTCATCAATGTTTAGTTCAGCGTTAACGTTTGCTTCCTCCTGTTTAAGAAAAGTTTGCCTATGTAAAGTTCACGATCATATTTTTCTATACTGTCTTCTAGAAAACTTGTTATTTTATGTCTCACATGAAGTCTACAATTCATCTGGAATTGATTTTCATATACAGCATAAGATCCTAGGAAATGAGATTAATTTTTCCTTCTTTGCATACAGATAGTCAAATTGTCAAACTGCTTTTATTGAAAATATGATTCCTTTTTTTCTGGATTCCAATGGCTCTTTTTGGCACAAATCAGGTAAATATATATATATATTCCTGTACAACATTCTTTTCCATGGGTCCATTTAGATATATTTCTACCAATACTATATAATTTTAATTACTGTAGCAATATTATAAGTTTTAGAGATTGGCAAATATAAGTCCTCTAACCTTGTTCTCATCTTCAACTTTATTTTTAATTTTCTTTGTCAGTTTGCAATACACACACACACACACACACCATAAATGAAACCCTACTTGGATGATGATTAAAATTGCATTGCATCTAATATATCAATTTAAGGATATTTCCTAATATAAAAATGATCAGTCGCCCTAAACTTCAAACATGTTATAGCTCTTTTCATTTGCCTTTAAAAATTTTCTTTTAATGATATCTTGTGACCCTATCTAGTGAACTTGCATATATTTATATTTATTCCTAAATTTTGAAAATTATAATTTTTATAACTATGGGACTTTCACAGTAGATTTTGTAATCGTTCATTGCTGGTATATAGAAGCACACTAATTATTGTGTATTGATCTTACATTCATATACCTTGCTTAATTTATTTATTAATTCTCATGGAGTTTTCATAGATTTCATTGACATTTCTTACAAACATAATTCTATCACTGAGAAGGACACTTTATACCTTCTTCATGCTCCATCTTTTTACTTACATAAACTATTTTGGCCTTGAATAGAAGTAGAGGTATTGCAATCAAAGTAAAACCTTCTTGCCTGTTTTATTTAATCTCAGGAAAAATATTTTCAATATTTAATAAGTGTAGTATTTTGTCTTTTTTCTGCATAATTGTCATTTATTTATGATATGTCTTTATATTTATAGTTCACTGGTAGTTTTTACGTTAAAATTATATTAAATATTACCAAATAATATGTTTCTTCTAGTTTTTATCAACAAACACTATCCACTAATTTGTTAAAATTATCTTAAATTTTACAAATGCCTTCCCTGTATGTATTCAAACTATTAGTTTTTTTTATGTTATTTTGATATTAGTTGGCTGATTTTAATCAACTTTGTTGAAGTACAATTTAATAAAATATTCTGCACACATGTATAATGGGTGTTTTAAATAATTTTGCCAATATATACTCCCTTCTAACCACAAAGACAATCAAATTTAGAATGTTTCTACCTTCCCAAAATGATGATAGATGATTGTTTAGTTGCAAATTTTCCCGCACCCCAACCTCATACAATATTGATTCATTAATTTTTTGTGACCTTAGATTATTATGCATTATGTAGAATTTCAAATATACATGGAATCAGAATGTGTGGATTCTTTGTTTCTACTTTCTTTGATTCAGCATACTACTTTTGAGATTCATCTGTGTTTTTACATTTATTCTTTTTTGGACATTTTTATTAGTAATATTCTAATTTATGCATATACCACAATTTGCTTATCCATTCACCATATATTTTTTGGATGGAATTGATGCATGCTTTCAATTTTTTTTTTATATATTTAGGGGGTACAAGTGCAGTTTTATTACATGGATATATTGTGTAGTGGTGAAGTCTGGGCTATTAATAAATCCTTCATGTGAATGGTGTACATTGTACCTAATAGGTAATTTTTTATTGCTTATTATTCTCCCACCCTACCACCTTTTGGAGTCTCCGGTGTCTATTATTCCCCACCTTATATTCATTTGTGCCCACGGTTTAGCTCACATCTTTAAGTGAAAACATGCCGTATTTGACTTTCTGTTTCTGAGCTATTTCAGTTAAGATAACGACCTTCAGTTCAATCAATGTTGCTACAAAAGACAGGCTTTCATGGTATTTTAATGACTATTATTCCATGGGATATATATGCCACATTTTTTTTCTTTTTTTAATTAACTTTTATTTTAGATACAGGGGTGCATGCACAGGTTTCCTCGCACAAGACTATTGTGTGATTCTGAGGTTTGGTGTATGAATCACACAAGAAGTGAGAATAGTACCTGGTAGGTGGTTTTTTAACCTACTACCTCCTCTCCTTATTCTAGTAGTATACAATGTCTATTGTTTCTATATGTATGTCCATGTGTGCTTAATGTTTAGCTGTCACATATAAGTGAGAATACGTAGTATTTGCTTTTCTGTTTCTGTATTAATCTTCTTAAGATTATGTTCTTCAGCTCCATCCATATTGCTGCAAAGAACATGATTTCACTCTTTTTATGGCAGCATAGTATTTCGTGGTGTATATGTACCACATTTCCTTTATCCAATCTGCTATTCATGGGCACCTGGGTTGATTCCATGTATGCTACTGGGAATGGTGCAGTAATGCACAAATGAGAATGATTTATTTCCCTTTGAGTGTATACCCAGTAATAATATTGCTGGGTCAAATTGTAGTGCTGTTTTAAGTTTCTTGAGAAATCTCCAGACTGCTTTCCAAAGTGGCTGAACTAATCTGCATTCCCCCTAACAGGGTATCAGTGTTTTCTTTACCTTTTCCTTTTCCTTTTCTCAGCATCTGTTATTTTTTAACTTTTTAATAATTGCTATTCTGACTAGTGTGAAATGGCATCTCATTGTGGTTTTGATTTTCATTTCTCTGATGATTAGTGATGCTGAACATTTTTTTCAATGTGCGTGTTGGTCACTTGTATGATTTCTTTTGAGAAGTGTCTTTTCATGTTCTTTGCGCATTTTCTTTTGGGGGGGTTATTTCTTTTTTTGCTTGTTGATTTGTTTAACTTACCTACAGATTCTAGAAATTAGGGCTTTGTTTGATGTATTATTTGCAAATATCTTCTCCCATTCTTTAGGTTGTCTATCTACTCTGTTGATAGTTTCTTATGCTGTTCAGAAGCTCGTTTGTTGAATTAGTTCCCACTTGTCAATTTTTATTTTTGTTGTAATTGCCTTTGGGGACTTAATAAAATTCTTTTTGCTAAAGCCAATGTTGAGAAAAGTATTTCCTGGATTGTCTTCCAGGATTTTTATGGTATAAGGTACTACATTTAAATTCTGATCCACTCTGAGTTAATTTGTGGAGGAGGAGAGGTAGGGGTCCAGCTTCAATCTTTTGCATATGGCTAGCCAGTTTCCACAGCACCATTTATTCAATAGGGGGTCCTTTTCCCATTGCTTGTTTTTGTTGGACTTGTCGAAGATCAGATGGTTGTAGGTGCATGGCTTTATTCTGGATATTCTTCTGTTCTCTTGGTCTTTGTTTCTGTCTTACACGCATACCAACTGTTTTAGTTACTGTGGTCTTGTAGTATAGTTTGAAGTCAGGTAATGTGATGCCTCTGGCTTTCTTCTTTTTGCTTAGGATTGCTTAAGCTATGTAGGCTTATTTTGGGCTCTACATGAGTTTTAGAATAGTTTATCCCAATTCTGTGAAGAATGTCATTGGTAGTTTGATAGGGATAGCATTGAATCTGTAAATTGTTTTGGGTAGTATGGTCATTTTCACAATATTGATTCTTAAAATCCTTGAGCATGGAATATTTTTTCATTTATTTGTATTTTCTCTGATTTCTTTCAGCAGTGCTATATAATCCTCCTTGCAGAGATCTTTTATCTCTTTGTTTAGCTTTATTCCTAGGTGTTTCATTTTCTGTATGGCTATTCTATGGGTAACTGTGTTCTTGATTTCACTTTCAGCCTAGATATTGTTGGTGTATAGAAATGCTACTGATTTTTGTGCATTGATTTTGTATACTGAAATTCTACCAAAGTCATTTACAAGTTATAGAAGTCTTTTGGGAGCATGTTTAGGATTTTCCATATGGAGAATCATATCATCAGCAAACAGAGATAGTGTGACTTTTTCTTTTCCTATTTAGATGTCTTTTATTTCTTTCTATAGCCTGGTTGCTTCTGCTAGGACTTCAAGTACTATGTTGAATAAGAGTGGTAAGAGTGGGCATCCTTGTCTTGTTCCAGCTCTCAGTGGGAATGGTTTGAGCTTTTGCTCATTTAGTATGCTGTTGACTGTGGGCTTGTCATTGATGGTGCTTACTTTGAAGTATGTTTTAACAATGAAAGAATATTGAATTTTATTGAAAGCTTTTTCTGCATATATTGAGATGATCATATGGTTTTGATTTAATTCTGTTTATGTGGTGAATCACATTTATTCATTTGCATATGTTCAACCAACCTTATATCAAAGAAAGAAAGCCTACTCCATTGTGGTAAATTAAATTTTGATGTGTTGCTGAATTTGGTTTGGTAATGTCTTGATGAGGATTTTTGCATCTATATTTATTAATGTTATTGGTCTTAGATTCACAGTTTTTATTGTGTTTCTGCCAATAAACACAAAATCAGTCTGATTTTGGTATCAGACTGATGCCAGCTTCATAGAATGACTTAGAGAGGAGCCCCTCTTCCTTTATTTTCTAAAAGAGTTTCAAAGGATTGGTATCCGTTCTTCTCTGTATATCTTGTAAAATTTGGCTCTGAATACATCTGGTCCAGGGCTTTTTTATTAGTTGCTAGGTTCTTTGCTATTAATTCAATGTCACACGTTGATATTGGTCTATTCATGGTTTCCACCTCTTCCTGATTTAATCTTTGGAATCTTGGGAGATTGTGTGCTTCTAGGGAATTTAGGCATTTCCTCTAGGTATTCTAATTTATATGCATAGAGTTGTTCACAGTAGTAGTCTCTAGGGATCTTCTGTATTTCTATGGGATCAGTTGAAATATTGCCTTTGTTCTTTCTGACTGTGCTTATTTGGATCCTCTCTTTCTTTATTTTTGTTCATCGAGCTAGGGGTCTATTAGTCTTATTTATTATACCAAAGAATCAACTCTTAGTTTCATTGGTCTTTTGTATAGGTTTTTGCATCTCAATTTTATTAGGTTCTTATCTAATTTTAGTTATTTGTTTTCTTCTGCTAGCATTGGAATTGGTTTGTTATTTTTTTCTAGTTCCTTTAGATGCAGTTAGATTACTAACTTGTGATCTTTCTAACTTCTTGATGAAGGCATTTTAGGGCTATCGTCTTTTCTCTTAATACTGCTTTGGCTGCATTCCAGAGATTTTGGCAAGTTTGTTCCTTATATTTACTAATTTAATTTTTTTTAACTTTCTGCCTTAATTTTTATGTTCATCCAGGAGTTTTTCAGGCCACGTTGTTTAATTTTCATGTGTTTGTGTAGTTTTGAGAGATCTTCTTCTTGATATTGATTTCTATTTTTCTTTTACTGTGGTCTGAGAGTGTGCTTGCTATGATTTTATTTTTTTGGAATTTATTGAGACTTGCTTTATGACCAAGTGATATATCTTGGATGTGTGTCCCTGCCCAAATCTCATATTAAAATGTAATTCCCAAACTGGAAGTGGGGCATTGTAGAAGGTGACTGAATCATGGGGGGCAGGAGCAGATTTCTCATGAATAGTTTACTACAATCCCTTTTTACACAGTCCCCATGATAGTGAATGAATTCTCCTAAGGTCTGGTCATTTAAAAGTGTGTAGCACCTCACTCTTTTGCTCATGTTCTAGCCATGTGATGTTCCTGCCCACCCGTCACCTTCTGCCATGATTGTAAGTTTCCTGAGGGCTCCTCAAAGCTGAGTGGACACCAGCTTTATTCTTCCTGTACAGCCTGCAGAACTGCGAGCCAATTAAACCTCTTTGTTTTTATAAATTACCTAATATCAGCTATGTCTTCATAGAAATATGAGAATGCACTAACATAGAAAATTTGAATTAAGGAGTGGGAAATTTCTATAAAGATACCTGAAAACGTGGAAGCAGCTTTGGAACTAGGTAACAGGCAGAAGTTGGAAGTCGTTGAAAGGCTCAGAAAAAGACAGGAAAATAAGGGAAAGTTTAGAACTTCCTAGAGACTGATTAAATGGTTGTGACCAAAATGTTGATAGTGATATGGACAGTGAGGGCCAGGATGATGAGGTCTCAGATATAAATAAAGAACTTATTGGAAACTGGAGCAAAGGTAATTTTTGTTACATCTTAGCAAGGAATTTTACTGCATTGTGCACCTGTCCTAGGAATATGTGGAACTTTGAACTTTCAGTGATGATTTAGGTATCTGGAAGAATAAATTTCTAAGCAGCAAGACATTCAAAATGTGGCCTGGATGCTTCTGACAACCTATGCTCAAAGCAGCGTCAAAGAAATGACTTAAAGCTGGTACTCATATTTATTTATTTAGTTGATTAGTTAGTTGGTTATTTTAACTTCTATTTTAAGTTCAGGAGTACATGTGCACATTTACTATATGAGTAAACTCATGTCATGGGGGTTTTGTTGTACAGATTATTTCATCATTCAGTATTAAGCCTAATACTCATTTGTTATTTTCCCCGATCCTCTCCCTCCCACAAACCTCTGCCCTTTGGTAGGCCCCAGTGTCTGTTGTTCCCTTCTATGTGTTCATGTGTTCTCATCTTTTAGCTCCCACTTATAAGTAAGAACATGCAATATTTTGTTTTATGTTTCTCTGTTAGTTTGCAAAGAATAATGGCTTCCAGCTCCATACATGTTCCTGCAGAGGCCATGATCTTATTTTTCATAGCAATGTGGTATTCCATGGTGTATAAGTACCACATTTTCTTTATCCAGTCTACCATTAATGGGCATTTAGGTTGATTTCATATCTTTGCTATTGTGAATAGTGCCGCAATGAACATATGTGTGCATGTGTCTTTATGATATAATTATTTATATTCCTCTGGGTATATACCAAGTAATGGGATTGCTGGGTCAAATGGTAGTTCTATTTATAGGTCTTTGAGGAATCACCACAGTTTTCCACAATGGTTGAACTAATTTACACTCCCACTAATAGTGTATAAACATTCCTTTTTTTCTACAAACTTGCCAGCACCTGTTATTTTTTAACTTTTTAATAATAGTCATTCTGACTGGTATGAGATTGTACATTGTCATTTTGATTTGTATTTTTCTATTGATCAGTGATATTGAGAGTTTTTTATACATTTCTTTGCCACATGTATATCTTCTTTTGAGAAGTGTCTGTTCATGTCATGTCCTTTGCCCACTTTTTAATTTTTTGTTTTTGGAAATTTGTTTAATTTCCTTACAGATGCTGGATATTAGACCTTTGTCAGATCCATGGTTGGCAAATATTTTCTCCCATACTGTAGGATGTCTATTTATTCTGTGGATAGTTTCTTTTGCTGTACAGAAGCTCTTTAGCTTAATTTGATCCCATTTGTCCATTTTTACTTTTGTTGCTATTCCTTTTTATGTCTTTATAATGAAATCTTTGCTCATTACTATGTACTGAATGACATTGTCTAGGTTGTCTTCCAGGATTCTTATAGTTTTGGGTTTTACATTTAAGTTTTTAATCCATTTTGATTTGATTTTTGTATATGGTGTAAGCAAGGAGTCCAGTTTCAATCTTCTGTGTATGGCTAGTCAGTTATCCCAGCAGCATTTACTGAACAGGGAAATCTTTTCTGATTGCTTTTTTTTTTTTCAGCTTTGTCAAAGATCAGATACTTGCAGATGTGTGACCTGATTTCTGGGCTCTCTCTTCTGTCCCATTGGTCTATGTATCTGTTTTTGTACGATTACCATGCTGTGTTGGTTACTGTAGCCCTGTAGTATAATTTGAAGTTGGGTAGTGTGATGCCTCTAGCTTTGTTATTTTTGCTTAGTATTGCTTTGATCATTAAGGCTCTTTTTGTTTTTATATAAATTTTAAAATAGTTTTCTGCAATTCTGTAAAGAATACCATTGGTAGTTTGATAGCAATATCATCGAATCTATGAATTGCTTTGGGCAGTGTGGCCATTTTAATAACATTGATTCTCCCTATATATGAGTGTGGAATATTTTTCCATTTGTTTGTGTCATTGCTTATTTCTCTGAGCAGTGTGGAATTTACATTTAAAAGAGACGCAAGGAATAAAAGTTTGGAAAATTTGCAGCCTGGTCATGTAGTAGAAAAGAAAAGCACATTTTCAGGGGAGGGATTCAAGCAGGCTGTGAAAATTTGCATAAGAAAAAGGAGCAAAGTGCTAATAGTCAAGACAACAGGGAAAAGGCCTCAAAGGCATTTCAGAGATCTAAGGTGCATCCTTTCTCATCACAGACCCTGAGGCATAGGAGGATAGAATGGTTTCATGGCCAGTCCCAGGACCCCTCACCCCTCCACGGCCTTGTACATGGCTTTCTGTATCCTGGCCACTCCACCTCCAGCCATAGATCAAAAGGACCCAAGTACAGCTGGGGCCACAGCTCCAAAGGGTGCAAACCATAATCCTTAGAAGCTTCCACATGGTGTTAAGCCTCTGGGTACACAGAGTGCAAGAGCGAATTAGGCTTGGGAATCGCTGCCTAGATTACAGAAGATGTATGTAAAAGCTTGTATGTCTAGGAAGAAGTGTGCTCTAGGGGCAGATCCCTCATATAGAACCTCTACTAAGGCAATCCAAAGGAAAATGTGGGGCCAGAACCCCTACCCGCACTGAGTTCCCACTGGGGCATTGTCTGGTTGAGCTATGAGACAAGGGCCACCTCACTCCAGAGCCCAGAATGGCAGATCTGCTGACAGCTTGCACTCTTTGCATGAAAGAGCTGCAGGCATTCCACAATCTGTGAAGGCAGCCTCTAGGGCTGAACCCTGAAAAGCCACAGGAGTGGAGCCGTCCAAGGCCCTGGGAGCCTACCTCTCATGTCAATGTGCCTGGGATTTGGGACATGGAATCAAAAGATATTACTATAGAGTTATAAAGAAGATTTATTGACAGCCCTGCTGGGTTTTGGACTTGTGTGGGACCTGTAGCCCCTTTCCTTTGGCCAACTTCTCCTTTTTGGAAGGGGAATATTTACACAGTGCTTGAACTCCCGTGGTATTTTGGAAGTAACTAACTTCTTTTTTATTTTATAGGCTCATAGGTGGAAGGGACTTGCATTGCCTCAGATGAGACTTTGAACTTGTCAGTTAGGGCTGGAATGCATTAAGATGTTGGGGATTATTTGGCAAGGCATGATTGTATTTTGAAGTGTGGGAAGGACATGATATTTGGGAGGGTCAAGGGGCAGAATGATATAGTTAGAATGTGTGTCCCTCCCTAGATCTCATATTGAAATGTAATCCCCAGTGTTGGAGGTGGGACCTGGTGGGAGGTGATTGATTCATGGAAGCAGATTTCTCATGAATGGTTTACCACAATCCCTCCTTGTACTGTCTTCATGATAGTGTATTAATCCATTTTCATGCTGTTGATAAAGACATACCCAAGGCTGGGCAATTTATAAAAGAAAGAGGTTTAATGGTCTTACAATTCCACATGGCTGGGGAGGCCTCACAATCATGGTAGAAGGCAAGGAGGAGCAAGTCACATCTTACGTGGGTGGCAGTAGGCAAAGAGAAAGCTTGTGCAGAGAAGCATCCCCTTACAGAATCATCAGATCTCATGAGACTTATTCACTATTAGGAGAACAGCATGGGAAAGACCTGCCCCCATGATTCAATTACCTACCACTGGGTCCCTCCCACAATATGTGGGAATTCAAGAGGAGATTTGAGTGAGGACACAGCCAAACCATATCATTCTAACTCTGGCCCCTCCCAAATCTCATGTCGTCACATTTCAAAACCAATCATACCTTCCCAACAGTCCCCCAAAGCCTTAACTCATTTCAACATTAACTCAAAATCTACAGTCCAATGTGTCATCTGAGACAAGGCAAGTCCCTTCTGCCTAACAGCCTGTAAAATCAAAAGCAAGTTAGTTACTTCCTAGATACAATGAGGATAAAGGCATTGGGCAAATACAGCCATTCCAAATGGGAGATATTGGCCAAAACAAAGGGGCTACCGGCCCCATGCAAGTCTGAAACCCAGCAGGGCAGTCAAATATTAAAGCTCCAAAATGATTTCCTTTGACTCTATGTCTCACATCCAGGTCATGCTGATGCAAGAGGTGGTTCCATGGCCTTGGGCAGCTCCACCCCTGTGGCTTTGCAGGGTACAGCACCCTCTCCTAGTTGCTTTCACAGGCTGGTGTTGAGTGTCTGCAGCTTTTCCAGGTTCACAGTGCAAGCGGACAGTGTATCTACCATTCTGGTGTCTGGGGAACTTTGGTCTTCTTCTTACAGCTCCAGTAGGTGGTGCCCCAGTAGGGACTTTGTGTTGGGGCTCCAAACCAACATTTTCTTTCTGCACTGCACTAGCAGAGGTACTCCATGAGGGTCCCACCCCTGCAGCAAACTTCTGCCTGTGAATCCAGGCATTTCCATACATCCTCTGAAATCTAGGCCAAGGTTCCAAAACCTCAGTTCTTGACTTCTGTGCACCTACAAGCTCAACATCACAGGGAAGCTGCCAAGGCTTGTGGCTTCCACCCTCTGAAGCAACAGCCCAAGCTGGACCTTGGCCCCTTTTAGTAACATCTGGAGCAGCTGGGACTTAAGGCACCAAGTCCCTAGACTGCACACAGCAGAAGGACCCTGGACCTGGCCCAGGAAACTATATTTTTTTCCTCCTAAACCTCCAGGCCTGTGATGAGAGGGGCTGCTGCAAAGGTTTCTGACATGCCCTGGAAACATTTTCCCCATTATCTCGATGATTAACATTCAGCTTCTTGTTACTTATGCAAATTTCTTCAGCCAGCTTGAATTTCTCCTCAGAAAATGGGATTTTATTTTCTATCACATTGTCAAGATGCACATTTTCCAAACTTTTATGCTCTATTTCTTTTTTAAATCTAAATGCCTTTAACAGCACCAAGTCACATATTGAATGCTTTGCTTCTTGGAAATTTCATCTGCCAGATAACCTAAAACATCTCTCTCAAGTTCAAACTTCCACAAATTCGTAGATCAAAGGCAAAATGCCACCAGTCTCTATGCTAAAACATAACGAGTCACATTTGCTCCAGTTTCCAACAAGTTTTTCATCTCCATCTGAGAACACCTCAGCCTGAATTTCATTGTCTATATAATTACCAGCATTTTGATCAAAGCCATTCAATAAGTCTTTAGGGAGTTCCAAACTTTCTTACATTTCCCTGTCTTATGAGCCCCCCAAATTGTTCCAACCTCTGCCTCTTACCCAGTTCCAAAGTTGCTTCCACATTTTCAGGTATCTTTTCAGGAGCACCCCACTTGTGGTACCAATTTACTCTGTGAGTCCATTTTCACATGCTGATAAAGACATACCCAAGACTGGGGAATTTACAAAAGAAAGAGGTTTAAGCCACTCAGTCCACATGGCTGGGGAGAATCACAGTCATGTCAGAAGGTGAAAGACATGCCTCACATGGTGGCAGAAAAGAGAAGAGAGGGGAGATTTCCATTTTTAAAACCATCAGATCTCGTGAGACTTATTCACCATCATGAGAACAGTACGGGAAAGACCTGCCCCCGTGATTCAATTACCTCCCACCGGGTCACTCCCACAACACCTGGGAATTCCAGATGATATTTGGGTGGGGACACAGTCAAGCCATATCAGAAAGTTAGTGAGTTCTCATGATGTCTAGTCATTTAAAAGTATATAGCACCTCCCATTCACTCTCAAGCTCCTGCTCTGGCCATGTGATATTCCTGCTTCTCCTTCACTTTCTGCCAAGATTGTAAATTCTCTGAGGGATCCCCAGAAGCTGAGAAGATGCCAGCATTATTCTCCCTGTATAGCCTGGAGAACTGTGAGCCAATTAAACCTATTTGCCCTACAAATTACCCAGTCTCAGGTTTTACTCTATAGTATTGTGAGAACAGACTAACACACTGAGAATGTGATACATATTAGAATATGTTTCATGTGTAGATAAGTAGAATGTATATTCTGTGGTTGTTGGGTGGAGTGTTCCCTAGATGTCTATTAGGTCCAACTGGTCAAGTGTCAAGTTTAAGTTGAGGGATTCTTTATTAGTTTTCTGCCTCCATGATCTGTCTAACACTCTCTGTGGGGTGTTGACGTATCACACTGTTACTGTATAGTTGTCTAAGTCTTTCTGTATGCCAAGAGAAACTTGTTTTATGAATCTGGGTGCTCTAGTGTTAGGGGCATATATATTTAGGATAGTTAAGACTTGTTGGATTATACCCTTTATTATTATGCGGTGCCCTTCATTGTCCTTCTTAATTTTATTGTCTTAAAGTCTGCTTTATTAGTTATAAGAATAGCAACTCCCGCTCTTTTTTGTTTTCTATTTGCAATAATAGATCTTACTCCACCATTTTCGTGTGAGCCTGTGGGTGTAATTGCATGTGAGAGGGGTGTCTTGAACACAACATATGATTGGGTCTTTTTTTCTATCCTGCCACTCTCTGTCTTTTAAGTGAGGGGTTTAGCCCATTTACATTCAAAGTTAATATTGGCATGTGTGAATTTGATCCTGTCATCGTGTTGTTAGCTGGATGTTATGTAGGATTGATCATGTGGTTGCTTTATAGTGCCTGTGGGCTATGTGTTTTAGTGTGCTTTTGTAGTAGAAGGTGTCATTCTTTTGATTCTGTGTTTAGCACTCCCTTAAGGTCCTTTTGTGAGGCTTGTCTAGTGGAAACGTATACCCTCAGCATTTGCTTGTTTGAGAAAGATTTTATTAATATTTCTCCTTCACTTATGAAGCTTATTTTGGCAGGATATGAAATGCTTTTTTGCAATTTCTTTTCTTTAAGGATGCTAAAAGTATGTCCCCAATCTCCTCTAACTTTTAAAATTTCCGCTCAGAGTTCTGCTGGTAGCCTCATACGGTACCTTCTATTTAGCTGCCTTTAAGAATTTTTCTTCTTCATTGATCTTGGTGCATGTGATGACTGTGCTTTGAGGATGGTTGTGCTGTATATAATTTGGCTGGGGTTCTCTGTATTTCTTTGATTTGCATGCCAATCTCACTAGAGAGACTAGAGAAAATTTCATGGGTTATATCCTCAAATATATTTTCAAAGTTACTCTTTCTCCTACTCTCTCAGGAATGTCAATAAGTCATAGATTTGGTCACTTTACATAATCCCATATTTCTTAGAGGTTATGTTCCTTTTTCTTAAGTTGTTTTTTTTCTTTATTTTTATCTAAGTTGATTCAAAGACCTGGTCTTAAAGATTCTTTTCTCAGCTTGGTCTATTCTGCTATTAATACTTGGGATTGAATCATGACATTCCAGAGTGAATTTTTTAGCTCAGATATTTCAGTTTGTATCTTTTTTAAAAATGGCTATTCATGTTTCAACTCTTGAATCATTTTACTGAATTGCCTTGCTTCCTTAAATTGAGTTCCAACTTTCTCCTGAATCTTAAAGAACTTCCTTGCCATCCAGAATCTGAATTTTATGTCCTTCATTTCAGACTGGCTAAAAACCATTGCTGGGGAGCTAGTGGGCTTGTTTGGAGGTAAGGAGACACTTTGGTTTTTTGAATTTCCAGAGTTCTTGTGCTTATTCTTTTCCATCTGGGAGGGTTTGTATTGCTTTAACTGTGGTGTAAATTGAATATAATCAGTTGGCTTCACTTCTGAAAGTTTTCAGATAGCTAAGCCTCTGTACAGGGTCTTTATTCATTGTTGAATTCTTGACCTTGGTTTTGCAGAAGGTGGAATTAGTCAAGTGTTTTTGAGTGTTGTCATTTGAACTGTGATCCAGTAGATGGCATTTGAAAACAATAGGCGATAGCTAGGCCCTTAGCTGCTTGGCTCTTTTGTGTCTCCTGGTGTTTGCAGCTGTGTTCCATGGTGCAAGGGGGAGACAGAAGACTCCTCGTCAAGTCCATTTCCGGGCATTGGGCAAGCTACTTGTGATCACTAGCACTGTGCCAACAATTTTGTTGTTGTTATTGTTGTTGTTGTTGTTGTTATTGTTGTTGTTGTTGTTGTTGCTAGGTGTTTCATGCCGTGGGACTCCCTTGGGAGGAGGTCCAATTAGGGAGATAGGTCACAGCATTTCTGGACCAGCTCTTTGGAAAGAGACATGCCTAGGTCCCAAACAAGCCTATGAACTTGTAAAAATAACCCTTCTCAGTGCATGGGGCTGTACCAGCTGCATGTTCTGGGCAGGCGGGAACATTATTTGCTTTATTATCGCACCCCTGTCCCAGGCCTCATGACTTATTCAGTTTAGATAGAAACTGTCTTTTATCTTTAGGCTGCAATGCATTGAGGGCCATGGAAAACACCTGCCCTGTGGCTACCACCAAACTGGCCTTGAGGCAGGACCCCTTTCCTCAGCTCAAAACAGACAGCTCTGTGGTTTGCCTGTATTCTACTCAGGAATGCTGCTTCTCCATGCAGGGAGAGTTATTGGCCCCACCCTTCATGCAAGCCCAGGCCAGTGGGCCCACTGTCAGTGGAGGTGCAGCTGCTCCCAATAGTCCTGGAAAGGTTGTCTCTAGGCACACCAGTTCCAAGCTCCAGCAGGAACAGGGGTAGCTGCCTCCACTGTTGTAGATATGTACTCCTCTCTCCAGATATGCTCCCAGGCACCAGTGCCACCTGTCTGCTGGGACATAACCACATTCCTTCCCTACAGAACCTAGCACCACACCTGCATCTTCTCGAGGAAAGGCACAGTAAACTTCTGCTCACTAGCAGGGAGCTCTTGGGCAGAGAAGAGTATGTGATCTGCTTTCCTTTGTCCCATGGGACACTTCAGTGCACTGCACTCTCCCTTCACCTAAAAGGAGCCCATCCTGAGAATCAGATATCTGGGAATCCTGTGGCTCCTCAGAGTCCCAGTGATTTGTGGTTGCTGCAGTCTGAGCAGGTTCTGGGGAATGTTTGCAGGGATCTAGTGATGCAGACACAAGGGCTGAGACTCCCTGGGCAGGATAAAGTTCCACAATGCTTGCACACCCAGTATGGCACTTGTGGCCTTGGCTCGGGCCTGGGTATTTTGTGAGTGAACCTGTGTAAACTGGACACATGGTGCTTTGTCCTCCAGAATTTCCCACATCACCTCCCACAAAAGTGCTTTAGCTTACAAGGGAAGAGGGCCTCTCCAACAGTTCTGCAGTCGGTAGTCTGCCACAGGGGCAAGGGGAGCAAAAATCACTCCCACCCCCCTTTCACAAGGCTTCAAGCTCCCTGGGATTCAATCTCTGCAAAACTCTTGCTTCCTTGTATTTTGTGCCCCAGCTTCTTCCCGCAGATTCTCTGATAGGTTCTGGAATTCTTCCCTCAGTAGTCTACTTGGACCATGATTGTTCACTTGGAAGTTGGGTCTTTCTTAGAAGAACTGACCTCTGATGTCTCTAGTCAGCCGTCATTTCCCAGCTTCTGGGGTGTCCTCTCCATTCACTATTAATTTACATTTAGTTTGCTTCTTGTCTTTCTTTGTTTGAGATGCTATAACAAAAACATCATAAACTGGGTGGCTTATAAACAACAGAAATTTATTTCTCACAGTTCTGGAGGCTGGGAAGTACAAGATCAAGATAGATTTATTGTCTGGTGAGAACCCATTTCCTAGACAGCAGTGTTTTTGTTATAATGTTACATGGCAGAAGGGGAAAGGGATCTCTCTGGGATCTTTTATAAAAGCATCACTCTCATGACCTTTTATAAAGGCTCCATCCTCATGATCTCATCACTTTCCAAAGGCCCCACCTCCCAATACCACTTAGGGGTTAGGATTTCCATGTATGAACTTTAGGGGACATGAATATTCAATTCACTGCATTTCTACTTGGGGCCATTATAAATCATGCTGCTGTGAACATTTGTGTAAAAATCTGTGAACATATATTTTTATTTATCTTAAATACCTAAGAGTGAAATTGTTGGTTCATATGTGGTTATATATTCAACTTTGTAAGAATCTACCAAAATGATTTTCCAAGTATATGTATAATGTTATGGTCATCAGAACTACATGATAGTTAGAGTTGGTTAACATACTCACTGCAATGGATTGACTTTTCTGTGATTCAGCTATCCCACTCTTAGGCGTATACCCAAGAGAAACTCATAATGTCCTTGTGTGCAGCTTGTATGCTAATGATTTTAGTAGTATTTTTTGTAATAGCCAAAAGGTGGAAACAATGAAAACTTTCATGAAATGATTAATGAATTAACAAAATATTATATATCTATATATTATCATTAATCAATGAAAAGAATGAAGTGGTATACAAGAAACAACACAGATAAACCTTGAAAGTATACTAATTGAAAAAAGACACAAGACCACATATTGTATGATCACATTTCTATGAAATTTTTAAAATAAGCATATTCATACAGACCAACAGTTGACTACTGGTTGCCAGGGGTTTGAAATTTGAAGAGAACAGAAACTGCCTGTAATGGGTACAGGATTTCTATTCTGGAAGATAAAATATTCTAAAATTTTAGAGTTGCCAGAGTTGTACACCTCTGTGACTATCTTAAAAACCACTGAATTGTATGCTCTAAAAGAGTGTATTTTATGATACATTAATTATATCACAATAAATATTTTATAAAATTAAATGTTCAAATCTGAAAGCCAAATTAGATCTGTATTTATATGTATCCAGAAAATCAATTCATGAATATAAATCCTTATCCCATTTTGATATGCATAATTATAGTATTACTAAGTTATAATCTGTTAGACAAAATATAATAACATGAGAAAATTATATCCTCTAACATTATAGAATAAACTTCAGTAACATGGCTTCTGAGGCTTCTTAAAATTCCATGACTACTTAAATTCTAGAATCTTGGTAATTCATTTTTTTTGCAATTTTTTTATTACTCAAATAAATTATTTTTTTTATTTTGCTATGCAAAATCAGTTTTTGTTATTTACAATGTAACTAATATCAAATTTTCTATAATGTATTTCTGACTTGCCTAGTCAACACTGCATGATATTTTCATCTATAGCTCCACAGTCATTGCCAATTTATCCCATAGCAATACCTCACAATTGCATGTCCCCTGCACAGAGAACTATAGTTGAGTAAGAACCATTTCAGTCCTCTACACCAAAGTCACACCAAAATGATCCATGTTTCGATACTCTTTCATGTTAACCATTACACTTCTAAGTACAAGATTTCTGCCCTGTGACAAGGTTGGAGTAAGTTTTCTGTATCAGTTATTTTCTGTGTCCAAATGTGATTCTCCTCAGATCATTGACTTCTTACCTTAGCTTAGAATCACAAGCTTATACATTTCTTTCTTTGTTTGGTAATTTTATATTAAGAGATTTGTTGTCCACCTTTAACATTGTGTCTAAATGGAGACCATCCAGTTCTAAGCCAACATTCAATCCCAGGACACAGGATTTTGTATAGTACCTATATATTCTTTCTAGCTAAGACTGAATTTCCATGCAAATTAATCAGACCCCATCCCATGCCTTTAAATCTTTGCCAGTCAGAGATTTCAGGAAGTGGCAATCTTAAGACTGTGACATGAGAATGTATTGTGCCATAGTCTCTTAAGAATATTTAAGGGAACACTCTAAATTTACTTAAAGGATTCACACAGGTTAGCTTCTCTTGATTAAAACAAAGGATAAACAGGAACATGCAGGAATTCAGACTGTTTTCCTCTCCCGTTATTCTTAGAAACTTCATCCCTAGATGTATTTTGCTCATTGGGTTTTCCAAAATTATGTACTGCCATGTTTAACACTTTGATCTTAAATGAGAATAGACCAAAAGAAAATAA
Source organism: Homo sapiens (assembly GCF_000001405.40). NCBI lineage: Eukaryota > Metazoa > Chordata > Mammalia > Primates > Hominidae > Homo > Homo sapiens. The sequence goes on from NC_000001.11 coordinate 190,867,875, forward strand.
AATCCTCAGTTATTTTCCACACTGCATGATCTTTTATTTCTGCTCTAAACTTCAGTTTATTGAATATTTTCCCTTAGCTTTATAGAGGTATAATTGAAAAGTTAAAATTATATATATTTAAGTTGTACAATATAATATTTTGATGTATATATTATATGTATACACTGTGCTATAAGTACCACAATCAAGCTAATTAACATATCCATCACCTCACATGATTACTTTTTTTTTTTTTTACTGTGTGGTGAGAACAAACTTTACTGTGTGATGAAAGTATGCCAGGCAGTGTTGTTAAATATACTCACCATGCTGTACATTAGATCTCGAGAATTTATTCATCTCGTATAACTAAGACTTTGTGCCCTTTGATCAAATCTCTCCATTTCCTCCAGCCCCCTATATTGTGGTAACCCCTATTCTACTCTCTGCATGTTTAGATTTCACATATAAGTTAGATCATGCACTATTTGTGTCTGTGTCTGGCTTATTTCACTTAGCATAATGTCATCTAGGTTCATCGATGTTTGCACACTCCAGGATTTCCTTCCTTCAATTTTGCATTGTGTATGCAGTGTTGGTATGTATGAGGGGATAAAAAGTCTGGTATATTTTCTTACCATATCATATTTTATTTATCCATTCACTCCACTGAATTTTTTTTTTTTTTTTTGAGACAGAGTCTCGCTCTGTTGCCCAGGTTGGAGTGCAGTGGCGTGATCTCGGCTCACTGCAACCTCCTCCTCCCAGGTTCAAACAATTCTCCCTCCTCAGCCTCCGGAGTAGCTGTGATTACAGGCAGCCGCCATCATGCCCAGATAATATTGTAGTTTTAGTAGAGATGGGGTTTCACCATGTTGCCCAGGCTGGTCTTGAACTCCTGACTTCAGGTGATCCACCTGCCTTGGCCTCCCAAATTTCTAGGATTAGAGGCATGAACCACCGCACCTGGTCTCTTCACGGAATTTTTAACCAGAGTATTATTGCATCCTCCCATGTGGCTGGCATTCCCTCTGGTACTAAATTGATTTATATTCCCCACCAATAGTTTTAACTACAATTTGTTAAATTGTAGTTACTGTAGCTCGGTGGTATAATTTGAAGTGCAATCGTTCATTCCGAGCTGGTTTTACCTTTACTGAAAATTGATTGGTTAAAAAAACACAAATATTATTGTTTTTATTTTAATATGCAATTACATTATAGACGAAGCTGAACATTTTCCGTATGCTTTTACTGTTTTTAATTAAAGCAACTCTTTATTTAAAACCTACTATTCTTAGGGTTTATGCTAGGTGCCAGAAATATAAAATCATAAAAGCTACTTCTGACAGTTTATAGTTTTGTGAAAAATCTTTTGCATTTAAATGTAAGATAACCATATAATTAGGTAAAAAACATACCCCAGGCCTCTGTGCATTTACATTTACCAAAATTTTTCAACTTAACAAAAAATTACTAAATTTATAACCATTAAAATTCAAGATTCATATATAGATCAGACATAATTTATAATTGTAAGAATTATTGCAAGCATAAATACTCATTTTTATGTTCCAAAGCTTGGACTATCTAATGGTAGTAAAATAATTATTACTGGTAAAAAAAGAGTGAATATTTGTGTTTAAAACCACTGACCTAGTTAATTCTAGATAACAAGTCAATTAAATCACAATCTACTGTTGTATAAATAAGGTATGAATGATTGAAAGTATTTGCAGGCCTCTACTGATATATTGTTTGCTTATAAAGTCACAGAGAATATAAAAATCTTTATATTAATTAAACAATTAATACATTTTTAATCAGATTTAAATGTAGGTACATGATCTACAAAAGGTAAGGTTAATTTCATTTAGTATGTGGCGTGTATGATTTCTATTAGTAGTAGCCTATGGTTTTGTTATTTTAAATAAATTTGTGATAAAAATGCTAACACATTTTTTGCTGTGAGATAAAATACTAAGGAACACTTTGTTAAAAGTTTTAAAAAACTTGTTTTACAAATGCACTTTTAAGGTTCCTTTCTGGTTTTGTTTTAAGTGAAACATCAATAATATGGTCATTTTCACATTTAAGATTCACATGGACTTTTTGCCCCTGACTTTACTGTAGAAAGTCAAAGGTGCTAGAAGGGTGACCCACACTTCCTGCTGTTACACTTGAGCCAATGGCAATTATTTCATTTTAAGTTTATAGGGCACCAGCATCTCAGTGTATATTTTGGCAGTTGAAACTTTGCCATTTAAAGGTTAGAATTTATTTTGAGAGGAAAACAGAGAAGCACTTCCATCTTATAAGACATTTTTTAACTTTCCAAAATATGTGAAAATAGCATTAAATCATAAAACTCTTCAATTTAATGTAACACACTTTATTTAATTGTTTTATTTAATAATGAACTTAATAACCTAATAATCTATGTCCATTATCAAATACTGAATATAAAAGAAATGGGCAAAAAATAAGAACAGAAAACTTAGAGAAGAAACTCAAAATAATTATATAATGAGATACTCAAAATTATTAGTAATCAGGAGAAAATGGAAACAAATACTGAGGTTTTATTTTATCTTTGTTGGGCTATCAACAATTCAAAAGCTGACTAGGTATTTCTAAGGATATTGATATTTAGAATCATTCATGTACATCAACTAAGAGTGGTTTTTAGAAATCAATAACAAAAATGTGCTTTGAACTGAAGAAAATGACTAATTTGATTTTTGCTAACTTGATATCCAGAAAAAAAGGTAAAAGAAGAAAAGTAAAGCTAGTTAATTAGGAAATATACAATTATAAAGAAGGCATTATAGAACAAGATCTTACTACTCAAATAAATTTAAAACAAAAACTTTCAGTTAATTTATTTTCAACATGTGTTTTTGGCATCTCTATACATATCTTTCTATCTATATCTATGTCTATACCTACACTGACATCTATATCTGTGTCATGTTTTATCTATATTATATATCAGTATATTTTTTAACTTCACATATAGATTATCTATATATCCATGCCGGTCAAGATAGTGTTCTTCCATATTGTAATAGATTTAATTAGTTTCCTTTTGTTGATTGGTAGGTTGCACTGGTAATATATGAGAGAACAGGCAGTCAACAATTTTGGTGGTTTCAGTGAGATCCAATAATAAAATCTTTGCCATCACTCAGAAACAGATTAGTCCCCTCAAGAACTTGGATTGCAGTGTTGAGGATACTCTCAAACAATAGATCTGAACTCTGATTTCTTTACATTAAGCTCCCAAATGTTGAGTATGTTTTGTTTCCCACAAATTAGAAACCTCCTTTAGGAATTCATTATTGCCTGATTAGATTTGAAAAGATATATCTTTGATGAAGGGCTACTTCATTACTAAAACTACTGCTGTGATCACACCAGAAGGGCAGGATGGACCCCCATGCAAAATTTGGTTAAGATGTTGAGATTGAATATGACACACACAAGGTGATATCAAAGGTGTATTACTTAATGAGAATTTCCAGAAAGAAAATGTCAGGTCTCCCAGGCTGCTCCATAAGTTGCTTGAGGGATCAGAGAAAGGAGACTGGCTTGGATTTTTTAATGTGGATAGATATGGGGTTGAGGGATAGGTAACGGCTTGTGGGGCTTAAATCTCCCAATGGTGCCTAAGATGGGCACACACAGGGAGAAGAGAAAGAGAGGAGTGAGGCTTAAAAGCTGTCAGCAGTTAAAGATCAAAATATGAAGTTGTACTCCTTATTACCACTAATGGTTATTTCTCTATCTGTACTTTTCCTTTTTTTGTGCTTCTAAATTGAAGTCCCTAAGGAAATGGACAAGTGTAGTGTCAGATATGACATCTCTTGAACCTGCCATAATTGGGAAATCTATTCCAAAACTTATGGAAAGAGTCAGGAGGCTCTTGAAATTCCATATCGCAGAGTCTGATACAGACCTGGGTACCAACAGGAACCCCCATGTGGGGCTCAGTTCCTAAAGGCTTTCCTCCACAGAACATAAAAAACGTATTTGCAAAAATAATTTTTTGAAAATGACTCTCAATCTACATCAATTTGTTTTTGTTACCCCAGGCAACCAACTTAAGTTATATGTCTTTACTTACTTCTAGACTATGTCCCAGGTTTGTTTGAAAAGTCTATTCTAGAGGGCCAAGAAGAATATTCAATCACTGGAAAAGCTTATATTGAAATGCTTCATAGTCAAAATGAAGCCTGTTTTGTATTCAAGGAAGCCAGGTTTTTAAGACCTGTTGAATTTTCCAGTGCTGCTACATGTTGATTATTTTGCACAAAGAAAACCAAATAAGAAGACATCTGGAGAACTGTAAACATCTTTGTAAGTTATATGTAACCATATTATAATGATCCAGTGTTGGTCTGGGGTCTATCACTTTTGGAAGCTGGAAGGGTGTTATTACCCAACCAACTTTTCAGTACCCTGCTTTTAATTAAAGCTTTGTGGAACTCGGAAATAGAGCTCAAGTTATCTTTGTATTTTGCCACTGACTTTTCTTATGAGGACTATTTTATAAAGTGTATTTACATTTACTTAATTTTCCACTTTTGTTTTTCCATTCACTTCAGTGATTGTTACTGAGGCTTGCTCAGAGCTTCTCACTAGACCGATACTTTTGGCTTGGGAAAGGCCATAGCTTTTCTTGGCTTCTTTAGGAATAAGATCCTCCTATGTGTTTGCCCATGCCTCTGACTAGCCTAGGCATGAATTGTCCCTATGGCTCTCAACTGAAGTCTGCCATTCAGGCATGAAAATAAGATAATAATGTGGCTCAGGAGAATGTGTTGGACTCAAGCGAGAGCCTCTGAGCAGATAAATGAAGGATCAACGACAGTTGCTTTTCCTTTATTCTATCAATAAACTTTTGGCAGGGAGATTTTATTCTTTTGTCCTAGAGATAAGCTGACCAAAAAAAGTTATATGGCCCAAAGTTCAACCATCTAACATTTAAGTTTTGTTCATTCTGGCAGTTATTAATAATGCTGCTCTGGCCTGATCTAAATATCTTACCCAGTGATTTTCAGATAACCTTTAAAGAGTGGATCTGTGTATCCTGGAAAATAGTAGCAAAGAGAAAATATCTTTGCTTCTGTTTAAATTTCAATGAAAAGTAATTATAATAACAAAATACAAATACCTGATTTTGTAGAATTGAATTGTCCCATTGCAATAAGCCTACAGATACGTGATTAACTCTGGTCAAAATTCTCGAACTGAGGCTGTGATAACTGAGTACGCGCACAGGAAAATGAAAGAGGTTAGGACTACAATGACTCAGATGACAAAAACCGGGGTTTTTCTTTAGTATTTTCAAAGATGTTTATTACAAATTTGTTTGTAGAAAATGTGGGTTATATGTGAAATTTGAAAATAAAAACAGGCTGGGTGCTGTGGCTCACACCTGTAATCCCTGCACTTTGAAAGGCAGAGTTGGGTGGATCACCTGAATTCAGGAGATTGAGACCAGCCTGGCCAACATGGTGAAACCCTGTCTCCACTAAAATTATAAAAATTAGGTGGGTGTGGTAGTGTATGCCTGTAATACCAGTTACTTAGGTGGCTGAGAAAGCAGAATCATTTGAACTAGGGAAATGGAGGTTACAGGGAGCTGAGATTGCACCACTGTACTCCAGCACTCCAGCCTAAGTCCTAGGTGACAGAGTGACAGAGTGAGACTCTATCTCAAAAAAAAAAAAAAAAAAAAAATCTCAAAGTTAAAAGTTTATTACACAATATAAGCTATCTTGCCAGTGCTATTAAGAGATGTAAAGTATCTTTTCCTTCTTTTCTTGTGCTTTAAATGTTAGCAAACAATAAGAAAACCTAATTTTAAAATGCATTTTAAATGAGTATTCCTTAAAAATGATATGCTTTTAAAATATTTATGAAGTAATTATCACAACGATCTTATTTGATCTCTAAAACATGTTTTAACAGAAGGAAAGCAGAAATTAATCTGTTTTACAAATGAGCAAACTGAACTTCAGGGAGATTTTTCACTTTATGAAGGTCAAAAGTAGTAGTGCTAGTTGGTCGTTGATTCTTGATATATCATCTATATATGCTGCAATTTATATTTTCCTGCTATCTTGGCATTTTAGGAGACAGATTATTTTGAGGAAAGAAACTTTTCTAAAAGTGTGAAATGCAAGAAAAGAGATGCTTCTGTACTTGTAGAATATTCATGGTTGTGTTCCTATCTACCTCAATTTTCATTATATATTTTCCATCTGTAATTTTTATGTGTGCAGTTTCATAGCAACATTTATTTTTTGCTTTTGATCTTTCTCATGGAATTTTGAGGTTTACACATTAATTGTGTTTTTATGGAATAAATACATATATAAATATAATTCCTCAAATATTACAGAACTTAAGCTTTTATTCCTCTAATGTTCTAATATTGATGCCTGTGAAGTAATATATATTTATTATTCACTATAATTATTCATTATGAATTATTTCATTAATACTTTTACTCTATGACCCAGTTGTTGTTATAATCATGTTATTATATATTTTATTATAAGGATAATAAAGTCTCATATTCAGTTCTGATTAATCCAGCAAAATGCACATAAAAATATGAATTAGTTTTTATTTGCATTTTTAATTAGTTGTACTATCTCATTTGAGAAACAGATTTCCAGAATTTCACTTAAAAATGAATGGGGAAATGAACAAAAACAGTCAATGAAAATTTCAAAGGTAGGTCTTCAGCAAGGTCACTGTATGATACTTCTGAAGATATTAATTAATTTATCTGATAAAATATTCTCTTGTGGACAAAACCCAGTATGTAGGTGATATTTATGTCATATGATGAACTATATGACTATTTTGCTTTTTTGATTTCAAACAGGGAAAAATCTATTCTGAAAAAAAGTCATTGCCCTATGGAATTGTATAATGCTGTTATTGATTATACATATATATCTCTAACACATCCTATCATGTAAAAAATTTATACCTCTACTAATTTGATAAAAAACAAATAAACATAAATTTAAATTTATTTATGCTCTTTTCAAATGAAACTTGGATCATCGCAATCTTCTGATAATAATATTATAAAGGCACTTCATCTCACTTGTGTATGTAAATTAACATTCTGAAATTTCAAGGCCAGCTCCACTGGAGTCCCAAATGTAGGAACAGTTAAGTAGTAAGTTTCATGAATTGCTGGAGACTGAATGTGGACTAGCATGTTGTTGCTACTGATCCCATGAATAGTAAAAGGATAATAAGTAAATATTACAAACTTTCTGTATTAGTGTGCTAGAACTTTCATAACAAAATACCATTCGGTGTCTTAAACAATAGAAATTTATTTTTTTTCATTCTCGGAAGCTAGAAGTACAAGACTGAGATGTTGGCAGGTTTGGTTTCTTCTGAAAACTTTCTCCTTGGCTTGTGAATTGTTCCCATTTTGCTGTGTCTTCACATGGTTTTTCCTCTATGCAAGCTCATTCCTGGTATTTCTTCGTTTGTTCACATTTATTCTTCTTAGAAGGACACCAGTCATATAGATTAAAATTCACACTATCTTAATCAACTATTTAAAGACCTTAACTACAAATACATTTCATTCTAGATACTATGGATTAGGACTACAACACACATATTTGGCTGGGCATGGGGGCTGATAATTCAGTCCTTTTATGCCCACAAATTTAATATCTTGGATTAAGTGGACCAATTACTTGAAAGACACAAACTACTAAAACTCACACCATGCAAAATCGATAAACTGATTAAGTCAACACATATTAAATAGATTCAATAATTAATACCTTGCCAAAAAGAAAGTGCTCAGTCTAAATACTTTTGCTATTAAATTATGCCAAACATTTATGGAAGAAATTATACCAATACTTCACAATATCGTCCAGAATATATGAGGAACAATTTCTAACTTATTTTATTAGGCCAGCACTACTCTAATACTAAAATCAGGTAAACACAGGGGTTTTTGGGTTTTTTGTTTATTTGTTTTTTTGAGACGGAGTCTCTTTCTGTGGCCCAGGCTGGAGTGCAGTGGCAAGATCTCGGCTCATTGCAACATCCGCCTCACTGCAACTTCCATGATTCTCCTGCCTCAGCCTCCCAAGTAGCTGGTATTATAGGTGCACACCACCATGCCCAGCTGATTTTTGCATTTTTTAGTAGGGACAGGGTTACTCTATGTTGGCCAGGCTGGTCTTGAACACCTGATCTCAAATGATCTGCCTACCTCGGCCTCCCAAAGTGCTGGGAACATGATTTTAAAAAAGAAAATGACAGACAATATCTTTCATAAACAACATAGATTCAAAAATCCTTAACAAAATATTAGCAAATCAAATTTAACAATGTATGAAAATGAATGATACACCATGACAAAGTGGAATTTATTCCAAGTATCCAATGCTGCTTCAACATATGAAAAATGGCCAATGTAATCCACCATATCTCAGACTAACGGTAAGGATACCCTCTCTCATCACTCTTAATATCCCCTGATTGAAAGTCCTAGTTATTTTAAGGCAAAATAAAACAGAAAGTACGAGATTGTAAAGGAAGGAGTAAAACTACCTTTATTTGCAGACGATATGATTTTACTAAGTAGAAAATTGCAAATAACTGGGAAAAAAAAATCCAAGAGCTGATCAGCAGCAAGGTCATAGGATACAAGATTACTATACAAAAGTCAGTTGCTGTCTTATATACCAGCAATAAATAATTTAGGTTTGATATTAAAAACAAAATGTGATTTATGATAACACCAAAATGAAATATTTAGTATGAATATAATAAAATGAGTAAAAAAAATCCACACGGGAAACTACAAAACTCTGGTGAGAGACATCAGGAAAAAAACTCAATTAATGGAGAGAGATTTCATGTTCATAGACTGGAGAACTCAATAGTGTTAAAATGTCAGTTCTTTCCAACTTGATTCATATATTCAAAACAATCATAGCAGCAGTTCCAACAAGCTTTTTTGTATCAACAAATTAACTGGAAGGTTTATATGGAAACAAAAGAACACCCTAAAATTTTCTGCACAATACTGAAGAAGAGAAAAGTAAGAGGACTGATATAACCAAATGCATGGTTTGGTTATAATTAAGCTATTATAATCTGTACACCATGTTATTGATATATTTATCAAAAGGTTATATAAATGAGTGGAAAAGAATAGAGAACCCAGAAATAGATCTACAAAAATATAGTTAACTAATCATTGAAAAAAGAGCAAAGGCAGTTCAATGGATAAAGTATAGTCTTTAGGATAAAGTATAGTCTTTAGGATAAAGTATAGTCTTTACAACAAATGGTACTAAAAAGATTGGATGTTCATATTAAAAAAAATGAATGTAGGCACAAACCTTACACCTTTCACAAAAAGTAACTCAAAATAGTTCATATACCCAAATATAAAACAGCACTATAAAACTAGCAGAGGAAAACATAGAAGAAAATTTATGTGACTCTGTGTTTGTGGTGTGTTTTTAGATATTAATACAACATCAAAAGAACAATCTATTAAAAATTGATGAACTGAACTGTATTAAAAGTAAGTTCTTTGGTTCTGTAAAGACATAGTGAAGCGAATCAAAAGAGAAGCCACAGACTAAAGAAAATATTTGCTTAACATCTATCTGATAAGTGATTGTATCCAAATTCACAGAAATATTTAAATCTCAATAATAACGTGATTCAATTAAAAATGGGCAAGATCTGAAAAGAATCCACACCAAATTTATGTAAATGACAAACAAGCATGTAAGAAGATATTCAGCATTATTTGTCATTAAATAATTTCAAATTAAAACAACAAGAAATTACCACTGTACATGTATTTGAATGACTAAAAGCCATAAAATCTGGAAAATCGAATGCTGGAGAGGGTTGGAAGCAACAGAAGTTTTCATTCCCTCATAAAGAAAATGCAAAATTGTACAGCCAGAATGAAAGACTTTTTTTTAGTGTGTTAGAAAGCCAAATATAGCCATAACAATCTTGTTTCTAAGCATTTATGCAATTGATTTTAATACTTATGTCCTCATAAAAACCTGCAAGAAAAGTTTTTAACAGCTTTATTCATAATTGCAAAACTAGACGCAACTGAAACAGTCTTCAATAGGTGAATAAATTTTTAAATCCTGTGATAAATCTATACAATAGAATATTATTTAGCAATAAAACATGTACTATCAAGCAACAAAAACCGGGTAAACCTAAAATGCATATTGATGAATGAAAGATGGCAGTCAGAAAAGGGTAAATACTGTATCATTCCCATTAGATGATACTTTGAAAAAGGCAGAACTAGAGAGAGTGAAAATAGCAGTGGTAGGTTGAGATGTTGGGGGACAAGGACAGGGATGAACAGGTGAATAACAGGGAATATGTAGGGGAGGGAAATTATTCTATATGATACTGTCATGGTGGAAAACATGACATTATCCAGTTGTTTAAATCCATAAACTTATAGCACAGCGTGAGCCTTAATGTATGCAAACAAAAATATCATTTAGGAGATTGGAGAATCCTAGGAAGCAATGCAGACTTTGACAATAGAATGTAATGCTATTTATAAATACATGAAACAACCTCAGTGAGAAGGTGGGCGAGGGGGGTGGGTAGCTGATGAACTAAGTAATTTTGGAAATGAGAGATGTATGTAAGTCTAAAGGCGAAAGAAACATCACAAAAGCACTATACCGGCTAATGAAGTTTTTCCCATTGGGATACTGGTGGACAATCTTGATACTTCTATACACGTACACTGGAATTGAACAATAAAGTAAATAGATGGTAAATCATGAGAGTGAAGTTTCTATTTGTTGAAGTGAGTATTTATGTAAAAGTAAGGGCAAGAGGCCAGAATAATTTATATAGTGATAGATGAGGTTTGGAAAAATCAGTAAGACACATCAATCAATAAAACATAGAGGTGAAGATCTCAGGCTATTAGTGTAATATAGATATAGATTGTCAAATATGGAAATGTTTATTTATATGTAAATATATAAAGACAAATATATAGACATATATTTGAAAGGTGCTAAGAGGTCCTAAAAGAAATGACACCCCAGTAGAACTTGCACAGTTTGCATCCAGATCTTGTTTTCTAATATATTCCAATAAAAGAAACCAAAGCTCTTTGGATAAATGGCTCATTCTAGAGATGGGCCTAGAAATACACAAGATGAACACAGCTCATCTTGTCATGCTGGAAAATGAGGAGGTGTCCAAAAGCAAAAACAAACAAACAAAAAATGCCTATGGAGATATATCGACAGAACACAAGAGCCAACTGAAAGACCTCTCAATGGCCAATCCTGAAACAATTTGAGCAAGAAAATGAAAGTTGTATTAATGTAATACAAAATACAAAATATATGTTGATGAGAACATCATGATATAAATAAATAATTATAAGAACAAATAAATATATAAGAAGAAGAGATGAGACAAATCTCCCATGAAGAATATTTCCAAATGATTTTTGTAGATTCTCCATTACCAAGGAGAGGGAGTATTAGTCCCCATTTCTTAAGTGTGTGATACATGTAATGTCTTCCTTCCAGAGTCTAGTATAGTAAGAGAGTGGAGAAGAGTAAGTTTAGAGTGGAGAAACCTGGCAAACTCCCGCTCTGCCAGGGAATCGAGGTCCACATCAACAGTCATTAATCACTTGATAGTGTTTCCTTTATGTGATGTGATAAAAATGACACCTCATCTCTGTGACCTGTGTCCCTAAAACAGATAACCTCAGTCTAATCATGAGATAAACATTAGATAAATTTAAATTCCATTAGAGGATAAAGGTGCATACGACAAAGTACTTTACCAATAGTCTTCCAAAGTGTCAACATCATCAAAAATGTCACAGAAATTGACACAGCCCACAGGAACCTAAGGAGACATGGCATCCAAATGTAATGTGGCATTTTGAATAGACTCCTGAAACAGAAAAAGGACATTAGGTAAAAACTAAGAAAATCTGAATAAATGAGGGACTTTAATTAAGAACAATATATAAACACCTGTTTAATAATTGTAATAAATATATTCTACTATGTAAGAAGATAATACAAGTGGAAACTGTGTATTAGGTATACAGGAACTCTCTAATATCATCTCAATTGTTCTATTAATCTAAAACTTTTCTAAACTATAAATCTGTTAAAAATGTCCTTGAAATGGTTGACAAAATTCTCTTGATATAGATTCAATGCTACCTTTTCCACTGGCATCTTTTACTTCCTGCCCATCTCTCAGTCTGCCCCAGCCACACTGGCTTCCACACTGGTCCTCGAGGCCGCTATACCCACTCACATCTCAGAAGTACCCACTGTGACTTCTACCTGGAACACTCTTTCTACATATGAGCTTAGCTAATATCCTTAATTCTTCAGGTCTCTGCTAAAAACTTTCCTCACAAGAGACAACTTCCATGACCATCATATACAAAATAAGCACGGTCCTCCATTGTCTCTCAGGAATACTCCTCATTCATGCTCAGTTTTACTATTCTTCTTAAAATGTATAAGTATTTGATATATCATATACTTTTATGTTTATTTATTTAAGGTTTGTCTCTTTCCATTAGCATGTAAGCAGCATGTAGGAAGGAATTTCACTGCTTTATTCACTATTGCATGCTCAGCATTTTAAAAAGTATCTGATTGACATTTAAAAAATTAACGAATGAAGCATGCAATAAGCTGATAAATGAATATAGAATTTCTATAAATATGTGTTAGTATATCTAACATATCTGTAACGATCTTCTAGCAAGACTTTTGATGTTAATTTTATCCCTGCTCATCTTCAATTTCTGTGAAATTTGCAATTTAAGTTTACATTTTATATTTGTGCAGCACTTTATAATACTTCCATTATGACAACTGCACTAGGCATAATGCTGTTTGCAACACAGTGTGGATCACAATCTGGAATATATAATGTTTAAATGTGACTGAACTGGAATATGTAATTTAGCAACATAGTAAAAAATGTATATGAGCTTGGCATTAAAAATGACAATAAAATATTATTGCCAAGCAGACTGTTTGAACACTTGGAGACTTCTTGAGTGTGTGCTAGAAAGAAAATTCTTTACTAATACCCAGTTCATGAACTTTCCTACAAAAAAAAAAAAAAAAAGAAATGACAACTAGATTATATCGTGGTATCACAATTTGGATGTAATATAAAATCCTGGAGAATGTGAGATATGAGAAATAAAATAATATGCTTCCTGCTGAGTATTCAAATCTGTTTTAAACACAAAATGAACCCATAAAATTCCATTTTAATTTCCTCCAACTGTATAAGCTGGAGAAAAGCTGTGCTGTAGATTGAATATGCTGAAATTAGTCACGGCATAGACTAAGATGTAAAACAAGTAATCTGGAAACACCCATTATTGAAAGACAGCTTTAAACAATGAAAAGTAAGATGTGTACGATGTTTCAAGTATTATCATTAGCATTGACTCTATGCAGCTAAGATATTCACACTGCAAAAAAGAATCTCACAATGTTGAATAGCCATTAATATGTTTTTCATACAGAGCACAACTACCTAATATTTCTAGATGCATCTACTTGTTGTTAATGTATTTCAGTGCATTGAGGTTTCAGCAGAAGTTACAGGCTTTAGGTTTAGAAAAATCTAGGGACTCTGATTTACTTAATGTATCTGAAATAATTTATGAAACTTTGTTGTAAAACAACAAATTGGCCACTGCATAAATATTACTATTATTTAAGACACATTAATGAACTATATACTATAATTTTTAAAGGACATATCTTATTGGTCCAAAAATATTTATTAAGCATTGACTCTATTAAAGAGAATGTCACAGATTATAGGGAAGATAAATTTTATAAATAAGTATAATATGCATGAGTATTTTAAGTACCATATCAGTATCATTATTTGTAAAAGAGAAATAAGTGCAGTTTTGAATGTTGAACTCACCAGACAGTTCCTGGATAAGCTCCATTTATCATGATTTATTATCATTATTATACTACTAGTTTCAGGTGGTCATATTTTGTGGATGATTTTTGTATCTTTGATCATGAGTTACGAGTCTAGAGGTTTTGGTATTTTTGTAATGCCTTTGCTTTATTAGAGTAATACTGGCTCCAGAAAATGAGCTGGAAAGTGTTCTCTTCGTTCTGTTTTCTGGAAGACATTGGGTAGAATTAAAATATTTTTTTCTTAAACTTTTGTTAGAATACACAACTGAATCTTCTAGATGTGTGTTTCCTTTCTTAAAAAAGAAAAAAGTTTTAAACCACAAATTCAACTTTAAGGGACTAGTCAAGTTATCTATATATTATTGAGATAACTGGTTAGGTAGCTTATTCCAAGGAATTAGTTTACTTAATCTAAGCTATCAAATTATGACAATCATATTTCTTATAGAATCCCCCCCCCCTTTTTTTTTTGTTGAGATGGAGTCTTGCTCTGTCACTCAGGCTAGAGTGCAGTGGCACGATCTTGGCTCACTGCAACCTCCACCTCCTGGGTTCAAGCAATTCTCCCGCCTCAGCCTCCCAAGTAGCTGGGATTACAGGCATGCGCCATCATGCCTGGCTAATTTTTGTATTTTTAGTAGAGATGGGGTTTCACCATGTTGGTCAGGCTGGTCTCAAATTCCTGACCTTGTGTTCCGCCTGCCTCGGCCTCCCAAAGTGCCTTGATTACCGGCATGAGACGCCACCACGCCCGGCCAGAATCCCCTTTTTACCCTTGTAATAGTTTGGGATCAGTAGTTAAAGTCCCTCTTTCATTCCTAATGTAGGTAATTTGTGTCCCCTTTTTTTTTTCTTTGTTAGATTGACTAGAGACTTATTAATTTAATTGAACTTTGAAGGGACCAGCTTTTTGTTTCCTTGCTCTTTCTACTTCTTTTTTAGTTTCACTTATTTCTGTTTTGATTATTAACATTTTTATTTCATTCTGTTCAAGTTATGTTTGATTTGTTCTTCTCTCCAAAATTTTATTTTTTTAATAAATATGGAAGCAATTCTGATTCAACATTTGAAAACAAATCAAGTTATTTCACCACATTAAAAAAGTAAGTGAGAAAATCCAAAATAGAATTTTGAAAACTAGAATGACCATAATGTTTCAGGGAAAGAAAGTAAAAGTATGCATTTTATTCACTTTCAATTTTAAGAGTCAACAGAAATCTAAAGGAATTGAGAATATAAAAGTGGGTACATGTTGTTCCAAATTAGTGGGAAATTTATATTGTAGGCTCTAGGTGCATTTTGCTTTAGAATGAGACTCATCAATAATATAGAAGACATTCCATAGTATAAGAGAACAAGTACTGTGACAGATTCTCCTAATAACATAAATTTGATTTTTTACTGATTTTAAAATTAAATACATTAATATATCACTAAAATAGCTAGAGATATGTAATTTCTAAAAGTAAAGCATACTATTATTAATATAAATATTGAATATGTATAATTGTTGTCTGGTAAAAATTAAAAATACAGTAATAAGTATATAATACATATAAAAATAAATTCTATGGCCGGGCGTGGTGGCTCATGCCTGTAATCCCAGCATTTTGGGTGGCCAAGGTGGGCAGATCACCTGAGGTCAGGAGTGCGAGACCAACCTGACTAACATGGTGAAACCCCGTTTCTACTAAAAATACAAAAAATTAGCCAGGCATGGTGGCACATGCCTGTAATACCATCTACTTGGGAGGCTGAGGTACGAGAATCGCTTGAACCTGGGAGGCGGAGGTTGCAGTGAGCTGAGATCACGCCATTGCACTCCAGCTTGGGCAACAAGAGTGAAACTCTATCTCAAAATAAATACATAAATAAATGAATAAATTTTACAAATACATTTAAAACGTAAATAAATTAACAAAAGTTTACTGCATGATATTAAAAATATTCCAAAATAAATGTGCAGATATACCATTGCTAGTAAATAGGAGCCTCTATGAATTAATATATAAATGTATCTCCAAATATTTTATACTTTTAATATATTCTCTTAAAAATCCCCAAGTTTTATGAAGATTTATAGCCTATTTCAAAATATCTATGAACAAACAAATATCATGAACAGTCAGTGGCTGAAATAGAAGGCCAACTGGTAGGATTTAGCTTACTAGTTATTAAGAATTATTATAAATCTATTAGAATTAAAACAGACAAGTAAGATAAATAAGCAGATCTATAAGAAACTCATTAAAGAAGTAATCTTAATTTAGAAAGAGGGTATGACACATAAGTTGAAAGAATACTGCTGGGGAAATCATGTATTCATAGGAAAATCTTTAAAAAGGATTTCTAACTCTTTTAGTACTATATATATGTATTTATGTATATACTTTTATACTCGTGTATTAACAAAATATAACAAGTGTTGACTAGGATGTGGAGGAAGTTGAAATCTTGTACTCTACTGATAAAAATGTAAGATGGTGCAGGCACTGTGGAAAATATTAGGGAAGTTCCCCCAAAAATTAAAATAAATCTGAAGTATGATATAGCAATTATTTATCTGAAATAATTGAAATCAATACCTCATAGAAATATCTGCACCCTTATGTTCATTGTAGCAGTTGGGTATTTGGATGTTTTCTCTATCTTGGCATATGAAAATCTTGGCTATCCCAACATATAGAAATAATCCAAATATTCATCAAAAGATGAATGGATAAAGCAGATATGTTATATACATGCAATGGAATAGTACTTATTCTTTAAAAAGAATGGACTCGTACCATTTGTGACAACATGGATGAACCCAGAAGACTCCATGTTAAAGGAAATAAGCCAGTCACAGAAGGACAAATACTGCATGATCTCTCTTATGTAAGATATCTAAAATAATCTAGCTCGTAAAAGCAAAAAGGTGGTTGCCAGGGTTTGGAGGAGGGGGCCAATAAATAGTTGTCACTCAGTGGGTATAAAGTTTCAGTTATGTAAGATGAATAAGTTCAAGAGATTTACTGAAAAACATCTTGCCTATATAGTTCACAGTATGGTATCATGCATTTAAAGATTTGTAAAGAGAATATATCTCTTGTGAAGTGTTATTATGATGAATACACACACACACACATAAAGAGACACAAGGAAACAACTTTTGGACATGGTGAATAGGCTTATTACCTTGATCATGGTAATGGTATTGTGGGTGGGTGAATAAGGCTAGGCTCACCAAATTTTACATATTAGCATGTGCAATGTTTTTGTATATTAATTATTCCTCAATAAAACTATTAAAAATGGAATTGAATACAAAATACTGCCCAGATAGATTAAAGACAACTTTGAAAAGCAAAATCCTGAAACTTTAATGGTTGTATATATCTTATAACTCAGAGAAATAAGTGATTTCTTAAATGAAACATTTTAAAAGTAACTGTAAGGATAATTTGAAATAGTCAGTTACATTAAAATAAAAACATTTATTTTCCAAATGACTACATATAATTATCACATTCCTTTGAAATGGAGGGACAATATTTGAAGCTGTATAACAAATAGAAATTAAGATACCTATATTTATTATTCATCTCTCTATTTAGCTATCTATAACAATCTTTATCTAAAGAACTTCTACAAATTAAGTAAAAATAAATACCTGTCGTGAAAAAGAGTAGAATTTATAGATAGTTGTTTAGGAGAGGAAACATGAGCAGATCATAATTCTTACCTGCTTATGATAGAAATTGCCAACTGTGCTCCCACTTCACCTCTGTATCAATTCTACCCTTTGTACTTTTTGCAATGGAATCACCAAAGTCAGAGTCTTAGCAAAATCATGATTATTCATCTGGAGCCCCTATTCATTATTGTATTAATTTATAGTCATAAAACCAAAGTGACTAACCTGCACAATGTGCACATGTATCCTAAAACTAAAGTATAATAATAAAAGAAAAAAAAAACAAAAAACAAAGAATCTTGCAAGGGGATGTGAATAGAAGTAGCACAAGCAATTTATGAGTCAATTCCTTGAAAGAGAAGTTCTTTGTATTTGTTGTTGTTGTTGTTGTTGTTTTTATTTTACCTTTCCCTAGAACTGAAATTAAGATGTCATGCTGGAGATCCACCGTCAACTATGTTCAAGAAAAATCTCTATGAGATGATGGAGTCACAAGTAAAAAATAATGCCAGGATCCATGGATGACTTCATGGAACAGAAAAGTCTTCGTTCCTCAAACTAGCCATTGATATTGTGAAAGTTTTCCAGAAAAGATTAATCTCTATCTTGTTTGAACCCAGTGAATAACTTTGTTACAACACCATACCTTAACTAATAATCAGAATGGAGTTACTGAAGTGAACTAAAAGATTTTGGCACACATTTTGTTGCCGTGGCAATCACTTTCACTGAGGTAACAAGGGTGGCAGATAACATAACTACAAAGCCTGCATACAAATCCAAATATTGGCTTTTCTTTTTAGCTCTTGGTTGCTTTAGCAAAGTAATACAGGTGAGATTAGTAGGCCAGAGCAGAAATGGAAGTCATAATACTCTACTGAAAAGGCTTTCTCAGAGTACGCTGCAACCTAAATTTACTTAGAATAAACGAACTTGGAGCCTTGCGGGGTTGTAAATGCCGACTCCTTCTGTTCTCTGAACAACCGTCAATGAGATTATGGAGCCTACATATCAATGTACTCGGACATAAAATGCTCGCTAACCCAGCTGCAAAGATCAGATTATGCATATTATCTGTTCAGGCAGCCTATTATTTCAGAAAGCCTTGAGGAAGCTGCCCTTAAATGAGTATAGATGTCAGTAAATAAAAGAGTCATCCAGGCTGAAGAACTACTCTAGGTAGATGTTTGATTGCATCATAGTTTCTTCACATGTAACTGAATGTAAGCAAATACATCAGAAACTTCTTGGGTTTTTGATGAAATTGTATTGCCCCAAACACCTTAGCTTCCAAGACTGATGATTGAATCCTCAGACAAACCTAAGCCTAAAAACCCAAACCAATAGGGGATTGGCAATTAAACTCTACCACAAGGAAGAAATGTTCTGCATAGTTTATTTTAGATGTGGAAATAGTGGACAAGAGAGATCCTGTCATAGAGTAGAGCCAGGTTCCTATAAAGAAGTTATTCCAACATTGAGAAAAGTAGGCCTCATAGTATCTATCCAGGCAGATTTTATAAGTGATCTATGACTGCATTATGTACCCTTCCTCCTCTTTTGACAATTGAGTTGATATTTCACTTTCCCTATGCATGAGGGCAGTGGGTGGCTAAAGTGAATATCTTTGTCTTTTCATTTCTTGGTTACCAAACTGTGAGGATTTATATTCAAACCTTTAGTTAACAGCATACATCCAAAGAGAACAACATGACTAATGTAGCATAAATTAAGTGGAAAGAAATAGAAAACAATATAAAAATGAGTTAAAGACTGTATGATGCCAGTTGTGTAAGATCCTACTCTCGACTGAATTGAATACACGTATACTTGCCATGTCAATTCTGAAGGCCAGGGGTAAATTTGTCTTAAAGAGTTAAAAGCACTAAAATACTTCCATAAACATTCAGATGTTTAGAATCAATAGCAATCTGGCTATGACAGTTATAGCTACTTCAAGCTAAATTTAGTCAGTCTCCACTTTCATAGCTATCTCAATGTAGTAGGTACTTTAATTTCTAAGTTTGTATACCATTGTTGTTTAATGAGATGTACATCATATGTGGGGTTGGAGGACCAGGGTGCAAGTCCCAAATCTGTTACCTACTAATGGATGAGTGAACTTGGACAAGTTATCCTCTCTAAAATAAATTACTGCATCAAAATAATGGGATAGTGATACTACCTTTCTTCTTAGACTTATTGTAAGAATTCATTAATCTAAAATCCTTGGCATATCTTTCCTATAAAAGACACTATTTGCTAGAGATCTTTGAAAAAGGTGGATCATTTCATATTCTTGCTCCCACTTGGCAACTCATAGTGGATATTTGCCAAGAAACAGTATTGAAGATTCCTACTAAATATAAATGTTTAAATTTATTAACCATTTTTTAAAATTGAAAATACAAGTACCCTTAATGAGTATTTGTTGAAGACATAATAAATAAAAGTTTCATTTTCATGGCACTCTTTATGCCTTCTGTTAATTGCTGATTCAGAAATACCACCCAAACACACTGTTGAAAAAGTAGAATTTATCACTTATAACAAAGGAACACCATCATTCTGGAAGAGTCTTAGTAGCCTATAGGAGAGGGAAGGTCAAATACTCCACATGCACACATTCACACACATTTAAGTCACTGAATCTTATTTAATGAAAATGTAATGTAATCAAAATGTAATGTTCCATCTTTCCATTGCTTTCATCCTGCACACAAATATACTTTGGATCATGAAACAGTTGAAAAATTCAATGGTATATCTCTTTACTTTCTATTATTCTAACTTTTACAATTCTACAATCTGGAAAATATATTTGCAAAAAAAAATTTGACTCTGTGGAACAATAACACAATTCAATATTCTTCTCCTCTTTCAACCTATTACATAGTTTATCCATTCTTTAAAATTACAAAATAAAGCAAAGCATTAACGAAAAATGAAAACAAAACATTTGAAGGTTATACTTTGCAGCAAATACATTATAGAATACAGAATAATTTTGTTACTTTACTCAGCAATGTACCTAAGGCCTTGTTATTTTATATTATAGATAGATAAATAGATAGATAGATAGATAGATAGATATAGATAGATAGATGATAGATAGATAGATAGATAGATAGATAGATAGATAGATAGATAGATAGACAGATAGATAGATATCCCTGCTATTGAGCAAAAGAAAATTCAAAATCAACTTTGAATTTTGCAGCATTATAAAGTTTGTCTTATATGCAATCCTTTCTAAAGGCAGAGGATTTAGCTACCTTAGTTGGCAACTTCAGGCTCTGGTGACTTGTCCAATCTACACTTAGTTTCCCAAGGATAATATTCTGAGCAATCTCATCAATCATGCCCCCAACATGTTTTCTTCATTTTAACATGTCCAATTTATTTGTGATTTTATTGTTAAAAGGCCTTTTATCGCACTTGTTTCAGAAAAAGCTTCTAGAAGAGCTATCGAGATATTTAATGAATTTGTTACTTTCCATTAAGTCACTCTATAACCACCTGACTGATGTTGAAATGACTGACTGCTTCTCTTACTGTTGAAAGCTGAAATGCCAATATCTGAGGTAAGCTCTACTTATGCCATAGTGTATTGGCACTTGTCACCTCCAGCTTGTTTCTCTCCAGGAAGTTGGCAGAGTATTATCAGAGAAATCTCTTCATATAGCTTCACGGAAACTGAGCTTTATCATTAGCCGGGATACACTGAATTTGTAGAAAAAAAATCAATACATAGGCTTAAGGTGTCTCAGTTATTGTGACTGCTACATGCTTTGGATTTTGTGCACTTATATCGAGATATGACTGTTTATTTTGTCTTTTTTTGTGTGGAATTCTTATTTTACCTTTCAAGTAAAGTTGTAATAAAAATCATAACTCTTACTGGGGGTAAGTGAATTTTCTAGGATTGGAAAAATATCACGATCTATTATTTAAAGGTAAATTATCCAAGCCATCTGTAAAATTTAAAGTAGAATTTGGTTCCATCCTTTGACTAAAATCTTGAGTGCATTAAAATTCATAATTGAAATTATTTTTAAAAATTACATCATAACACGAAAGTGCCACGGTCACTAAGAGCTAACAATTCATTGATCATTGGACAGTCATGGGTAATAATTAATAAATGAAAAAAAGAATAAAAATTAATACAAAACACTAAAAACTATTTGATACTTAAAATATTCTTAAATTGTTTGAAATAAATCTTAAATTTGTTTTCTTACAGTGAAGATTTAAGGCATAAAAGTTTCAGGTGCTTGTAAACATCTGTGATTTAACCAATTCTATAATATAGCCAATATAATAATATATGTAAATAAATAAGTTATAACATTTGGATATGCCATATCAAAAAATTAGAGAAGAGAATAAAATTGAATAGAAATTACATCCAAAATCTAATAGAAAATGATTTGTCATTTTGAGATTCTCTAAATTAAAAATAAATATTTGTGATTCCTCCCATGGAAAATAAACTGAATCTGTAATTAAAGTGACATAATGTCTTCTAGGATGCAAAATCATCAGTGAAGGCTAGAGTTTGAAATAAGTATTAATCAGAGTGCCAAAGCCAAAGTAAAATAAATTATTTCACAGGCATTTAGGAAGAAAATTCATAGAAATTAGAGGGAAAAAAACAATTTCTTCACTAAACAAATGTGCATATAGACTGACCACCAAACTTCAGTGAAAGACTTAATGGACAGTTGACATTTTCAGCCAAAAGAATATGACCCTAAAATTTTCTTTGAAGCTAAATTGACTTTGATTAGAAAGACAAAGGGAAGATTTCATGAAAGCTATAAGGAATCTGGAATATTGTATCTATTAATTCTTCTGAATTCTTCTAAATTGCACACACATACACACACACACACAACATTCCAGCATAGATAAATGGTTCAAAATAAAGAACTAAGAAAATAAGAAGTTACTGGTAGGATAAGATCTGCACTTGCTTATTTTACATTGTGAAATCTTGTATGTAGTTTTAAAAAAATAATTGTTTTAACCATTTTACTACAGTATCTTCTAGATTATCTTTAATTCTTGAAAAAATAATTTATTTTATTAATTTCCCAGATAAATACCCCAGCTTACACCTTACAAACCGTGGCACATCTGTACTTTCACTGTTCTCAGGATTCCCAGTGTTACCTGCTGGATGGGAGATAACACAGTGAATGATTATATACTGGAATTCTTAGAATCATCATTTTTCCAAATACTAGGAGGTGAGGCTTTTATAGTAAAACAATGCAGAACAATTAAATGTAGTCAATACATTTCTCTGTTATATGGAAAAAGGGTAAAAATGTCCTGGTATATGGAAAAGAGTTCCTCAGGGAAAAGATGTATTCTTTCAAACTGGCACTAAGATAGAAAGACCAAAAGAAACCCTTTAGGCTCTTTGGCAGCCTAACTCTACTTGCTGGGAAAAGAGTCTAGATAGGGATTTGGAAGCAATTCTAGTAATTCTTCATTCATGACCTTCTTATTTACCTTCTTCTGTGATTTAGTAAAAGAATCTGGGGTAATAGGTATAAATTCAAATTCTGGCCATACACTTAGGACAAAATAAAATAAGTGTTCAGCAAATTGCTTTTGATTTAATTAATTTCATAACTGAATACCCTTATTGTTTTGCAAATTTTCTATTAGAACAATAATTTAGTAGCTGTTTTCTTGTTGTTTTATTTTTAAAATCTGAATCATCTTATTCAACACACTTCACATAGTAAAGAAAATTATCCATTATATAAAGGCAATTTAATTTTTCAATACTATTAAAAGATACAGTACAAACATAGGACAAAGTTAAATGAGACATGACCCTCAAAAAATATCAAGCTTAACTCAATAAAGGCAAATATTGTTGTGGAAATAATCAAGAGATTCTAGGGAAAAAAAATAGATTGCTCTTTAGAATCATATTGTTCAAATAACAAATGACTACACTGTAGAAAGAACCATGGATCAGGACATGTTACATTAGGATTGTAAGCCAAAAAGTATCTGAGACAAGTCTCAATCAATTTAGAAATTTATTTTGCCAAGGTTAAGGGCATGTCCAGAAGGAAAAAAAAAAAAAAAAGAATCACAGAAACAGTCTGTGGTCTGTGCCTTTCTCTAAAGATGAACTTGAGGGCTTCAATATTTAAAAGGGAAAAATGGACAGGAGGGAAAAGAGTGAGGGTATGGTAATCCAGGAGTTTCAAGATCAAAGGAGCAGGTAAGGAGATAGTCAGCTTATGCTCACTCAGTAAATCAGCACTTTACATAAGATAAGATGAACAGAGAGTAGCTACCTGTGGAGATACGGAACATTTTATCTGTAGGTATCTGCTTAGGAACAAAAGGAAAGTTGCAGTTTCTTGTAAGATTCAGTTTTCAGCTATTTTTTTTTCTTTTTGGAGTAGTGAATTGGGGTCCTGAGTTTTTATTTTTCTTTCTCAGGATAATATTACAAAATGAACAAACAAACAAAAAACTGTGAGGTTTCTTTAGGTTAGAGGAAGGCAGATCTTTTCATGCTTAGGGTTATCATATCTAAATAAAGTTAAACTGAAAATAATGCTTAATATTCTATCATTAATAAACTGAAAAGCTAAAGATAGTTTGCAGTGAAATTGTAACTCTGGTCATTAATGCATTTTGACTCATTTAAGCTTTTTTGTTTATTTTGTTACGATGTTCTTTAAACTTTCTCATACATTTAGAAACAAATATATATATATACACACACACATATAGTGTTTATAATGTTTGAACAAGTGTAGTGCGTCTTCTGAAAGTACATTGTATATTTTTCATACAAATATATCCAGTTCAAATTATACATATTTCAAATTAAAGTAGCCACAAGATATTTGCGTTAAATTCCATATGATGAACTGTTAACTAGTAATCTTTGTATTTTTTAACATATAGTGGCACATCTATTTGATTTGTTCTCAAAGTATTCACTCTTTTAGGTTTATTTAATTACAGATGACAAAATCAGGTAAAATAACCTGTTCAAATTCAAATCTTGGCTGGTGTTACATGCCACGTTTTTTTTTTTTTTTGAGACGGAGTCTCGCTCTGTCGCCCAGGCCGGACTGCGGACTGCAGTGGCGCAATCTTGGCTCACTGCAAGCTCCGCTTCCTGGGTTCACGCCATTCTCCTGCCTCAGCCTCCTGAGTAGCTGGGACTACAGGCGCCCGCCACCGTGCCCAGCTAATTTTTTGTATTTTTAGTAGAGACGGGGTTTCACCTTGTTAGCCAGGATGGTCTCGATCTCCTGACCTCATGATCCACCCGCCTCGGCCTCCCAAAGTGCTGGGATTACAGGCGTGAGCCACCGCGCCCGGCCCATGCCACGTTTTTTATTTGATTCTCAAGTATGCTCTGTCGAATTACTCTGTAGTCCCTTGCTTTGGATTCCAATGTCCAGGAAATACAGTCTCATGAAAGTTATAGAATAACTTCAACTTCTCACAATCAAACGTCTCAAGCAGGAAAAGAGGCACATGAGTAAGAGCTTTTCCATTCTCTGATTGCCTCTCACATTTTTTTTAGGAAGCATTTTTCATCCCCTGAGGCACACAAGCATTGAAGCTTTTACACTGCATTGGTTAGAGCATGCTCAATTGGACATCTATGGCTGCAGAAGAGGTTGGGAATGTTACCAATATGACAGAAGGGATAAGAGTGTCATGGTTAGTTTAAAAAAATCATGATTCATGCCTGGGGTCATACACTGAGCAAAGTCAGAGGGTAGTGGAGAGGGAAGGAGGAGTAACATATAGAAACAACAAAGAACATCTTTCTTATTCTCCTTAAGACCCCAACACCGCATATTAAGTCCATTTGTAAAAGTCTTGTTAAACTAATGAAGAAATACAGATTAATTTGCTGGTGTATCTGTATCTTTCTCTATAAATCATACATTAAAATTACATTCAAAATGTCTTGTTTATTAAGTTAATCATGTTCAAAATGTTAGTAGCCCTGTGTCACTAAATACAATTCACGATAAGTTATGGACACTGGAACTAGGGAAAAATATGTTGAATAAAAGCAATTTCTGGGTGTGAGGGTAGACCCATGATTTCTGGTATTGGTATTTGCAAGGCTTTGCCATTTGCAAACTTTTGCATACATTGCATAGCAAATTTGATGAATGAACTCTGTATTTTTCTCCAATTAAATTGAAACACACATATGGCTAACCCTGATATTGTAGTCTAATTCAATGCTAATTAGATTTATCTGTCTACTAAGTAAGGCACCCAAACATATGCTTTTTCATCTCCTTCTTGGGGAAAAAAAAATATATATGAAAATGCCAACATTTTAAAAATAGTGAAAAACCTGAAAATGCTTGTAGGATTTTTAAAGAAATGACTGTTCTTTTAAATGCTTCAGGTACACATTAAAAAGAAAATGATTATTAGCATCATAAATGTATATGATGTATTTCTAAGTAAGCATTTAATTATATCAGCTCAAGGAAAATTTTAGGTTTCATATAATATGTGGATTAGAGAGGCAGTAAATAGATTGCCTCCCTAGACAAAGTGACATTTTAACCAGTGAGGGGTTGGACACTGAACAGCATGACATTTCTGCCTTCTGTTAAGATCAAAGTGACAACTCTATCCTTTCATCTGGATTTGCAGACTATAGGTAGGTGATGATCCTTAACATCTGCACATTATTTACACTAAAAAGAAAATTGCCCAAAAATAGATAATGAGATGAGTCTCTGTGTTGGTAAATGTTGCTGTACCTAAATTTGCTTTGACTGTTCTTAAAGCCATTTAACATTTTATCATTTCAAAATAACTTATAATCATGGATAATACAGTATCATTCCATCTAATAAAGTATCATTCAGTTTCACAGCACAGTTATTCTTCACTGCGGGGCCTGCATACTTATTAAGATTTGGTAAGAACCTAGTAATTACAAGTAGAGAAAGTGGATGTGTAGCCACACTGTAGCATTTCAAAGTTCTATAAGCTCAAGAACTTTATTTAACCACTCTGAAACTCACTTTATTTTAATTTGTTTTGAGACAGAGTTTCACTCTTGTTGCCCAGGTTGGAGTGCAATGGCCTGATCTAGGCTCACTGCAACCTCTGACTCACGGGTTCAAGCAATTCTCTCACCTTAGCCTTCCAAGTAGGTGGCATTACAGGCACCCGCCACCACACCCAGCTAATTTTTGTATTTTTAGTAGAGACAGGGTTTCCCTGTGTTGGTCAGGCTGGTCTCGAACTCCTGACTTCTGGTGATTCACCCGCCTTGGCCTCCCAAAGTGCTGGGATTACAGGCATGCACCACCGCGCCTGGCTGAAGCTCACTTTTTAAAAATATTGCAGTAAAATACATATAAAATACATCTTAACCATTTTAAGTGTACAGCTCAGTGACATTAAGTTCGTTTACATAGTTGTGCAACTATCATCACCATCCATCTCCAGAACTTCTTGAAAAACTGAAACTCCATACTCATTAACAATAGCTCTTCATTTCCTCCTTCCCCTTGCCTCTGGAAACCAGCATTCTACTTTTCTGTCTCTATTACTTTGACTCCAGTTATCTCATGTAAATAGAATCATACTGTATTTGTCCTTTTGTGATTGCCTTATTTCACTTAAGACATGTCCTTAAAGTTCATCCAATTTGTAACATGTGTCATAATTTTTTTAAAAATTGAATGATATTCTATTTTGTATGTACAGCCTGTTTTGTTTATGCATTCATCTCTTGGTGCACATTTGAGTTGCTTGTGAATTGGCTCTTGTGAATAATGTTATCACATATAATGGCATTCAAATATCTCCTTAAGTCCCTGCTTTTAATTCTTTTGGGTACATATCCAGAAGTTAAATTGTTGGGACATATAATGATCCTACTTTGATTTTTTCAGGAAATGCTATACTATTTTCCATAGCGGGTTTATCATTTCACATTCCCACTAACTGTATACAAGCTTTCACATTATTCCACATCCTCACCAACACTTGTTATTTATTTTTTATGCTAGTCATAACAATGAATATGAGAGAAACTCACTTTTAAAGTGCAAGTAATAATCCCTATATCACAGATGGTGCTGATATAATGGTTTTTTAAACCCTTATAGATTTCAATTATTTAATTCATTTCCATGCTTTCCTGACACTTCCCAAAGCGGAGATACAGACCTTATGCCCTCTAAGTAAGGCAGATCCTTTGTCATGATTCTGTGAACTCTTTGAGTTATATCCACTCAGACTACTTAAAACAATGAGTTTTATTAAAAGAAAGGTATCTTAAATTTCTCACATACCCTGGAATAGTCATTCAGTCACCTCTTTCAACAACTGCAACAGTTCAAGTATTGGAAAAATTATAGGAACTTAGCTTCAGTCTCTATTTTGTTGTCTTCTTAGTTATTGTTATTATCTTAGATATTGTTATTATCTTAGATATTGTTAATCTACTATCATCATGATGTCTTAAATTCCCTATCTCAACCTTTCTCTCTCTCTCTCTCTCTCTCTGTCTCTGTCTGTCTCTCTCTCTCTCTCTGTCTCTAGCTCTATCTCATCTTTTTGTTCTTTTGCAATCACCTATTACTTCCATTCTCTGTAGTCTTTTTGCTTCATGGCTCCTGTTAGCTTATAATGTTTAATTGTTCATAAGTGCCTTTTTATGTGTAGCTCTTGCTGCCACTGCCGCTTTACAATATATTTCAAAGCATCCTTCCAATTTAAAGTGTCCCTATCAACTGACTGGTAGTCTACTAAAATTAGTAGTAAAATTAGTAGTACTAAAATTACTGGTAATCTAAGTAAAATTAGGATACTTTAGATATTGCCCATAACTTTTCTTAAAACATGCAAAAAATTGTCTTGGAAAAGAAAAAAATTGATCTTAAAAACTTAGTCCACTTTGTTCTCGAAGTTGTTTTTGGCTCTAATAAATACTAATATATTTCTGCATACAAATAAAGTATAAATAACACTGGATTTTGAGACAATGATAATGAGATTTCAGCAATAGTAAAGACAGAGAGACTTGGAGGAATAGTGTTCTCTGATTCAGTAACAACTGAATTAAATACTTTCCTCAGGATCAGGCTTTCCCATTGTGCACCTTACACATAAAAATAAAATTTTGGAATGCAGCCTGCAGCACATTGGGATTTAGCTGGTTTTCGGAGATCTTACATAATTAGTGAAAAACAAACACAGGCATAAAGAAGCATCATAAATATAGTATTATGTAAATATTCTATGCCACCTAATTCATGAAAATTAGGGATATGCATGATTCCAAAAGATCTTAATCATGGCCACTTTTCTCCAGTGTAAAGTAAAAATGCCCTCTGTGTTTTTAATTTTGTAAAATGATCTAAAATGAAATCATCTAAAACAATCGGTCAATAAAGCAGCATTGAATTATTTCTTGTTTGTATCAGTGATAAAACTGAACCAGAACCCACAGATAGCTCCTAATCAAGTGCTTTCCCATCCTCCCCAAATCCAGTATCATTAATTATACGAATCCCTCTTGAATATGTAAATGTCTGACTTGCATCTCTGCTGTGTGAATCCCTTCACAGCAATTGTCCTAGTGCCTGCTTAATTTCCCTCCATATTTATTTCCACCGTGATCTTTGTATTTTGCCTTTCTTTATGCATATCATCTTGTCTTTTTATTTAATGATGGAATTCAGCTTTTTTGTCTTTGACCACACAAGATTCACAAAATATAAAGGCTTTTGGTTAAGTTGCAATAGTGCTTCCAATTCTTTAACCTGTCTCTCCATCATAGACGAAGTACACTTCCCCTAGTTTTGGGGCTATGTCATGTGACTTGCTTTGGCCAATGACAATTGGATGGAAGTGACAATGTGCCAGTTCATCTTAAGCTTGAGGAGTCCTCCTGTTTTCCCACTACCCTTCTCATGTATATTCCACAGCCAGAAGAGTATTTTTCTTCTAGACCCATTGCCCCAAGACGAGGGTGACAGAAATCTGGAACCAAACTCATTCCAACTTCTGCAGCCAAACACAGAAGTGCCTACATATTCGCAGTCAGAAATGTCAAGCTAAACCCATCCTCAATAAAGCAAACTGTAGATACTTGCCTGATAAGTGCTTGTTTTTTTGTGGTGCCTTGCTATCCGGCAATAGCTATGTGATGCAGGTTGTTTAATGAGCTGAATTGTGCCCCCTCACTATTTTTATGTTGAAGCCTTAACACAAGTACCTCAGTATGTGACTGTATTTGGAGATAGGACCTTTAAAGTGGTAATTAATGTAAAATGACATCATTAGGGTGGGCTCTATTCTAAGGTTACTGATGTCTTTATAAGGCAAGTTGACTAGGACACAATTACCACAGAGGAAGGACAATGTGAAGACATAGGGCCGTCTGAAAGGCAATAAGAGAGACCTCAGAATAAAACCAAACCTGCCATGGTTTAATTTGAACTTATAGACTCCAGAACTATAAGCAAATATATTTCTGTTGTTTAAACTACGCAGTTTATGGTACTCATTATGAAAACAAAGTAAAACAGGTTACATTCACTATCTTTCTCTTTCTAAATATATTTTATAATCAATACCTAGTTTCCATATGTGAAGTGACTCAGGTTAGGCTACATGGATGATGTAACTCACACTGTGCCCTTACCAGGCAACTTAGGTAATGACCAGCCACAATTGGCTATTAAATATAAACATAAATTAATTAACATTAAATTTAATTAAAACTTGAGTTACTTAATCACACTATCTCCATTTCAATTGCTTAATAGTGAAATATGGCTAGTGGCTATTATATTGGAGAGGACAAATTTATAGACATTTCTATCTTCACAGAATCTTGTATTCAGCAGGATGGGGTAGAGAATCAAAGGGCACACAAGAAGATTTAAAATTATTATTCTTAGATTTTATAACTTTTATTATAGAACAATTCAGGGTATTTTTAGAAGAAAGTCTAATAAGATCTCAGCTTTGGACATCATCAAAATGGCAGAATAGGAGGTCGCAGGCTGCAGTGTTCACCACAGAAAGTCCAAGTAGTAACTCTTAACAGATAAAAGTACCTTTGTGAAAATTCTAAAACTTGGGAATGAAACTGAGTCACGCACGTGGACCACAGAACCCAAAACAGTGCATTAAAAGAGTAAGAGAAATTATCTCAGTTTGAGCCCATTGCTCCACTTCATTGCTCCACTTCTGCGTCAACAATGCACCACACGGAGAGAATTCCCCTAAGATCACAGTTTCCATCATTAGAAAAAAGAACCCAATATGGTACATTCAGCTTTCCCAGCACTTTGGGGCACTTCTTAAGAGGCCCAATACTGCTTCACTTCACAGGGAACACTGGTAGAAACTGTAAAACTAGACTGCCTGGAGTCAGGTAGAAACAAAGAAAGGGGTGGGGCTCACAGGGACCAGCACATGGATCTTGGTGGTAGCTCAGTGTTCCTGGTGGCAGTAGTGTCCAATCAGAGATGCACCAATAGCACAGCCTATCCACAAAGCCACTCTGGTCACACCCAGAAATTCGTGGGAAGCTACATTGGCTTGAATCCCTAACAAAGAAGCCACCCTGCCCAGCCTTAAAGTCCACCCCAAAGCTTTGCCTAAGAAGAGAGGCAATCCTCAATAATGCATTTCTATGGAATATAGCCTCTGGACCCACCCATCTCAAGCAGCAATTCCACCTAACCTCAGAGCCTAGCACCCAGCCTAGCCTAACTGAAGAATTAAAATAGCTTTACTACCAGGAAGGGGATATAGCCTGCAACACTGTCTGACTAGAGATGATCACAGTGCCCAGCCATCAACTCCCCTGGACATGAGAGCAAAGGCAGTGGCCCAACCCAACTAAAGAACCTGACAGAAAACTGCCTGCCTGTGGTTGGTATCAGCTGTCCTAACCAGAAAGCCAGGCTAGACTAAATAGTGAAGTTCTACCCCTGCCAAAAAACACATGTAAAGTCCAGAAGCAGTGGTTGTATCCCCAAATGCACAGACACCAACACAAGAACACAAGCAATGAAGAAGCAGAAAATTATGACAATACTGTATGAAAACAATGAATCCTTAATGATAGACCTCAAAGAAGTAGAGATCTGTGAAAGGACTGATAAAGAATTCATAAAACAATCTTCTTAAAGTTTAGCAAGCTACAACAAAATAAAGATAAAATATTAAATGAAACTTGGAAAACAGTACAGTAATAAATGAGAATTTTGACAAAGAAATAGAAATAATAAAAAACCCCAAATGACATCCTACAGATGAAAAGTACAATGACTGAACTGAAAATGTAATAGAAGGCTTCAATAACAGACACAATTAAGTAGAAAAAGGCATCAGTGGACTCAAGGACAAAACATTTGGAATTATTCAGTCAGAAGAGCAAAAATGAAAAAGACTTAAAGAGAGAAAAGAAAGCCTGTGGGAATTATGGTACACCATTAAAAGAACAGACTTTCTTATAACAGGAGTTTCATAAGGAGAAGAACAAGGGCAATTAGCATATTTAATGAAATAATGGCTGAAAATGTTCCAAATCTGGTGAAAGATGCCAACATCCTGGGTCTCCAATCAAATTCAACTTAAAGAAGAGTTTGTTCAAGACATATCATAATCAACCTATCAAGAATTAAAGACAAAAAAAATTCTGAAAGCTTCACAAGATAAGAAACATCATATACAAGATAATCCAATGACCAGCAGAAAATGTCTCAGCAGAAACCCTACAGGCCAGGAGAGAAGGATGTTATATTCAAAGTGCTGAAAAACAAACAAACAAAACTATCGAATACTTTACTTGGAAAAGCTTATTTCTCCTTTCTGAAGGAGAAATAAGAAGTTTCATGGACAAACAAAAGCTAAGGAAGTTCATCACCACTAGGCCTGCCTTACAATTATTGCTATAAGGGTTCATTAAGCTCAAATAATAGGGCACTAATTAATGAAATAAAACCTATGAAAGTGTAAAGCTCAACAACATACGTAATACATAGTCATTTTCAAAAATACTCTAGTACTATAATTGTGGTGTGTAAAGCAATTTTTTCTCTACTATGAGGGCTAAAACACAAAAGTATTTAGAACTGCTGTAGCTACAATAATTTGTTAAAGAATATAAATTGCAAAAATGTAATTTTGACATGGAAATCAGAAAAAAAATGAGAGGGAAGGTAAAAGTGTAGGTTATTTTTATGTGATCAAAGTTAAGTTGTTCACTGCTTAAAAAGTTAAGTTGTTAACAGCTTAAAATAGCCTGTTAGAATAGACATTTTATCATAAGCCTCATGGTTACCACAATGCAATCTCCTGTAACAGATGTATAAAACATAAAATGAAGTGATTCCATTTGGAGGCAGAGCAAGATGGCAGACTAGGATCATCCAGTCATCATCCCCCAAAAGAAATGTGAATTTGAACAGCCATTCACACAACAAAATACCTTCACAAGAGCTAAGGGAACAAGGAGAGTGACCACAGTACCTGGTTACAGCCTAATAACAAGAAAAGATGCATTGATGAGAACAGAAAATTTCATGTTGCCTGCACCACACCTCCCTGAACCCCAATCAGCACAGACACACTCTCTGCTTGGGAGGAGAAAAGGGATGTGTGCATGAAACTTTGCCTTGAAAACCATTAACAGTCCTGTCACAGAAAAACACAAGGGTAGTCAGAATGCTGTGGCCCCTGATTACAGTCTGGTGCAATAGATGGAGCTTCTAGACTTAACCGGGCACCAGGTGAGAATTTGCTTCTCTGGTGGGACAGATCGAAGTCCTACCCTGAATCTTGATTGAACAACTACAGTGTCCTCGCGCCCCCAAAAATTTCAGTGGCAGGCAGCTATAATACATACAAGTGAAAAAGCAAAGAATCAAAACATACTACTGGAGAAAATCACATAACCACAAAGAAAAACAGTAAGGCAGGAAGAAAGGACTTACAAAACAACCACAAAACAGATAAGAAAATGGCATTAGTAAGTTCTTACCTATCAAAAATTATCTTGCATGTAAATGGATTAAATTCTCCAATTAAAAGACAGAGTGGATAAATGGAATACAAAAATCACATTCCAATTAAATTCTGCCTAGGAGAAACTGACTTCACCTAAAAAGACATGTATACACTAAAAGTGAAAGCATAGTATAAATACTCCACATAAAAGTAAGCCAAAAAAGAGCAGGAGTAGCTATTCTTAACATCAGGTAAAATAAACTTTAAATCAAAAATGATTTTAAAAAGGACAAAGAAAGCTATCATATAATAATAAAGTGGTCACTATAGCAGGGGGATATAACAATTATAAATATGTATGCAGCCAATAACAGAGCACTTAAATGTATAAAGAAAATATTAATAGACATTAATAGACTTAAAGGAGAGCAACTGCAATACAATAATAATAGGAGAATTCAACACCCCACTTTCAACAATAGACAGGTCTTCCAGACTGAAAATCAATAAATAAACTTGGGAGTTAAATTGTGCTCCAAACTAAATGGCTCTAATAGACATTTATTAAAAATTTGATCCAACAGCAGCAGAATACACGTGAAATATTTTCCAGGATAGACCACATGTTAGACCACAAAGCAAGTCTTAACAATTTTTTAAAAATGTAAGTTATATTATATTTTCTCACCACAATGAAATAAAACTAGAAATAAATAATAGAAGGAACATTGGAAACTGTACAAAAACTTGAAAATTAAATGACAAGGTCAGAAACAACCTTAGGTGAATGGAAAATTAAAAAGAAAATTAAAAAATTTCCTGAGACAAATGAAAATGGAAACACAACATACCCAAAGCTGTGAGATATAGCAATAGCTTAAAGTCATAAATTCCTACAGCAAAAATTACAAAAATCTTAAATAAACAACCTAATATTATACCTCAAGGAACAAGAAAAATAAGAACAAACTAAGCCTAAAATCAGTAGAAGGAAAGAAATAATAAAGACCAGAGCAGAAACAAACAAAATGTAGACTAATTGAACAATATAAAAGATCAGCAAAACAGAGTTGGTTTGTGAAAAGATAAAATTGTCAAGCCATAACTAGCCTAAGAAAAAATGAGAGAAGACTGAAATAAATAAACTCAGGGAGGAAAAATGAGACATTAAAACTGATAGTCACAAAAATACAAAGGATCTGAAGAGACTATTATGAATAACTATGTGTGAATGAATTAAAAGTGCTAGAAGAAACAGACAAATTTCTGGGCACATACAACCTATCAAGATTGATTCATAAAAAAATAGAAAACCTAAGCAGACTAATAATAAGCAGTGAGATTGAAGTAGTATTGAAAAGTTTCTTATCAAAGAAAAGCCCAGGACCTTATAGCTTCTCTGCTGAATTTGACTACACATTTGACAAACTAATATCAATTCTTCTTCAAACTATTCCAAAAATTTGAAAAGGAATGAATATTCCTTTTCTAATTTAGAAGGCCAAATTATTCTTATACCAAAACCAGACAAGGGACAACAGAAAAAGAAAACCACAGGTCAATATTCCTGATGAACGTATATAAGTGCAAAAGTCCTCAACAAAATACTAGTGAACCTAATTCAATGGCAAATTAAAATATTATTTACCCTGATCAAGTGGGATTTATTCCAGGGATGAAATAATGGTTCAATATTTATAAAACAATAAATGCAAAATCAAGGGAAAAACATACAATTTTTCAATAGATGCTTTAAAAGCATTCAGTAAAATCAATATCAATTCAAGATTAAAATGATCAAAAATTTGTGTATAAACACAATACAATGAACACAACACCAAATGACAAACCCACAGCTAACATCATACCAAACAAGGATAAGTTTAAAGTTTTTCCTCTAAGATCTTGAACAAGACAAGGTTGCCCATTTTCACCTCTTTAATTCAATATAGTATTGGAAATTCTAGCTAGAGCAATTAGGCAAGAGAAATAAATAAATGGCTTCCAAACTGTTATTCTGATGCTGGTGACACTGGTGTAAACCACCCTACTTGCTCACTGTGAGTTGTATCATGGAATTGTGTGCACTACATAATACCTGATAATGATAAATGACTATATTATTAGTTTATGTATTTACTGTACCTTTTACTATTATTTTGCAATATTTTCCTTATACTTAAAAAAGTGTATTGTAAAACAGATTCAACTAGGTCCTGAGGTATTTCAGAAGTCATTGTCATCATAGAAGAGGACACCTCCATGTATTTTACTGTCCCTGAAGACCATCCAGTGGAACAAGATGTCAATGTGGAAGACAGTGATAGTGAAGATCCTGATCGTGTGTAGGCATGGGCTATGTGTGTTTGTGTCTTTGGTTTTAACAAAAATATTTTCAAAATGTAAAAATTAAATAGAAAGGATCTTATAGAATAAGAATATAATGAAATAAAATATTCTTAAACAGCAGTGTAATGTTTGTGTTTTAAGCTAAGCAGTATTGTAAAAGACTCTAAAAGTTAAAAAAAAGTTTATTAAGTGAAAAGCACAGTGAGGTGAGGTTAATTTATTATTAAATAAAAGTTTAAAATAAATGTTGTAAGGCCTGAATGTGCAATGTTTATAGTCTACAGTAGTGTACAGTGATCTCCTAAGCCTTCACATTTACTCACCACTCACTCACTGACTCACCCAGAGCAACTTTCGGTCCTGCAAATTCCATTCCTTATAAGTGCACTATGTTGGCATAACATTTTTAAGTCACCTATACCACATTCTTACTGTTCCTTTTCTATGCTTAGATAATGTTTATGTATATAAATACTTACCATTGTGTTACAGTTGCTTATAGTGTTCAGTACAGTAAAATTAGGCACAAGTTTGTAGCCTACACTGGCTACAATATAAGGAGCAACATACCGTACCTCATAGCCCAGGGATGTAGTAGGCTATCCACCTAGGTTTGTGCAAGTACACTGCATAATATTCACATAATGACAAAGTTGCCTAATGACACATTTCTCAAAGCATTCCTATCATTAAGTGGTGCATTGTTGTATCAGGAATAGAAATAAAGTCAATCTTGAAACTATTTCCCTTTGATTAATAGCTTTATTTTAGTTGCATTCTGTTAGGAGCAAGCAAGCACAGATTATGAGGGATCACATCATATTATTTTTCAAAAGTTGAATGGTTTAAAATGGTTATTTTAGTAAAAAATAAAATATAAAATAAAATAATCACTTTAACTGTAATAAGTGTTATTGAATAGAATGCCTGCCATCTCAATACAAGCTTTTAACCTTATGAGATGTTTTTCTAAACTCTACATGTTCCAGGTTTATTTTTTACAATCTTACCTGACAGTATCACTCTGGTGATTTTAAACAGAAAGAAAATATGTATATACCTCATGGACTTATTTATGCTTGTAAAGCATTCAGCATTACTTTAAATATTTGGCTTGTCCCATTTTGCTTTCAGAAGCCTATATGTTTTCTGATATCTCATCTCGTAGTAGGCCCTTTGTCATCTAAATTTTTATCTTCAAAGGTATTGAGAAAGGACCCTGAATGGCTAGAAATAAATCTACTTTCACTCTGATAAATACTAGCTTCAAACATACTTATTCCAGTAAAATTTTGAACAGTGGTAAAGCTAGATGAGGTGAGGAGGTGACTGAGTGTGTTTCCCATAGGTAATCACTTCCAGAGTGCTTTATTAGAGTACGTTGCA
Source organism: Homo sapiens (assembly GCF_000001405.40). Classification (NCBI taxonomy): domain Eukaryota; kingdom Metazoa; phylum Chordata; class Mammalia; order Primates; family Hominidae; genus Homo; species Homo sapiens. The sequence goes on from NC_000001.11 coordinate 190,905,312, forward strand.
GGGCTGAAAACTCTTTATATTTGTGTTTCATCTTGGTAAGCCTCAACCTCCTCTTCCTAGCAAGTCTTTCTCTAAACATTTTGTCCATTATTTCACAGATATCAATATGGAAACATTAAATAAATACTCCAAAGCAATGATTAGAAACACTTAAGTTTAATGATATAATCATTTGAAAAATTGAAAATAAGACTTTCAATAAATTATATATCTATGTGTGGTATGAAATCACCACAGTTTTTAAGAGGAGATTTTCTTTACTCTTGTAATTGATTTATTGTGTACAACACCTATTAAATACAAAATATCTGTGAAAAGGCGATTACCTATATTTCTGTCTTTAAAAGTAAAGATGAAAGTCATATGGCATTTTATAATTTGAAATTAAGTAATGGCCTGAGGTTATGATATAAAATGTTAGTAAACACAAAGATTTATTTTTATAATAAGTATACTACATCATCAATACTACAGTAAAGAACAACCAACAGATAAGGCATTACCAGCTTTCTCCTGGGCTCCTTGCAGAACAGCTATAGTGGGACAGGGTCTGGCTATAATCCCTGGTTGCACCACTAATGCCAAGCATGTTGAATGCTGTGTTGCCTTGAGATAGGTTAGTAAAATGCTTCAGCACCTGGAAATCCACTACAACATTCATTTGGAAAGCATACTTATTGTGCGCCAGGGAGCTACTGAAAAAGTGCTACTGGAGCTCACATATACTGGATGGTCTTCTCATTGACACTTAGCTGCACTTTTAGTGTTGTCCTAACTAGCTGCACAGAGATTCTGCTATGTAGCCATGTATTTTCTGCATATTAATTCTCCACTGTAATTTAGAAATAGAAACATGGCAATTTGTTTGGATTCTAAATATATTTTCATGGTCTCAAAAATCTTACCATTACATTTTTTCAGTAAAGGAAAGGTAGAGGGGTGAGATTCTTTAAATATAAGTTGAGCCTTTGTACATATGGGATTTAAATTTTTTGCATCATCTATTTTTATGAAGAAAATTTATTATTAAGAATGAGTGTAGTACATTCTGGGGCTTGGTCCAGATTACCCCTGGCTGAAGCCCCACAGCTGTGTCTCTCCAGGATACTGCTCTCTGCTGCTGGAAATTCCCTTGCACAAAAGTATGTCATCTTTTAGAAAGCAGCTGGCTACTAATTATTAATAATGAATGAATACAAAGGCCCAGTCTTCTGGGCTCAATTTGGAACATTCTGAAGGTTCCAAACTCAATCTTCAGAGTTCCCTGTAAGATCATCGGAGTCTTCAACTGTTACCTCACTATGGATTAGAGTGTCTTTCTGCCTGATCTGGTTTCTTCATTTCCTTGGGATATATCTCCTGAGAGCATGCAATTTCCCATCTCACAGTTTGTTTCCAGCACAGTGACTATGCCATAATGACTACCAAAAATTTGAGGAGGTTATTATTAATAAACTTTTATCAGAATAGCATGTGTACTTTATTCTAACATACACATATTTTAAAGACTTTGTACAGATGCTGTAATAAAGAAAAAAGGATACCATCATAGTGGTTTTCTACCTTCCTATGACTTTTGCTTTATTTGGAGTATTTTCTAGAACCATACGCCTTTGCTCTCAAAAACAAAATTTAGAAAACATGGTTCACCAATCTTTTTGGTAGGCAAGTCACCTAATGGAGTCCTGAGTCCACCATTTGTATTTACCTGTGCAAAGATTTGCATTTGAAGTAAACTTGAAAAAGAAGGAAGCTTCCATCAGAAGCCATTTAATTGACAGAGGTTGAAGTGGAAGCCTCTAGCTTTTAGCAATGGTAGAAGTTTTCAGAAGTCCCGGAGGTCCAGTAGTGGGGCTGAAGGAGAGGTTTTTTTCTATAGCAGCATTAGTGGTTTGTCTTTAATCTATCTTGTTGAAGTATGGTTGACATGTAAAGAGCTATACATATTTAATGTGTACATCTCTATGAGTTTGGGAGTAGGTATACATCCACGAAACTACTACCACCATCAAGGCAATAGACATATCCATCACCTCCCAGGTTTCTTGTCAGGCTGAATCTGCAGCAGAATTTGGGACATTGTAACTGAAGCTTAGTTATGAGCCTGGTGCTTCATTTCTCCCAACATTTCTGCAGCTACTCAGTATCCTTTTAATAAGTTCTTTACTGTTTTATCAGCACAAATCACCTAACTTTTACTACTAAGAACTAAAAATTTACGTGTTTGTGTGTGTGTGTGTGTATATAATTTTTACAAATGCTATGTTCTTAATGTTATAAAATGTTCTACAGGTGGAAATGTTATTTCCATGTGTAAACAGAACATAATTTCTTATGAGTAAACTACTTTTTCTAAGAAGTAGTCTGTCTCTGGAATATTAGCCTAAATTTAGTCAGTAGTAATTGATGTTTTGACTATTCTGAATACATGTAGATATAGCTCTAAGTGCTACAGCCATTCATATGAGTATTCAATATTCTCTTAATGTTCAATAGTGTTTGGGTCGCCATAAAATTCCAAATTTATGACATGAAAAGTTTAACTCTGTTTTGTGAACACTTGTTAAGAATAACTAAGGACCTTGTAAGATAGCTGCATATTCATGATTTTTAAAATATAACAATTGGTCCATATGCCACCTCATAATAATTTGCTTTTGCCATATTGTTAATTACATAGAAAGACAAATCTTTTTTTAATCAAAGATGTAAAATAATTTTTAAAAATAGAAGGTATTTATAGTTACAGAACCCTAACCATACGTCTTAAAAGACAAATTTTCTCAGATGTGCCATCTAAATTTTCACCCATCCCTTTGTTCAAAAATCACCTATTGAGTGACTACTATGTGCCAAGCATCACTCTAGTCATTAGGAATACAACAGTGAACCAAAGACTCAAAATCTCTTAGAGAGCTCATATTCTAATGAGTTGAAGCAGACGACACAAAACAAATTTTATAATAGATAGCAGCACTGATCATATGTATATAGAATAACTACAAAATAGTGTAAAAAAAGTCAGAGAAGTACTTGTTCTAAAAGTGAGAATTACAGAGACAGATGAATCCAATCAGAGGCTGAGCCATTTGGAGAGCTGAGGAAAAAGTATTAAACAGGCAGAGAATACAGCACATTCAAAGGCCCTGAGTCAGGACAAAGATGAGTGTGTGTGAGAAAATAGTGATCAGTGTGGCTCAAATACAGCAAGTGAAGAGGAGAGTGATAGCAGATAAGGGTACTAAAAGGGGATTCACATGCATAAGACATTATGGGCCATTGTTACTACTTAGAATTTTATTTTGACTATTAGGAAATTTATTGGATAATTTTATAACTTATGTTTTGAAAGTGCTCACTTTTAGGAAATAAATTTATAGTTCTCTAAATTTTCCCATAATGGCAACTCTGTGGTCCTTCTATTTACTGTCCTTTTAATGAAAGTATCAATCTTCCCTAAGTCAAATCAGAAATACATGAATTTCAGTTTTCCACATTCTCACTAACATTTACTATTTTGGCTTTTGTAATTTTAGTCATTCTTTTGTGAATGTAACAGTGTGCCATTGTGGCTTTTATTCATATTTCTATGATGACTAATGAGGCTGCACAAATTTTCATGTGCATATTGACCATTTGTACATCTTCATTGTGAAGTGTCTTTTTGCCATTCTTCATATTATTGTCCATGTTATTTTACTGAAGAGTCTAAAGGTTAATTATATAGTATAGATGTATGTGTGATATATTATATTAATAGTTTTGTCTTCATAAAATTTTTGACTTTTTCAAATTGTGAAGATATTATCATACATTTTCCTTTAGAAATCTTATAGTTTCAATATATTTGTATATATCTTGAATTAATTTATCGGACTGATGTAAGGTAGATGTGGCAGTACATTTATATATATATATATACGCACACATACTTATTCAGTTTTTATATATATTTAATTATTTTTATATATGTATTCAGTTATTTCAGCTATTCAATTGAAAAGACATTCCTTTGCAAATTTGCCAAAAATAATTTGACCATGGATATGTGTACATTTTCTGGAAATTCTGTTATAATCCATTGATTTATTTTTCTGTATTTCACCAATAATGTACTGTTTAGCTTATTAAATTTTTCTGCAAAAATTATAAACTGTGAATTTCTTCTTTTTTCAGTATTATTTAGGTATTCTAGGTTATTTACTGCACCATATACATGTTATAACAAACATTAATCTGTATAAATAAATGGATTATAGGGATTTATTACATTGGTATTGAGTTTATAGGTCAATGTTGGGAGCACGGATATCTTAATTTTTTTCTTCCAATACATGGACTTGGCAGGCCTCTCTTTTTAATTAGATATTATTCAATTTATCTTAGCACACTTTTCTATTTTTCAGTGAAGAGCACTTAACTCTGGTTTTTATTAGTTTGGGTAAATTATGTGGCCACAGTGGCTGACGGAAGATTTGCCAACCTTGATAGTTTAGTATAGCTTAATCAAACTTCAGTTTATTGCTTAATTTGTATCACTGCTTTTTCCCATGGGAGTATGGTTGAGCCAGGCATTAAAAGCACCTGTTGTGTGCTTGATATCTGCTCCTTTTGATATTAGGTGATCTGGAGATCATTCTCCCTGGAATAGGGATGGTTGCATATGTAATCTTACTGAAAGCCAATAAAAAGGTTAGGGCCAACAAGCCTTTGTATTTATGGAGTTACGTGAACTCATCTAGGCATGTTTTTTGTTAAATTTAATCCTAACTGGGTTTGGTGCTGTTGTAAATGAAATTGTTGGTTCCTTTTGAACTGAAAATCAATAGCTAACTTGAAGCCCCAGAGCTGTAGAGGTCCACTTCCACCTCTTTGGTAAGGCTATGTCACACATTGCCTTCTGTACAGACAGGAATACTTTTTGTTTTATTATTTTTGTTTTTGCTCTGAACAAAAATATGATTTTTTTTCTAAGCAATATAACATTAATGTGCACTAAATAGATGACTTTCAAGGAGTATATACTATTTCTCAAGGAAATTCTCAATTCCTACTTTCTTTCTAAGACCACCCATTGGGATTAATTTTCCATCACTCACCAAATCCTAAGACTCTATCATAGCACCATAATTTTATTTCTGAAAAAAAAAATTTTGCTAGCTCTGTTTCAAAAAATGTTATCTTATTATAATAAATATGTCAATTTGTACATCTATGTTTATCACTTAATAAATATTTATAAATAAATGTGAAATTAAATTAGATTCTTATGTCTATCAATATTAGTACCACTATATTATAATTATTTTAAGCATGTGGCTCATGTGAATTATTTACTCTTTATTAACTTGCATTGACACGATAGCATCCTAGTAGTGACCCTACTTTCAGGTACTTTATGACCTATATTTTTAATTTAAAAGGTGGATTTCCTAACTAGATTACCATGACTTTATTTATGCTATTTGGTAATGCCTTCCCATATCAACTCTGGGCTTGGACAAGTGACTTATTTGATGGGGGACAAGAGTAAAATAATTCAAGTAGAGGCTTTATAAGCACTTTCACATTTTAATTTTCTCTCTTGTTCTTCTGTCTTTGTTATCAGAACACTCTGTGGTAGACTCCTGCAGATATATAAAAAACATTATAAGAGTTTAGTTTCCCCAGTTGATTTAGATCTGTCAGACCCTAGCCAACCTTCCAACTGTGTATAGTTTGTTCTCACACTGTTATGAAGAAATACCTGAGACTGGATAATTCATAAAGAAAAGAGGTTTCACTGACTCACAGTTCTGCATGGCTGGGAAGGCCTCCAGAAACTTGCAATCATGGTGGAAGATAAAGGGTAAGAAAGGAACCTTCTTCACAGGGTGACAGGAAGGAGAAGTTCTGAGCAAAGGGGGAAAAAGCCCCTTATAAAAGCAATAGATCTTGTGAGAACCCATTCACCATCACTAGAATAGCATGGGGGTAACTCCCCCCATGATTTAATTACCTCCTACTAGGTCCCTCCCACAACATGGGGATTATGGGGACTAATTCAAGATGAGATTTGGGTGGAGACACAGCCAAATCATCTCATTCTGCCCCTGGTCTCTCCCCAGATCTCATGTGCTCACATTTCAAAACACAATCATGCCTTTCCAACAGTCTCCTAAATTATTAGCTCATTCCAGCATCAATCCAAAAGTCCAAGTCCAAAGTCTTATCTGAGACAAGGAAAGTCCCGTCTGCTTATAAGCCTGTAAAATCAAAAGCAAGTTATTTACTTCCTAGATACAATGGAGGTACAGGCATTGGGTGGATATACCCATTCCAAATGGGAGAAATTGGCCAAAACAAAGGGGCTACAGGCACCATGCAAGTCAAAAATCCAGTGAGGCAGTAATTAAATCCTAAAGCTCTGCAATAATTTCCTTGGGCTCCATGACTCACATTCTAGTCACGCTGATGCAAGAGATGGGTTCCCATGGCTTTGGGTAGCTCCACTCCATGACTTCACAGGGTATAGCCTCGATGGTAGCTGCTTTCATGGGCTGAGGTCCAGTGTCTATGTCAGTGTCTATGACTTTTCCAGGTGCATGGTGCAAGCTGTCAGTGGATCTATCATTCTGGGGTCTGGAAGATGGTGGCCCTGTTCTCATAGCTCCACTAAGCAGTGTCCCACATTTCCCATCTGCACTGCCCTAGCATAGGTTCTATATGAGTGCTCTGCCCCTGCAGCAAACTCCTGCCTGGACATCCAGACATTTCCATACAACACCTGAAATCTAGGCAGTGGTTCCTAAACCTCAGTTCTTGACTGCCATGTACCTGTAGGCTCAACATCACATGAAAGCTGCTAAGGCTTGGGGCTTGCACTGTCTGAAGCCATGGACTGAGCAGTACCTTGGTGCCTTTTAGCCATGGCTGGGAAACAAGGCACCAACTTCTTAGGCTGCACAAAGCAGAGGTACTCTGACCCTGGCCCAGGAAAGTAATTTTTCTTCCTAGGCCTCGAGGCTTGTGATGGGAGGGGCAGCCACAAAGTTCTCTGTCATGCTCTGGAGACATTTACCCCATTGTTTTGGAAATTAACATTCACATCCTCATTATACATGCATATTTCTGTAGCTGGCTTGAACTTCTCTCTAGAAAATGGGTTTTTCTTTTCTACTGCATCATCAGGCTGCAAATTTTCTGAACATCTATGCCCTGCTTCATCTTGAGTGCTTTTCCCCTTAGAAATTTTTTTATCAGATACGCTAAATCATTTCTCTCAAGTTCAAAGTTCCACAGATCTCCAGGGCAGGGGCAAAATGCTGCCAGTCTCTTTGCTAAAGCATAGCAAGCATCAACTTTATTTCAGTCCCCAATAAGTTCCTTTACTCCACCTGACACCACCTCAGTCTAGATTCATTGTCCATATCCCTATCAGTATTTTGGTCAAAACCTTACAACAAGTGTCTAGGAAGTTTGAAATTTTTGCACACTTTCCTGTCTTCTTCTGAGCTCTCCAAAATATTCCAACCTCTCCCTGTTACCCAGGTCCAAAGTCACTTCCACATTTTTGGGTATCCTTATAGCAGCATCCCACTTTAGCAGTACCAATTTACTGTATTAGTCTGTTCCCAGGCTGCTATGAAGAAATACCTGAGACTAGGTAATTTATAGAGAAAAGAGGTTTAATTGACTCATAGTTCTGAATGGCTGGGAAGGCATCCAGAAACTTACAGCTCTGGCAGAAGTCAAAGAGGAAGAAAGGCACCTTCTTCACAGGGTAGCAGGAAAGAGAAGTGCTGAGCAAAGGGGGAAAAGCCCCTTATGAAAGCATCAGATCTTGTGAGAACTCACTCACTATCATGAGAATAGCATCAGGGTAACCGGCCCCTTGATTCAATAACCTCCCACTGGGTCCTTCCCACAACATGTGGCGATTATGGGAACTACAATTCAAGATGAGATTTGTGTGGGGACACAGACAAACCACATCAAACTGCTAGCAAATTCATGAGCAAGTTCAGATAAGATCAATCAAACCCGGATCAGATCATCAGACTATACAACTGACTTCTTGTTGTCTTTAACCATTTGCTTTTTGCATGATCTGCCACACAGCCTTAATGTTGGGACAGATAATTATTACAAATATATATTAAATAATTCAGGAATTGGCTTTGGTTTATGGAACACACTTTCAATAGCACTGCCCAAAATAATCCAAATGTACTGCTTTTCTGTTAACATCCCAGGAAAATAACCTATTCTGATTTTTTCTTTTTAAAAATTTATAACACTAACCTTCCTAACAGCCTATAATCCCATGAGGCAGAGATTTACATTATTCTTGTTAACTCATTCCAAGCACATAAAACAGAGTTCAGCATAAAGTATGTACTCAATAAATATTTGTGAAGTTAATGAATAATTTCTTTAAATAGCTACATGAAAAATGTAAAATGAGTAAATGATGTTCAAGATGTGATATGATATAGAATATTTAGCTCTATGAGGTTTGCATGACAAAAAACTTAAGACTGAAATAGGAATTTTCAGGGTTGGTCACTGTGGCTCACACTTCTAATCCCAGCACTTTTGGAGGCTAAAGTAGCAGGATCACTTGAGATCAGGAGTTCAAGACCAGACTGGGCAACATAGAAGGCCTCATTTTCCTTTTCTTTTTCTTTGTTTTTCTATTTGCTCCCAATTAGGTGAAACAGGATGATTACAGTGGAGTTGGATATTTCTCTTTCCCCAGTGCAGTTAGGTTTTGATGAAACTCCAGCATGTTAGATTCTGGTTAAATAGTTTCTGGGGCACACTTTTTAAAGAAAAACATAATGCTGTAGTGTATTTCAAAATGGTTTATTTTACTTTCCCCTTGACAGAACACAAGGTGATTTTTCTCTAAAATTTACTGTGAGAAACCTGGTTAAGCTCCTAGAGGTAAAACAGAAGTGTAGGGACCTCCTCATATTACTGCCATTCTGAGATTTATTGCTTTCAGACTTGTCTACAATGAGCCTCCAGCCATTCATCAATTACAGTTTGGGTTTTTCTACCTTGCCACTGTTTCCTACAGAAGTTTCTGCTCATGGGATTCTGCTCTACTAAGTTGTGATTCTCTGTATTTGCCTACCTGTCTCTCCAGTTTTGGGGTCAAGGGTTTGCTCTGTGACATCACTTATGAGTCTAAAAATAGTTGCTGATTTTTCAGTTTTTTCAGCTTTATATGTGTTAGAATGGAGTGAGAGTGGTGATTTCTATGCTCCTTACATGACAGACCAGAAAGTGAAGTCAAAACATTAGACAAAACTGAATTTAATCATAATTATAAGTGCTGATATGGTTTGGCTGTGTCCTCGGCTGAAATATCATCTTGAATTTAGCTCCCATAATCCCCGCCTGTCATGTAGGGACCTAGTGGGAGGTAATTGAATTATGGGGGCGTGTTTTTCCCATGCTGTCCTCATGACAGTGAATAAATCTCACAAGATCTGCTGATTTCATAAAGGCCAGTTCCCCTGCACACAGTCTCTTGCCTGCCACCATGTAAGATGTGCCTTTGCTCCCTCACTTTCTGCCATGATAGTGAGGCCTCCCCAGCCATGTGAAACTGTGAGTCCATTAAACCTCTTTTTCTTTATAAATTATCCAGTCTTGGATATTTCTTCATAGCAGTATGAAAATTGACTAATACAATAAATTGGTACTGGTAGACTGGGGTGCTGCTTATAAGGATACATGAAAATGTGGAAGCGACTTTGGACCTGGCCAAAAGACAGAGGTTGAAACAGTTTGAAGGGCTCAAAAGAAGATAGAAAAAAGTGAGAAAGTTTGGAACTTCCTAGATACTTGGAGGTCTCAGATGATAGAAGATGTGGGAAAGTTTGGAAATTCATAGAGGCTCAAGTGGCTTTGATTGAAATGGTGACAGTGATATGGACAATGAAGTCTAGGCTGAGGTAATACCCAATGGTAATGAGAAACTTGTTGGGATGTGAAATAAAGGTGATTCTTTCTATGCTTTACTAAAGAGATTGGCAGCATTTTGCTCCTGCCCTAGAGATCTGTGGAACTTAGAACTCGAGAGAGATAATTTAAGGTATCTGGTGGAAGAAATTTCTAAGCAGCAAAGCATTCAAGAGGTAACTAGGGTGCTCTTGAAAGCATTCAGTATCATTCATTCTCAAAGATATTGTTTAGATTTGGAATTCATATCTAAAAGGGATGTAGAGCATGAAAGTTTGGAAAATTTGCAGCCTGGCAATGCATTAGATAAGAAAAACCCATTTTCTGGGAAGAAATTCAAGCCACTTACAAAAATTTGCATAGATAACAAGGAGCCAAATGTTCATTGCCAAGACAATGGGGAAAATGTCTCCAGGACATTTCAGAAGTCTTCAAGGCAGCCCCTCCCATCACAGCCATCACAGGCCTGGAGACCTAGGAGGGAAAAATGGTTTCATGGGCAGGGCTCAAGCACTTGCTGTTTTGTGCAGTCTCAGGACATGATGCCTGTGTCTCAGCCATGGCTGAAAAGCATTAATATACAGTTCAGGCTATTGCTTCAGAGGATGCAAGCCCCAAACCTTGGCAGCTTACACATGGTGTTGGGCCAGCAGTTGCACAGAAGTCAAGAATTTAGATTTGGGAACCTCTGCCTAGATTTCAGAGGATGCATGGAAATCCCTGAATGTCCAGGCAGAAGTGTGCTGCAGGAGTGAAGCCCTCATGGAGAACCTCTGCTAGGGCCATGCAGAAGGGAAATGTGGGTCACTGCATAGTGGAGCTGTGAGAAGGACCACCATTCTCCAGATCCCAGAATGGTAGATCCACTGACGACTTCCACTGTGAGCCTGGAAAAGCCACAGACATTCAACACTAGCACATGAAAGCAGCTAGGAGGGGGGCTGTGTTCTGCAAAGCAACAGAGGTGGAGATGCCCAAGGCCATGGGGGCCCACCTCTTGCATTTGTGTGACCGAATGAGTGACACAGAGTCAAAGAAGATCATTTTGGAAATATAAGGTTGAATGGCTGCCCTACTGGATTTCAAACGCACATGTGATCTGTAGACCCTTGTTTTTGCCAATTTCTGTCATTTGGAATGGGTGTATTTACCCAATGCCTGTACCCCCATTTGTGTCTAGGAAGGAAGGAACTTGCTTTTTATTTTACAGGCTCATAGGCTAACGAGACTTACCTTGTCTCAGATGAGACTTTGAACTTGGACTTTTGATTAATGCTGAAATGAGTTAAGATTTTAGGGGACTGTTGGAAGGGCACAATTGTGTTTTGAATTATGACAACATGAGATTTGGAAGGGGTCAGTGGTGGAATTATATGGTTTGGCTGTGTCTCCACCTAAATCTCATTCTGAACTGTAGCTCCCATAATCCTCACATGTTGTGGAAGGGGGCTGGTGGGAGGTAACTGAATCATGTGATAGTGAATAAGTCCCACAAGATCTGATGGTTTTATAAAGGGCAGTTCCCCTGAACACGCTGTCTTGCCTGTTGCCATGTAAGATGTGCCTTTGCTCTTCCTTCACCTTCTACCATGATTGTGAGGCCTCCCTAGCCACGTGAAACTGTGAGCTCATTAAACCTCTTTTTCTTTATAAATTACCCAGCCTCTGGTATTTCTTCATCGCAGTATGAAAATGGACTAATACAAGTGCAATCTAGGGACATAAGTGAATCTATTGAAACCTGCATAAAACATATTAATTCATATATGCATTGAAGTGAGGAAAAGTGTTTCCTACCAATGTTCTAATTAGTTTTCTTTTCTTTCTTTTATTGACAGATAAAATTGTATGTATTTTTTACTTACAACATGATGTTTTGAAGTATGTATAAATTGTGAAGTGAATAAATCTAGCTATTTATGGTACAACATGTTGACGATTGTCAATAAAAATATTTTGTATTCTGGATTAAATATTATACTAGAAATTGTACCTAATATATTCCCAGAAAAATTAATGAATAGAATGAATTAGCAATATATACATTGATAGAGTCAGGATTGCCCATATGTTTAGATATAGAATATTGTCATGAAAATCTAAGTGAATCTATAGGTAGAGTTTAATAATTAACAAGATAAATTTTCATGATTACTTGCTTAAAGATCAGCACAAAATAATACATGCTGTATATACATCCTTAACAATAAATTATTATTTACAAATATCACACCATCTAAATTTTAGCAAAGACCAATAATTGTTTATAAATACTGAGTTATTTTTATATTGGCAAGTGATAATCTAAGCAATTTACATTTATTAACTCATTTAATCATCACAGCAACCATATAAGTCAATATGTTTGCTGTTTCTATTTCCTAGGATTTTACAAATGATGTATCGATTGTTCAGTGATTTTAAGTTTTTAAGGTTAAAGTGCTGGAATTAGGATTTGAACACATTCTGTATAGATCCAGAAACTTTACTTTTGATTTCACTACCTTAGTATAAAGATAAAAGATAAAACTTGACAAAAAAATCTATGGAAAAAATTATATTGTTTTATCAAATAATTTTTAAATGAATAAAAATAGTATCTTATAGAAAGAAAAAGTGTTTTAACATGTTAATCAAACATTTAATATAATTTCAAATTAAATGGAATTTCATGCAACTTTTAAAAGCCACATGGAAGACTGGTGGAACAAAATAATCAAGATAATTTTTTAAGGTGGAGAAAAAGATGGTGGAACTTTGCTATTGTGAATAGTGCCACAATAAACATACATGTGCATGTGTCTTTATAGCAGCATGATCTATAATCCTTTGGGTATATACCCAGTAATGGGATGGCTGGGTCAAATGGTATTTCTAGTTCTAGATCCCTGAGGAATCGCCACACTGTCTTCCACAATGGTTGAACTAGTTTACAGTCCCACCAACAGTGTAAAAGTGTTCCTATTTCCCCACATCCTCTCCAGCATCTGTTGTTTCCTGACTTTTTAATGATTACCATTCTAACTGGTGTGAGATGGTATCTCATTGTGGTTTTGATTTGCATTTCTCTCATGGCCAGTGATGATGAGCATTTTTTCATGTGTCTTTTGGCTGCATAAATGTCTTCCTTTGAGAAGTGTCTGTTCATATCCTTTGCCCACTTGTTGATGGGGTTGTTTGTTTTTTTCTTGTAGATTTGTTTGAGTTCATTGTAGATTCTGGATATTAGCCCTTTGTCAGATGAGTAGATTGCAAAAATTTTCTCCCATTCTGTAGGTTGCCTGTTCACTCTGATGGTAGTTTCTTTTGCTGTGCAGAAGCTCTTTATTTTAATTAGATCCCATTTATCAATTTTGTCTTTTGTTGCCATTGCTTTTGGTGTTTTAGACATAAAGTCCTTGCCCATGCCTATGTCCTGAATGATATTGCCTAGGTTTTCTTCTGGGGTTTTTATGGTTTTAGGTGTAACATGTAAGTCTTTAATCCATCTTGAATTAATTTTTGTATAAGGTGTAAGGAAGGGAACCAGTTTCAGCTTTCTACATATGGCTAGCCAGTTTTCCCAGCACCATTTATTAAATAGGGAATCCTTTCCCCATTTCTTGTTTTTGTCAGGTTTGTCAAAGATCAGATGGTTGTAGATATGTGGCATCATTTCTTAGGGCTCTGTTCTGTTCCATTGGTCTATATCTCTGTTTTGGTACCAGTACCATGTGGCACTATTCACAATAGAAAAGACTTGGAACAAAGCCAAATGTCCAACAATGATAGACTGGATTAATAAAATATGGCACATATACACCATGGAATACTATGCAGCCATAAAAATGATGAGTTCATGTCCTTTGTAGGGACATGGATGAATCTGGAAACCATCATTCTCAGTAAACTATCGCAAGGACAAAAAACCAAACACTGCATGTTCTCACTCATAGGTGGGAATCGAACAATGAGAACACATGGACACAGGAAGGGGAACATCACACACTGGGGCCTGTTGTGGGGTAGGGGGAGGGGGGAGGGATAGCATTAGGAGATATACCTAATGTTAAATGATGAGTTGATGGGTGCAGCACACCAACATGGCACATGTATACATATGTAACTAACCTGCACATTGTGCACACGTACCCTAAAACTTAAAGTATAATAATAATAAAAAAAGATGGTGGAACTTGACTCACAAGGAATACTATAAAGTTATAGCATTTAAGTCTAACAATACTAAAAGAGGGATACACACTTCAACTATTAGAATAAAATTAGTACAGTGAAACAAATTAACACATATATGGAAATTTGATTCATTTCCAAAGCAAAATTACTTGTTATAAATTAATGAATGAGTTTTGACTAATTATGCTGAGACAACTAGTTGTCCTCATTTTAAATAACTAAGTGAGTTTCCCTACTTCACATTAAACTTAACTATAAATTCTACTTTAATGAAGAAACTGAAAAGAAAAGAATATTAGAAGAAGTACATGAGAATAGCTTTTTGACTCTTAAGATGGCAAGAATCTTTTGAGCATATCATAAAGGATCCCAATTTATTTTTTTTAATTGTTAAATATTTGTTTTGTTTGAAAAGGTCTTGATCTGCTACCCAGGTTGAAGTGAGGAGGTGCAATTATACCTTACTCAAACAATCCTCCCACTTCAGCTTCCTCAGTAGGTGGGATTACAGGCATGCACCACCATGCCCTACTAAATATTTAATTTTTTATTTTTGGTAGAGATGGTGTCTTGTTATATTGCCTAGGCTGGTCTTGAGCTCTTGGCTTCAAGCAATTCTCCTGCTAGGCAGAATCTGAGTTTTTTAAAGTTATGAACATATTTAGAAACATTAAATTATTCTGCATAATAAGAGATCCCATAAATAGAATTAAATGAAAAACACAATTTCAGTGCACTCTTTACAGTGATTACTATAATAAAAACATATTACTCAGAATATTAAAGACCACTTATAAATAAGGAAAAAATAATAAAATGATCAAGCATATAGTGGATTCTCAGCTACATCTCAGAAGAAGAAGTTCAATGCAATTAGAACATGAATGTTTATTTCAGCAGTATTTAGGGAAATCTATTTAAAAAGCAATAAATTGTCACTTAACATCTACTAAATAGACAAAACTGAAATCTGACAGTAACAAAAAGAAACAAAAGGAACTTGTAGTGTTATACACTGATACAACTGCCTTCAAAAAAATCTGATATAGTCTAAAAATGTTGAAGGAAAAAGGAAAGTTGAATGAAGAATAAAATGTCATATGCAGCAGGATGTTATTTCTATAATTGTGAAAAACATACAACACAGTACTATGCATTGTAAGGATGCAGAAATATGTATTAAACTTACAAAAACATACACAAAAAGATAAACATAAAATTAATGATGGTATTTATTACCATGGAGAAATATAGTTACATGGGCAGTCTACCCAGTAAGCTTCAACACCAACTGTAATACTGATGTGAAGAAATGATAAAATTGAAGGTGGTGAGTAAATAAGTCTTCATTATCTTGATCTTTGTACACCAATTCATGTTACAATATTTATTAAATATTAATACATTTAGCAGACAGCCGTTATTTTATTGATTCAACAAAAATGATTGAGTTCTCAATTTGTCCCAGTTATGTTTTAAGTTCTAGAGGTATAAATATGTAAAACAGTCACTGTTTGCTCTGTACAGTAGTGTATATGGTTCAGGAGAGTACAGAATGTTGTTAGGGGTGTGGGACGGGTAAGGAGACAGACTTAACAACATAACAAACATGTACTATGTCGGATAGTCAGTGAAAAGAAAACAGGATAGAAATAAGAAGATAGAATGTAACGAAAAGTATTGCAGACAGTGTTCAGAGAAGATCTTTTTGGTATCATGACTTTACATAAGTGAAGAGAAGATTAAAGGGGAGTCTTGGGAAGATAGTTTAGATGAAGAAAACAGCAATTATATTGCGATTGCAATGGTTCTGATAAGAATACGTGAGAAGAATACGTTAGAAGAATTAATGAAAAGTATTGCAGACAGTGTTCAGAGAAGATCTTTTTGGTAAGATGACTTTACATAAGTGAAGAGAAGATTAAAGGGGAGTCTTGGGAAGATCGTTTAGATGAAGAAAACAGCAATTACACTGCAATTGCAATGGTTTTCAGAAGGATATGTAAGAAGTATTCAAAAAACAGGAAATCAAAAAAGGAGGGTATGGCTTTAATGATCACATGCCACATTTTAGAAATTATAAACTAAATGTAAAATCATCATTATTTATGAACAAACACAAGAACATATTAATTTCTGTAAAAAATAATAATAGGATTATAAGATGCACAGCTTATTTTTAACCACAAGGACTTTTATTTTGTGAAACAATTTGATATTTTGTTTTCCTCAAATCTAAATAAGATGTGTTTTAATGTATTTTCACTGTATTTTTATGTGATATATAAATTGACAAAAGTTCACAAAAAAGTAGTGTTGAAATTTAGTATATTAAATGTCCATTCGAATTTTATATAAAAATATAATTAATATGTACTGAAAATGCTAATGAAAATTTAACAAAAATCAGTTTATGTGCAGGTACTTTAATAAAGTAGAGTGGTGCTGAATTTCTATTTTATTTTTTATGTAAATACATTCTACTTCACACTTGTTTTACAGAAGATGAAGTACACTTCAAGCACATGCAGCAGCATCAAGAATGGTGTCCAGGAAAGACAGCTATTGAGATGTAAATAAACACTGAACTCATTTGATAACTTAGGGATCTGGAGAGCTACACATTTTGAAGAAAGTGAGAATTATAGTATGAGCATTCAGAAACAAAGATGAGATGGAATAAAACAAAATATTAAAATTTTAAAATGACACAGTACAACATCAAAATATCTAACTGATAAAGGTAATTCAGCATGAGGCTTATGCACACAACTTTACTGACCTCAGATATTCCTTCTCTTTTTTTAAATGAGAAATAGATAAATCTCTTTGTCAGGAGCATGAGAATTTCTAAGAATTGCTTTCAATCTCTCCCTCTCTCAAGAGAAATCTCTCTCTCTCTCTCTCTCCACACACACACATACACACACACAAATACATCACCACCACAAAACACATGCACACACACACACACACACCACAAAACACATACAAGGCAAAATGTTTTTAAATAGCATTTTTCCCTTTTGTCTGTATCCTATTTCCATGAATGATTAATTTTGGAACAAAGTCCTTGGCATTAAATAGACTTGTGTTTAATTATTGACTCTTTTAATTAGAAATATTTTAATCATAAGTGCATTGTATTTCTGTGGCTGCCACAACAATTACAATTAATTTTCTAACAAATTACCACAAACCAAAATGTATTGCTTCATTATTTTGCAGACTATACATCTGAAATTTTTATCACTGGACTATAATCAAATTGTGTGTAAGGCCACACTTTCTCTGAAGTCTCTACGAGAGAATCCATCCTTCTTTTTTCCAGATTGTATTGGCTGCTGCAATCCTTGGCTTCTGGCTGCATCATTCAATCTCAGTCTCTGTCTTCACATTACCTTCCCCTCACCTGTCTGTTTAATCTCCCTATACCTCTCTCTTATAGGAAACTTGTGACTGCATTTAGGGCTCACCTGGATAATCCAGGATAAATCTCTTTATCTCGATTATTAATTATATCTACAAAGACCCATTTTTCATTATAAGGTAATATTTATAGTTTCCAGTAATTAGGGCATGATATTGTTGAGGAGCTATTATTCTGCCTACCATAGCTAGTAAGAAAAAAATTCACTCAAACTGGTAAAAGCAAGACAATAAAAGTTACAAAATATTTCAAATACACTAAAATGGGAAAATAAATTTTCCCAACTTTGTTTTTAAGTTCCAGGGTACATGTGTAGGATATGCAGGTTTGTTACGTAGGTAAACATATGCCATGGTTGTTTGCCGCACAGATCAACCCATCACCTAAGTATTAAGCCCAGCATCCATTAGGTGTTCTTCCTGATCTTACAGAGTGCAAAGGAAGAGTGGCTCCAGACAAAGTGAATCAGAGGCCAGCAGCATCATCAGAGTGGCAACTCTATGTGGAAGTGAATCTCTCTCCTCTGCTTCTCCAGGTGAGAAAACATCCTCAGGTTTGCTTCATTTCTAATACAATAAAAACAACCAACCAACCAAAAAATCAAATATGCTGAAAGTATTCTCAACTACTCAACACAGCCATGTTTTTTGCCTCAATCTTATTGGGGAAAGGGGAAAATATTTAAACCAGAATAAAACAATGTGATCAGTGAGAACCTGGCTTAAGTCACTAGGGTTTCTATTGTTATCAGAGGTAGGTTAATTATACACAAATTACATAGCCAAAAATAGGAGAGATCAACATGGCTTAAAGCAAAACCCCTATATAAACAGTGGGACAATAGTGATGAAAATCGGATTGCTGCTGTAATAAATACCAAAAATGTAGCGGCAGCTTTGAAACTCGGTAATAGGTGGTAGCAGCTGGAAGAGTTTTGAATTGCATGATAAAAAAAAAAAAAGCCTACATTGCGGTACATGGACTGTTAAGGGTGAGTCCGTTGAATGCCAAGAAGGAAAAGAGAAGAGCTATGGAGAATGACTCAATCTTCTTAGAGAATACCAAAGTGCCTTTGAGTGGAATGTTAGTAGAAGTGTGGATGGTAACAACCATTCTGATGAAGGCTTCAATAAAAATTAGGAACATGTTATTGCAAACTATAAAAAAAGTCAACCTTGTGATAAAGTGGCAAAGATCTTGGCTGAATTGTTTTTCTGTTGTAGCATTTTGTGGGAGGTAGAGCTTGTAAGTGTTGAAATTGGATGTTTGGCAGAGAAAATTTCTATGCAAACTGTTGTATAGAATGCGCTGACTTCTCATACTGTGCGTAGTATAATATAAGAGGAGAGAAATGACATAAAATGGAATTGTTAACCAGAAAGTAAGTAGAACTTAAAGCTTTGAAAAATTCTTAGCATATCATTATTGTAAAGAATGAGAAAGCTGGTTTGAGAGAGAACACTAAGGGTGTGGCCAAACAGTCATTTGATAAAGGGAATAGTCAGCCATCTCAACAGGAGCCTCTGGGGTTATCAAAGACATGGGGGAAAATAATATGGATTAGCCATCTCAACAAAAGCTAGGAGCAATGGAAAATTGCAAAGGAGATGCCAACCAGCACTGCAGGACCTAGGTGCATGCTGCATCACAGGATCCACTCCCAGAACTCAGGAGCTGCACTTCTTGGTCACCCTAAGTATAGCTTCGGTGAGTCCAGGTATAGCATAAGCAACAGTGGTTACCTCTCTGGGGTATATAGTCAGCAAATTTGGCAGAGTCCCTATGGTGCCTTGCACCTGTGTGTGCAAGGCATGAGCCCTGGGAGCATGTTTGCCTCCGCCTAGATGTAGAGGGATGGAATCAATCTTCTGGGGAACCATGGGGGTGGGGCACAGACAGAGAGAAATTCTGTGGTCATTTAGCCAAGCTAGGAAGGCAGGGCCACTCAAAGTCAGGGCAATAAGAATGCCCAGTGTCTTGGGGGCCCAACCCCTGCCTGGCTAAGCTATGGGACCAGGATCCCGACCTCAGTGGTTCTGGTAGGTGGGACCTCCACACCAACAGTTCCAGAAGGTTGGAATTGTAGGGCAGAGCATTAAGTCAAAAAGGATTGTTCTTTAGCCTTAAGATCTAATGAAATGTGCCCTATTGGGTTTTAGACTTTCTTCAGATCTGTCTCTCCTTTCTTTTTTTCCTTTTTTTTTTTTCTCTTTTGGAATGAGAATGTCTTTGCTATGCCTGTCACACCATTGTATTTTGGAAGCATATAACTTGTTTGATTTCACAGGTTCATAAATGGAGAATAATTTGCCTCAGAATGAATTGTATGTTGAGTCTCCCCCATATCTAATTTAGCTGATATTCAGATGAGACTTAGACTTTTGAGTTGAGGGTATGTGAGCAGAACTTGAATGGGGGCAGAAGGTGGTGTAGAGACAAAATGCTACAGACTGAACTTTTGTGTCCCAACCGCCATCCTCCAAATACATATGTTGAACCCTAATCTCCAGTGTCATGGTATCTGGAGGTAGTCCCTTTGGGAAGTGATTAGCTCATGAAGGTAGAACCTTCATGAGTAGCAGCAGTAGCCTTTTAAAAAGAGATTTCCAGGGAGCTCATTTTCCCCTTGTGCTACGTGAGGACACAGGGAAAAGACAGCTATCTATGAACCAGGAAACGAGCCCTCAGCAGATACCGAATCCAACAGCAGCACCTTAATCTTGGACGTTCCAGCCTCTAAACTGTGAGAAGTTATTATTTTTTTTAAAGAGACTACCTAGTCTCTGTTATAACAACCAAAGCAGATTAAGATAGCTGCCACTCATTATAGTAACTCAGTGATCTACTCATTAATCCATTAAGCTTCAGTTTTTCTTCTGTTGTGTGATATATTAAATCATTGACCTACCCTCACTTGTAATTCCTCTGTCAGGAAGGGTATTATTATGGCCCTATTACAGGACAACTGTTCCTCAAAATAATTGATGGAGTATCCAAAATAAACTGATAAGAAATTAATTTTCTATACAGAAAGAAAAACTATATTGTATATAAGATGTTATTCTCCAATATTCATACATGTATGTAATTAAATTCAGTTTTCTGACTAAAAAAAAAAGAACTAGAATCTTGTCCAGCTGACCAGTTGACTTGGAATAACTTGTAGCTACTTCCATAAGTAGCTTTTGAAATTTACCTATAATTTAGTCAACTGAGCTTCTGGAGATAACTTGGGCTGTAAACAGGAACATAATTATTCTCCCCCTTGATTTCAGATGCAATATTCAACAAGCCCTGTACCTTTCATAGCTGTGCTACAGAATTTGAAGTGTGCCTCAAGTAATTTTCAAAGGCATAAAGTATGATATAAATGAAGAGAATAATATAAAGATGTAAACAAACACAGCAACTCTTTATTTCTTAGGGTAGTGAGTAATGATTATTAAACTTTGTTTTTGAAAAAGATTTTTCTAATGGTTTCACAATTATTCTTAAATATAAATGGGGGTATGAATTATTATTAATTATAAGAATGCTAATTATTTCGTAGTTCAAATACAACCAATTATTAATTCATTCAAAAACACATTGAATGATACTGTGTGCTAGGCACTGTGCTAAATGCTAGAGAAAAAAAATTTTCCGATTTTTGGTTAAATAGCTACTTCATGTAGGATGGTTACATCTCTCTATCTCAGAACCTAATTTAAACATAGTTGAATATGAGCCTACAGGAAACAATGTTCATTGAGATTGGAAAAAAAGATTTGATACATTTTCATTATACAAATATCAGGAATATTTAAACTGAATGAAGACAGTAATGATGAATTAATATCTTTCCTGAAACAAAATAGTTTATAATTTTATGATATAAGAAGTAAATACTAATGATTACCAGTATTTACTAATTATAGTTTAAGTCTTAACTGATTCAACAAGGCAATGTGGTTGTAATATTGTCATTCTTATTTTCCAAATGCAAAAACTGAGGCACAGAACAGCTAAGGAAATTGTCCATGGTCACACAACCAGGAAGAGGATACACTTGAATACAAACTCAAAAAGTTAAATCCTAGAGTCCTTATTTTAATCATTCTGGTGTATTCCCTGTACATTAGAGTTTTATGAAGGACACATAATCGTTATGAGTGATGTGAAACTAGGAATTCATTATAGGGAAAGTTATACTTTAGATTTTAGGCAATGGTGGGAGTTGGTAAATAATTCTATCAAAGACTTTACATATGACTGTTACATCTGATACTGGGCCTTAAGTTTTGTAGATCAATAAAGGTCATTAGAGGGAATGAAAATTTGGATGTGAAGGAGGTGAAAGTCAAGACAAACTGGAACCCAGGAGAACACACTGGGATCCACATCAGTCTCTCATTGCCTCCAACCTTGATGATGTAGAGAACCAGCAGGAGCTAGCATTATTTACCATGGAGCTCCTCATGTTTTGCACTTAGGACTCAGGTAATTTGAAAGTGGAGATCTGGTGAGAGCCAGAAGAGCTAAGTGGCCAGTTGCTGCCCATACCAACAAAGTAAGCCAGAACTTCTGCAACAATGTATGAGAGTTCCAGAGCTTGGCATTCCACATCAACCTTGAAAGCATACTGGTTGGTGGCCACTTCACTTTTATCTCTTACATTTCACCATACAACCTATATTTAATATAGATCCTGGAGAAAACCCAATGATAACACTTATTTATAAGAAATAAAAAATAAGTATAAACCACATTGGACATTTTTGAATTATTTTCATCAGAAGCCCTAAAGCATTTGAAAGCCAGTGTTCTACAAGGCTTCAGGGAACAGCAATCTAGCACTCTTGAGAGGAAAATAATAAACCATTGACAGAGTGAGCCTCACTAACACTTCTTGGCCACCTTCATTAAATAGTGCTCTTTTATTATTACATTCGATCATGGTCCTGGAATAAGACCAGCAATAGTCACATGGTCATATCTAAACTTTCAGGTTGGATCAAAAGCAAATTTACTTAAGAGAAGTAGCCCCATATTTAGTTGCTTCATTAAACCAAAGATACTGTGAAAAAAATGTTCTAGAGCATTGAGATGTAAGATCACAGAACTCGTATTTTAAAAGTTGATTGGCCATACTTCCTTTTTAAATGTGAAAGAACTATTCTAACATACACAAGGAGGACAGTTAGGGAATTTTTTAAAAAATCATCTCTAAAACTCATTATAGCAAACTAAAATATCTTCACTTTGACTAATGTTAAAATAGTCAGGAAATCCAAGAGAACCAAAGAAAGAAGGTTTAAAAGCTAACTTACATCTGAGAAAACTCAAGAAATACATTTTAAAAGGTACAAAATGAGAAGTACTACCTAAAAATGGTCGCATTTTCCCAAACCTCCAGCAGCCATCATCTCTCTGCTTTTCTAACTTTCCCTATCAGTGTTCTCTCTGTTTTCTAGCGTGTGCTCACCACCTAGCCCCAAAGACAAAGTCAGTGCTTTAGAATTCTGTTATGGCAGCACCCCAATTCTATATAGTAATTTACATTTTTATTACGTATTGCTGAATAGCAAACCACCACAACACTTAGTGGTCCAAAACAAAAATGATTTACTCTTTTTATACTTCTTTGGTTTGGTTGGGCTCAGCTCAGAAGTTTTCTGCTCCACATGTTGCCTAATAGGGTCACCCATATGTTTGCATTCGCCTGGAAGATCAGCTTGGACTGACCATTAGCTGAAGCATCTCAGTTCTATTCCAAATAATCTCTGCATACAATTACCTAGAATTCTTCATGCATCAGGAATCCAAGAGAGTGAAAACAGAACCTGCCAGTCTTTTTAGTGCCCACTGACAAATCGTCACTTCCATTATATTTTGCTGGTTAAAGGACCTCATAAAACCAAACTAAATTTAAGAAAAGGGGAAGCATACTCCCCTTCTTAAAAAGGGGAACAGAATGTACCTACAAAGGTGGAAAGTGTAATGGTCAGGGATCTTCAGCATAACAGAACTAATAGTGCATATATTGATATATTGAAAAAAGATTTAGTACAAAGGACTGGCTCACATGATTATGAAAGCTAAGAAGTCCCACACTCAGCTGGATATGGTGGGGCTCACGTCTGTAGTCTCAGCAGTTTGGGAGGCCGAGGTGGGTGAATCACGAGGTCAGGAGTTTGAGACCAGCCTGGCCAAGATGGTGAAACCCTGGCTCTACTAAAAATACAAAAATCAGCCAGGTGTGGTGGCAGGTGCCTGTAATCTCAGCTATTCAGGAGGCTTAGGCAGGAGAATCACTTGAACCCAGGAGGCAGAGGTTGCAGTGAGCCAAGATCATGCCATTGCACTCTAGCCTGGGAGACAGAGTGAGACTCTGTTTCAAAAAAAAAAAAAAGTCCCATACTCTGCTAAGCTGTATGCTCAGAAAGGCTGGTGGTATGATTCCAGTACAAACCCAAAGGCCTGAGTACTAGGGTAGCCAACGGTGTGAGTCCAGGACCAAGTCCTAAGGCCCGAGAATCAGGAGTGCTGATGTCCAAGGGCAGGAGAAAATGGATGTTCCAACTGAAGCTGGGAGAGCAAATTTATCTTTCTTCACCTTTTTGTTCTATTCAGGTCCTCACTGGATTAGATGAGGCCCACTGCATTGCTGAGGATGATCTTTACTCAGTCTACTACTGAGGAGCCAAATGTTAATAGCCAAGACAATGGCGGAAATGTCCCTAGGGCATTTTAGAGACTTTCACAGCAACCCTTCCCATCACAGGCTTGGAGGCCTAAGAGGAAACATGGTTTTGTAGGCCAGGCCTAGGGCCCTGCTGCTCTGTGTGGCCTTGGGAGATGGCACCCTGCACTCCAGCTGCTCTAGCTCCTTGGCTAAAAGGGCCTTAGGTGCACTCGGGACATTGCTTCAAAAAGTGAAAGTCCCAAGCCTTGGCAGCTTCCACCTGGTGTTGGGCCTGCTGCAGGTACACAGAAGGCAAGAATTGAAGTTGGGAACCTCTGCCTAGATTTCAGAGGATGTATGGAAATGTCTGGATGTCCAGGCAAAAATCTACTGCAGGGGTGGAATCCTCATGGAGAACCTCTACTAGGGTAGTGCAGAGGGGAGATGTGGAGTTGGAGCCCTCACACAGAGTCCCCACTGGGGCACTGCTTAGTGGAGCTGTGAGAAGAGGGCCACTGTTCTCCAGACAGAATGGTAGATCCACTGACACTTGCACCATGTGCCTGGAATAGTTACAGGCATTCAATGCCAGCCTGTGAAACAGCTGCAGAGGCTATATCCTGCTGAGTCACAGAGGCAGAGTTTCCCAAGGACTTTGGAGCCCACCTTTTGCATCAGCATGTCCTCGATGTGACACATGAAGTCAAAGGAGATTATTTTGGAGCTTTCAGATTTAATGATTGCCCTGCTGGATTTCAGACTTGTATAGGGCCTCTAGCCCCTTTGTTTTGAACAATTTCTACCTTTTAGAATGGGAGCATTTACCCAAGGCATGTGCTGCCACCCCCACCATTGTGTCTTGGAGGTAACTAACTCATTTTTTATTTTACAGTCTCCTAGGTGGAAGGGATTTACCATGTCTCAGATGAGACTTTGGACTTGGGCTTTTGAGTTAATGCTAGAATGAGTTAAGACTTTGGGGGATTGTTGTGAAGGCATGATTGGTTTTGGAATGTGAGAAGGACATGAGATTTGGGAGCAGCTGGGGTGGAATGAAATGGTTTGGCTCTGTGTCCCCACCTAAATCTCATTGAATTGTAATTCCCAGTGTTGGGGAAGGGACCTAGTAGAAGGTGATTGGATCATGGGGGTGGATTTTCCCCATGCTGTTCTTGTGATAGTGAGTTCTCACAAGATATGATGGTTTAAAAGTGTGTGGCACTTCCCCACTTGCTCTCTCTCTCTCCTGCCATCATGTGAAGAAGGTACTTGCTTCTCTCCTTTGCCCTTCCATCTTGAATAAAAGTTTCCTGAGGCCTTCCAGCCATGCTTCCTGTATACCCTGCAGAACTATGAGTCAATTAAGCCTCTTTTCTTCATAAATGACCTACTTTCAAGAAGTTCTTTATAACAATGTGAGAATGGACTAATACTCCACCATGAGGAACTAAAATTTGACATACGGTAATAAAATTAAGTAGAATCTATTGAGTACCTAATAAGAGGTAGATGCTTTAAAACATCACCCCCAATACCTTGGAAAATCTGCATTATTCTCTATAACTTACATAAAATAAAATGGTCTTAACAGTACATAACTATGTCCAAGTAGAGATTCAAATGCCAGCTCTATCTGATTCTGAAGTGTATATATTTTGCAATATGCTAGGCATGTTCTAAATATTCCTTAACTCTAAAAGGTACAAAATACAGCAGAATTCATACTTGTTTTGAATTCTTTTTTTTTTTTTTTTTTTTTTTTTTTTTTTAAGACAGAGTCTCACTCTGTCACCAAGGCTGGAGTGCAGTGGTGCGTTCTTGGCTCACTGCAAGCTCTGCCTCCCGGGTTCACGCCATGCTCCTGCCTCAGCCTCCCGAGTAGCTGGGACTACAGGTGCCTACCACCATGCCTGGCTAATTTTTTTGTATTTTTAGTAGAGACGGGGTTTCACCATGTTAGCCAGGATGGTCTCGATCTCCTGACCTCGTGATACGCCTGCCTCAGCCTCCCAAAGTGCTGGGATTACAGGCGTGAGCCACCGTGCCTGGCCTGAATTCTTTAAAGCTACAAACTCCTATGGAGAATCTGATTTGCACTGTGGAAAGTCTGTTAGATAAAATGCATTGATGGTAGTCTCTCTGTATCTATATCTCCTATCTAGAACTGTGTAGTTCCGACCCATTCTAGCTCTGGGCTGACATTACAATTAATTTGGTCAATAGAATGCTACAGAGGTAATGTTGTGCTAGTTTTAAGCCTAGACCTCTAAGTTTTAAGCTGAGACCTTAAGATGGCTCTGTATGCTTCTGCTTGCAATCTTAATTGCTTTCATGATAGAGTTGCTTTTGCTGTGAGAACAAGCTTGACTAACCTGTTGCAGGATGAGAGACCACATGAAGAAGAATAAAAGCATCTCAGCAAACAGTCAGCCAATACTGAGTAGCAGAGATGACTAGCCTACCATTTACAGCTGACCACAGATATGAGGGGTCCCATTGTCAAAACCAGATGAATTGTCCAGCTAAGCCTAGCCAAAAATTACAAACCTGAAAATTATGAGCTAAATAAATACTTCTTTGAAATCACTAAGTTTTGGGGGAGGATAGAAGATAGGAGGATATACTGAAGAGGAAAATACTGAGGACTTAATTTTTCTTCAACTAAAAAATGATAGAAATTATATGGAGAACTACCAACACACTGATCAAGGAAATAAGAGAGGACACAAACAAATGAAAAAACATTTCATGCTCATAGATAGGAAGAATGAATATCATGAAAATGGCCATACTGCCCAAAGTAATTTACAGAATCAATTCTATCCCCATCCAGCTACCATAGACTTTCTTCACAGAATTAGAAACAACTACTTTAAATTTCATATGGAACCAAAAAAGAGCCCGTATAGCCAAGACAATCCTAAGCAAAAAGAAGAAAGCTGGAGGCATCATGCTACCTGATTTCAAACTATACTACAAGGCTACAGTAACCAAAACAGCTTGGTACTGGTACCAAAACAGAGATATGGACCAATGGAACAGAACACAGGCCTCAGAAATAATGCCACATACATACAACCATCTGATCTTTGACAAACCTGACAAAAACAAGCAATAGAGAAAGTATTCTCTATTTAATAAATGGTGTTGGGAAATCTGGCTACCCATATGCAGAAAATTGAAACTGGACCTTTTTTTTTTTACACCTTATACAAAAACTAACTCAAGAAAGTTTAAAGACTTAAATGTAAGACCTAAAGCCATAAAAACCCTGGAAGAAAACCTAGGCAATTCATTCAGGACATATAAGCATGAGCAAAGACTAAAAAACTAAAGAGCTTGTGCACAGCAAAAGAAACTATCATCAGAGTGAACAGGCAACCTACAGAATGGGTGAAAATGTTTGCAATCTATCCATCTGACAAAGGGCTAATATCCAGAATCCACAAGGAACTTAAACAACTCTACAGGAAAAAAAAATCAAAACGTGGGTGAAAGATATCAAAAGACACCTCTCAAAAGAAGACATTTATGCGGCCAACAAACATGAAAAAAAGCTCATCATCACTGGTCATTAGAGAAATGAAAATCAAAACCACAATGAGATACCATCTCATACCAGTTAGAATAGTGATAATTAAAAAGTCAGGAAACTACAGATGCTGGAGAGGATGTGGAGAAATAGTAATGCTTTTATACTGTTGGTGGGAATGTCAATTAGTCCAACTATTGTGGAATACAGTGTGGCAATTCCTCAAGGATCTAGAACCAAAAATACCATTTGATTCAGCAATCTCATTACTTGTTATACACCCAAAGGATTATAAATCATTCTACTATAAAGACACATGCACACATATGTTTATTTTAGCACTATACACAATATCAAATTTGGGTTGTAACCAACCCAAATGCCCATCAGTGATAGACTGGATCAAGAAAATGAGGCACATATACACCATGGAATACTATGAAGCCATAAAAAGCATGAATTCATGTCCTTTGCAGGGACATGGATGGAGCTGGAAACCATAATCCTAAGCAAACTAACACAAGAACAGAAAACCAAACACCACATTTTTCATTTTGAACAGTGAGAACACATGGACACAGGGAGGGGAACATCACACTGGGGCCTGTCATGAGGTGTCGGGCTAGGGGAGGGATAGCATTAGGATAAATATGTAATGTAGATAATGGGTTGATAGGTGCAGCAAACCACCATGGCACGTGTATACCTATGTAACAAACCTGCACGTTCTGCACATGTATCGCAGAACTTAAAGTATAGTGAAAAAAGAAATAATCATAAAGTATGTATCTTTACCAATTTTTTATTTTAAATTTTTGATAATGTATTCTACTTTTTTAATTTATATAAGCTGTATCCAGGGGTATACAAATCTTGAGCCTTTCTCAGTGCTTGTGTGTGTGTGCGTGTGTGTGTGCACATGTCTGCACGTGTGTGTGTTTAGAATGTATAATTTATTTTTAAAACACACTAGTTATTTCTTAATTAAACATAGCCATGGGATAGAGTTAAGAATATAACATAAAATCTTCTCAGTCTTCTGGGGATTTCATAGAATGTAATTTTTATTGCGTTTATTTCCCCAAAGCTATATTTTAAGCAACAGAGCTACACTTGAATATTAAGTATATAAACTTCAAGTAATGGTATTTCTATTAAAAATAGAGTCTAACATGTTTTAATTACCTAGGTCTTCTGGAATCTATGCAAGAATGCAAAAAATATATGTTGCATTGTTTTCTGACTCTTTTACTTCTTCTTTACTTACTGTTATTTTCTTAAACTTGCTGGTTTTTACTTTGGACCTGCTCCATTATTGCAAGCCAAGCTGCTGTTTTCAAAATGTACCAGCAAACAACCCTCAGATGCGATTCAGTCCAGCTGACCTGAGCCTAGCCAGTATTACCTGACTTTTACCTCAGGATTGATGAGCCTGTAATAGTCATTTATTTTAAAAATGTTAATTTAAACCGTTGAGTTTGGAGTTTTTAAAACAGTAGAATCACTAATTTATTAGACTTAACAACAAGAATTGTAGGTAAATATTTCATTACAAACAACTTTCTCCTTCAAAACTGTTTTTCTAGTTTCTACAGTCTCAGTTAATGTGACTATCCTCCACAGAGACTCTCTACTCTGTTGCTTGCCCTCCCATCCTGCAATTATCATACCTACAAATTCTATTTACTCTATATCCAATATATGTACCATACAGTTTTAACTAATGGTATGTTCAGTGCTGCTACATGCCATATTTAATCTTTTGGAAATCTAGTTAGTCAATATTTCTTTTAAAATGTTGGCATCACCTAACTACTGCTCGTAACTGCCAATTCAATCTACTGTCATTCCTACCTATACTGTTGAGCTAATTGAGCAATAGTTTTCCATGCTTCTACAAGTGGCACTCTATATTATATTCATAGCACAGTGGCCAAGAATAGTAACTTTATACTATAAATCAGATTATGTCAGCTTCTCAAAATGCTCCATGGTTTCCCATATTGTGTGCAGCAGACACCAGAGATAGATAACAAGAGATGCATATTCATTACAACAAAAGGAAACGACAGTTTCTATAATTAAATAAGCTAAATCTAAGCTGCATTTATAGCTAGATTCACAGATGTAGACGTCAATAAAGATATAGACATTTTTCTCTGTAATTGGAGACCTTCCTATTTGTATAATGAAATATCAGAGAGATTGGCTCACACAAGTTTGTGGTTGGGATATTAATGGCAAACTCATATACAATTGGGGTGTGTGGGTGTGTGCACATGCACACGTGTGCCTGTGTAGTATATATGTATATATTCACTATACAATTCTCTTTTTACGTGGAAATACTATAAGGAATCAGATCAAAGCAGATTAACAAGATGTTCTGGTTGATAGGAGGGAATGGTATTGGCAAGACAGAAAATCCTCCTTCTCATCACCAAAAGCTTCTGATGTAGAAAACACGTGAAGAAATCTACTAATCTAAAGTGTCATGAGTACACATACTATATAGTGAATATATCCAGTAGGGGATAAAATTATCTACAGAATCTGATGCTCAAAAGAAATATCTCTGAAGTTCATACGGTTCCTAACAGCAGTCTATTACCTCTACAAGGACATTGCAGCTGAGAACAAGTTAGGAATCTTCTAAAGAACTTGCCAAGTTATTTTCAAATTCAAAATTGCTTCACTTATTTAATTAATCTTTATAAACACATTAGATTAAGCTGTGGATGGGGAGAGGAATGACATACAGTAGGATGTATCCATGGCTTTTACCTTAAGTCCCAAGAATGGCCCCTTTTATTAACTTTTTATGATATTAAGGCAATGGAAATATTTTAAAAGCTGCATTTTTAAAATCTCTTCCACACCACTTTCCAGACACAGTCTTTTACTATTAGACAGAAATGGATGCAGTGTAACAAGTGTGGGAACATGCCTGAATTAGCCCTGTGGTGACAGTTCTCTGATCATTTGACAAATCCTGGCCCAGGGAGTTACAATTTAACAAGTAGAGTAGTAAATATAGAAGATTCCCTTGAAAAGTGAAATCCCTGTAGAGCAGCATTTGTAAGAATCTGAAGGAAATTTACATTTCAACACATTGTTCATTTCTACTTCCCACAGAGGACTCTCACAGAACAATTGCGTTTCTTAGAGTTTTTCTTTTTTTGCAGTAGTTTGAGTCAATGGCAAAAGCCCTGCTGCTAAGTCAGATTACCAGAATATTTTGAAAGGACACACACAAACCAAAGCCACTTTGTTAAATAACACTCTTTAAAATTTGGTACAATGAGAAAAAATAAAAACTTCAAGTTTAGTAAATCACGGTTCAACAGCTTCATAAATTTTAATTTTTACTTATGTGCCTTATAGTCATTTGGGAATACTTTTTTTTCTTACTATGAAACACAAATATAAGAGCTTTGTATATGCATGCCAGCAGTTGTGTGCACAAATGCCCTGAGGACTTGCATATATGCAGATATTGTTGGCCTTGTAAAATGTTCTCTTCAAGATTAAATTTTTGGCAATCTCTAACAACTATACAGCATTTTTCACTGATGCTGAGTATCTATTAACATTAAAAAAATTGCATTTCCATATGTAAAAAAAATCTGAATATTGCAAAAATTGTTCTCTGTGCAAAATCTTGTATAAGTTAATTTCAATGTAGCAATCACTATTTTTCCCCAAATGCAATGATGCAAGTATAAATTTTCTCTCAGTATGGTTAACATTCTACTTACATTCTTTAACTATTTTTATGTCTCAATTTACTTTCCATAAAAAACATATGATTTGCATTAAATAAATTACCTGTTCTAAAACATCAAGTAAATGTACTAGATATACTCAATCTACTAAATTTACTAAATACCATAATCATGTCATTTTAGAATGCTGGAGTTGAAAAAGTACAAAGAAGGTAACATCCCTAATTTCCAGAAATGCAAAAAATTCCTCCTAACACTTAAGATATTTTTTAGCTTCTCCTTGAACCTTTTAAATCCTGTAGAAATAGCTGGATCATGGAATATTTTATTACATTTTTGAATAACTGTAGCTATTTCCCAAGATCTTTCTTATATTTAGCTAAAAGCATTAATGTTTTGTACTCATTGCTCCTAGTCTGCAGTGAGAATCATGCAATTGTTCTAAGTGTGATGAAAATCTGTGTCTACAAAAAGAGCTGTAAAAGCAAGTTCACAACAGCTTTATTCATAAGAGATAATCCTGGGAACAAACAAAATGTCCACAAACAATACATAAGCAATTTGTGTAACAGTCATACAATGGAATACTACTAGCAATAGAAATAAATAAACTACTTCTAAATGACACAATATGAATGTATCTCAAAAATATTAATTTGGATATGAGAAACCAGAAATAGAACTGTATGATTCCATTTATATGAAGTATTAGAACTGAGAGCCTACAGTGATAAAAGTAAGAAAATGCTTGGTTCAAAGCCTGGGAAGAAAATGACTGGAAGGTGCAGAGTCAAAAAAATTCCTCTTTTGTGGAAATGTTATTTATCTTCACTATATATCTTTACTTCACTCGGGTTTGGGGTACACGGATATATGCTGCTATCAAAACTTATCAAGTCAAACTCTTCAGATCATTACATTTGGTTACATGTAAATTGTATCTCAATAAAAAATGAAAGTCTTAGAGGCTGTAACAACTCAATTCTACTCATTATTGAAACATTCTTGACATTTAGACCTACTGCCGTAGTATCACCCTATTGAACACGAGTGGTCTCTTATCTGCTTTGTTAATTCAGTAAGACGCTCTTCTCCCTAAAACACAGACACACAAGCATATACATACACTATAGTTTATTGTCACAGGAGCAAAGCTACAATGAGCCAATTAGACCTCAGCCCTGAAAACATGAGGTTAACGCTGAATAAAAAATTCTGCATAATGAACTAATTATATTGTGGAAATATATCCTTTAAGAGTAGCTGTATTTTTTCTTGGAAAGTGGAGAGAAGAGGAAGTTATTTTATAGAAAAAAAATTACAGAGACTAAAGAAACAGCAGTTCAAAAAGATTTATTTTTTTAATCTCAAAAACTCTAATTCTAGTCTCTCTAAACTGATATATTTTACCTGTAAAAATCAATATTAAAATATTAACAAGGCCGGGTGTGGCGGCTCATGCCTGTAATCCCAGCACTTTGGGAGGCCGAGGCAGGCGGATCAACTGAGGTCAGGAGTTCAGACCAGCCTGACCAACCTGGAGAAACCCCATCTATACTAAAAATACAAAATTAGCCAGGCATGGTGGTGCATGCCTGTAATCCCAGCTACTTGGGAGGCTGATGCAGGAGAATCACTTGAACCCAGGAGGTGGAGGTTGCGGTGAGCCAAGATCGCACCATTGCACTCGAGCCTGGGCAACAAGAGCAAAACTCCATCTTAAACAAAAACAAAAACAAAAGAAACTAACAAATAGCAGCTCTATAAGGTTTTCACATAATTAAACAAGGTACTGCATATGCAATGCCTTGAAAATTATTAATGCTCAGTTCAGTATTACTAAGTCACAAATGTATTACTTTCGTATCATTATTTTATATGGCCAGTTGAACACCTTCAATGAATTTTCATTGAAGCTACTATTGTAAAAGATGTGCTGGGTGATAGAGGGAACACATGTGAAGTTTAATAGAAGTTCTGCTTTAAAGACTTTAAAAAGTAGAGCACATTTTTGTTCATATCAATCAGTAAAAAGTGATATTGGCACATTTTGATTGATATCACATATATATCATTGAAATGCTGAATAAAATATTAAAATCAGCAATAATCTTTAATAAAATGTAATGAGAAATAAAAGATTGATAAGTTCTCAAAGGCCATAGGTTCTTGAGGAAATATGCAATTGGAAGCTGCCAGTATCATACTATACTGGAATATGGGTCCAGACTACTTCATTTATTAACATAAATAAATCTATAATATGATATGAGAGATAAGTTTTTTGAGAACAGTGCTTAAAATGATCAAATGTATCATGATGACTGGTTCTCACAGCTATAAGATAAAAAATAGTTTTGCATTACCATTAAAAATTTGTCTAATATAAACTTATACTCCTCCAAAATGAACATATTGATCCTCTCAATGCAGCTATTCATAAAATGTCTTGAATAGGTTAGATTCTAATCAAAATGCAGCATTTTATTTTTGTGAAATGTCTCACTTAAGTACCATGCAAACACAGTGTAATTTGGAATTATTTGTAAATTGCTTTATCCCATCTATTAAGTACAACATTGTACATTTGGAGAGAAAGATTTGGGGGCATAACAGCTTTCTCCAACATAAGTTTCAACAATTGACAAACAAAACTTAATGATTTTTTGAGAAGGAGTAATTTAAAATTTATGAAAACAAACTGAAAGAAATGATAGAGAGCTTGCTGCCCTTCTCACAGCAGTGTTTGCTTTTGGCAAGGCAGCCTTGCAATCAGTACAGCAGGCTTCAAGGTGTTTTCACACAGATTTGTTATGAGGATTCATTTTCTTCCTAGTGATTGTTAATAACATCCACATTGAAAACTATAGGTATGTATGTGTGAACGCACACCCTTTAGTTGTGGTAGGACTAGTAGTTGCTTTAGCGTACAACATTCATTTCTTCTTCAGTGGTGTATCTTACTAAGTGAAGACTTCAACTTTCTTTGAAAGCCTGTGTGTATTAAAGGTTGACTTTAAGCTTTTAATAAAGTGAGTATATAATTTGCAAATTTTTCCCGTTTATATAGGCATGAGGTGCCTTTTCACTCTGTTAATGGTTCCTTTTCAGTGCAGAAGCTTTTTAGTTTGCTGCAATCTCACTTGTTTACTTTTGCTTCTGTCTGTGCTTTTGGGGTCATACCTAATAAATTATTACCCATGGTAATAACAAGAAACTTTTCCCCTGTGTTTTCTTCTAGGAGTTTACAGTTTTAGATCTATGTTTAAGTCTTTAATCTACATTAATTTGATATTTGTGTATGGTGTTAAGGTTCCAATTTTATTTTTTTGCACATGGATATCCAGTTTTTCCACAACAATTTTTCAGAGACTTCCCTTACCTTATTATGTGTTGTTGCCATTCTTGTCAAAGATCAGTTGACTGTGTATGCATAGATTTATTTCTGGTCTCATTATTCTGTTCCATTGGTCTATATAACTGTCATTACACCAATACTATAATTTTCTATTACTCTTCAAATTATATAAGAACTTTTACAATTAAATAGCAAAAAAAAAAAAAAAAAAAAAAAAAAACAGAAAACCTAGTTACTCCAATTTTTAAAGAGGAACTAATAACTTGAATAGATATTTCTCAAAAGAAATACAAATGATGAACCAGTTTATATGAAAAATGTTCAATGCCATTAATCCTGAAGGAAATGTAAATGAAAACCACAATGAGATATCACCTCATGCCTATCAGAATGGTTATTATTCTGAAACACACACACACACACACAAAAGACTACAAATATTCAGAAGGATGTGGAGAAATGAAAACCCTTCCACACTATTGGGAATGCAAAATGTTCCAGCCACTGTAGAAAACAATATGGAAATTTCTCAAAAAATTAAAAATAGGATTTCCATATGACTGAACAATCCCACTCTTGAGTATTTAACCAAAATAATTAAAAATAGAGTATTGAAAATATAGCACTACCATGTTCATTGCAGCACTATTCACAACAGTCAAGATACGAAAACAACATAAATGTCCATCAACAGATGAGTGGATGAAGAAAATGTAGTATGTACACACAAATACTATTTAGCCTAAAAATAGAAATTCTGAAACATGCAGTAACATGAATGAAACTTGAGGACATTATGCTCAGTGAAATAACACAGTCACATTAGTACAAATACTGTGTGATTCCACTGAGATGAGATATCTAAAATAGTCAAATTCATTTCATCAAACGGTTAAATGGTTGTTGCCAGTGGCAGTAAGGAGTGGGAAATGGGAGGGTTATTATTCAATAAATTAAAGTTTCAGTCAAGTAAGGTGAATAAATTCTAGAGAACTGTTGTGCAATATTGTAACTATTGTTCATAATGTACTGTACACTTAAATTTTGTTAAGAGGGTGGATCTCATGTTAAGTGTTATTACCAAATAAGATATTATGTACATTTTTAAAATGTGGTATTTTTTATTAGTTCAAGAGGCACAGTTAAAATTGGGAAAACTGATCATTCCGTTGTAAATTGAAAATATTTATAAGGAATTTTACTCTGTGACTGCAGGTATAGTTAAGAACTTAGGCAAATTTTATTATTTTTTCCTTAAAAAAGTCATTAAGAAAAATAATAACTTACAGGAAACTAATCTATTGATAGTCTCTATATATAATTAATTAATTATTATATATATTAATATATATATTATTATATATTATATATTATATAATAATATATAATTAATAATTATATAATTATATATTATATAATATATATTATATAATAATTATATAATATATAATTAATAATTATATATATTAATTATATATTAATTAATATATAATTAATATAATTAATAACTCATCTCATATAATAAACAAAGGAATAAGTAATATGAGAGCAAATAGCAGTCCCATTAGCATTGGGTGTTAATTATGTTTGTAACATTTTATTTTTGCTTACCCTTTCAAAAAACTCATTTGGGTACCATATTACAAGCCTGGAATTTCTATGCTAATTGAAATCTTACAGAGGTTACAAGAACTTCCTGGTGTAGCTGGGAAGGGAAAACGCTAAATTCATGAATCCTGGCTCAAGTCAATTTTTTTTCTGAATGCAAAGGTGGATCTGATGCATTGTCTTGCATTATTTATTTCCCTTAGATACCAATCTGCTATACAGAATCACCTATATATCATGCAATTTTTCATAATCTAAGACATAACTTTTAAGGAGGAAATTGAGGAGCAGTAATAGAAAGGCAGAGACAACAAAGTATTCTCTGAACAGCTTGCGAATTGAATTTAGGTGATGGTAATTGCTAATAGAAAAAATGGCATAAACATGCTTACTATTTAAGAGTGCATAAATGAATTGTTTAGAAAACACATAACATAATAGACTAACTACGATCACAACAGGATAAATTCTTAAAACATGATTTTTTAATGTCAATAAGAAATAAAAATTACTTTCAAAATTTTCAGAGAGAGAAATTGATATAAAGTTATGTATGTAAGTTGAACATATAATGTGTTTTCAAAGGCTGCAGCACTTTTAAAAAAATAGAAAGTCTTTCCTCCTACATATTCTGCACCTTCTATTAAACCTGTTTATAATTCTTCTGTCTGCTCACACTTCATTTAGCACATTGAGTTATCCTCTACCTTGGTTTGCCACTTCACTTACATTTCAGGGTGTGAGGTCATTTATGAAATAGTAGCTGAATATTAACTGTTATTTGAGAAAACATGAAGAAGGATAAAATTTCCATAAAGGCACTCATGCGTATTAACAATCCAATGCAACATATGTTAAGCATATGCATACTTGCTATTAAGATATAATTGATGTACAAAGAAATGCACATACTTAATGCATTTATGCTAAAGATGAGTTTGGACATATGCAAGCACCTGTGATACTATCACCACAATCAAGGCATTAGACATATCCAACACCTTCCATATTTTCTTCGTGTTCCTTTTTCTTTTCTCTTTTTCTGTGTGTGTCTATATGTGGCAAGAATATTTAACATGATATTTATTCTCCTTACAATTTCGAAGTACACAATACTATATTTTTAACTATAGGTGCTAGGTTGTACAACAGATCTCTAGAACTTATTTATCTAGAGTAACTAAAATTTTATATTTATTGAACCACAACTGGCCATTTCTCTCACCGCCCAGTCCCTGGAAGTCATATTTTCTGCTTCTGTGAGTTTGACTATTACAGATGCCCTATATAAAATGGAATCATACGCTATTTATACTTCTGTGACTGGCTTATTTCACTTAGCATAATGCCTTTCAAGTTAACCTTTGTTGCTACAAATGGCTAATTTTCTTCCCTTTTGAGGCTTAATGATATTCTGTTATACATTCTCATTGACTGCATGCTTCACATTTTTTTTATCCATTCATCTGTTGATGGACACTTCTTTGTTTCCCATATCTTGGCTATTGTGAACAATGTGGCAATAAATACGGGAGTGCAGATATCACTTCTAGAATCTGACTTGAATTATTTTGGGTATATACTCAAAAGAGAAATTGCTGGATCATATGGTAATTCATTTAAAATGTTTTGAGGAACCTTAACAATGGTTGCATTATTAAACTTTATCACTAATGGTATATGAGTTCTCTTTCTCCCACATTCTCAGCTTATCATTTGCTTTTTTGATAATAGCCATCCAAACAGGAGTATGGTGGTATCTCATTGCAGTTTTGATTTGAATCTTCCTGATAATTAATAATTTGGAGCTTTTTCTAAATTTACTTATTTATTTTTTGTTTGTTTGTTTGTTTGCTTTGAGATGGGGTCTCACTCTGTCGCCCAGGCTGGAGTGCAGTGGCGCGATCTCGGCTCACTGCAACCTCTGCCTCCCGGGTTCAAGCAATTCTCTGCCTCAGCCTCCTGAGTAGCTGGGACTGCAGGTGCCCTCCACGACACCCAGCTAATTTTTGTAGTTTTAGTAGAGATGGGGTTTCACCATCTTGGCCAGGCTGGTCTTGAACTCCTGACATTGTGATCCACCTGCCTTGTACTCCCAAAGTGCTGGGATTATAGGCGTGAGCCACTGTGCCCAGCCGGATTATTTATTTATTTATTTATTTATTTATTTATTTATTTATTTATTTATTTTTGACAGGAGTTTCACTCTTGTTGCCCAGGCTGGAGTGCAATGGCATGATCTCCGCTCACTGCAACCTCCTCCTCCCAGTTTCAAGCGATTCTCCTACCTCAGCCTCTGGAATAGCTAGGATTACAGGCATGTGCCATCATGTCTAGCTAATTTTGTATTTTTAGTTGAGATGGGGTTTCTCCCTGTTGGCCAGGCTGGTCTTGAACTCCCAATCTCAGGTGATCCGCCTGCTTCAGCCTCCCAAAGTGCTGGGATTACAAGTATGAGCCACCGCGCCTGGCCTGGAGCATGTTTTTATGTACCTTTTGGCCATTTGTATGTGGAAGTTTCTGTTCAAACCTTTTGGCCATTTTTTAATTAGGTTATTAGATTTGTTGTTGCCTTTTATTGTTTTTGCTCTTCAGCATAGGAGTTTTTATATAGCTATTTGTTGTTTTTGCTATTCTAGGCTTTTTAAATGTATTTTGCAAATTAACAACTTAACAACATATAATTTCCAAATATGTTTTTCTACTTTATAGGTTACTTTTCCATTTTGT
This sequence comes from Homo sapiens, assembly GCF_000001405.40. Classification (NCBI taxonomy): domain Eukaryota; kingdom Metazoa; phylum Chordata; class Mammalia; order Primates; family Hominidae; genus Homo; species Homo sapiens. The sequence continues at coordinate 190,944,489 of NC_000001.11, forward strand.
TGATTAATTTCTTCAGGATGATTTTTCTCTTTCTTTTTAGTTAGTTGTAGTACCACTTGACTGTTTCTGCTTTTGTTGCCTTTGCTTCTGGTGACACATTCAAAATATCATTGCCAAGGCCAAGAAACTTTTCCTCTAGAAGTGGTACAGTTTCAGGTTTTATATTTAAGAAGTAAGTCTTCAATTAATTTTGATTCAATTATGTGTGTGGTATAGAGGTCCCTTTTTGTTTATTTTTGCATGTAGATGTCCAGTTTTTTCAATATCATTTCTTAAAGAAATCACCTTCTCCCGATAGTGTATTTTTGGCAACCTTATCAAAGATCAATTCATCATATATTCATGGTTTATTCTGGGGCTCTCTGTTCTGTTTCATTGTAAATGAGTTACCAGTATTTACTTGTTTGTCTGTTTATTAGTATTTTGTTTGTTTTTGAAATAGGGTCTTGCTCTGTCATCCAGTTTGGAGTGTAGTCACTCAATCATGGCTCACAGCATCCCTGACCTCCTGGACTCAAGTGATCCTCAGCCTCCCAAGTACCTGGAACTATGGGCATCCACCACCATGCCTGGCTAATATTTTTATTTTTTGTAGAGATGGGGTCTCGCCTGTTGCCTAGACTGGTCTCGAACTTCTGGGCTCAAGTGATTGACTCCACCTTGCCCTCCCAAAGTGCTGGGATTACAGGGGTGAGCCACTGTGCCTGACCCTACCTGTATTTATATAGAAGAAAAAATATTGGAGACACTTTGATATTTTAAATATGTGCATTTAACATATCTATATACATTATTGGCTACTTTTATTGCTTTATGTTAATTGTTAAAAAATTCGTTTTGCTTTAAGAAATTAAAAATGATGTTTGACAGCAGGCAAGACACAGAACCAAGGCAGATTTTGAACTTCCAGGCTTGTTTATACCTTGAGAGATAAAGTGGAGCATATTGTATCAATGTTAGCAATCTTCTCAGATGGGTTATACTTAATTAAAATCTGATTAATTTTCATTAACTAAAGAAAGATGAGACAATCAGAAGAAAATTTGGTGAGACACAAATACTTATAGAACAAATATACATATTGATCATCCAAGCACATGTGAGGTCAGAAGGAGTTTCAGCCAATGGTTGGGTATTATAGTGCCATTGACATTCATAGCTGTATTATGGCGACGAGCATAGCGTGGATTAGCCTCATGCAATTCAACATTCAAACATTATACTGATTCCACACTCGTCAAGTCACCTTTTGCTTATTATTTGACTTCCTGCTGTTTCTGACTTTAAAAAAATATGCTAATCATACTGCTTAGTTTTCTGGTCTGTTGAAATAATTATATTTCCCAAGACAAAGAAAAAAATGATATGATAATTTTATACGTTACTATTCTGAGCTTGCATAAAATGAGAACCCTTGTGAAAATCAGGTCCTCTCTTGTGCTGAATCACATTGAGCATTAGGAATGGTATAATGATAGGATCACTATGAAAATGCCCCTGCATAAACTTTTTAGAATAGACCAGTTTAACTTTACAAAGCATCAGCTCTCTGGATTACTAAACGTGCCCTCTGCTATGCGTCATACTTCAGTATCTTACTGAAATGTAGAAAAATCTGTAAGTTCCTCTCTCAATTGACATTTTACTGGCAAAAATGGTCTGTAGAATGATATATTCAATACTAATATTTATTAAATATGTACTATGCATGAAATGTGTGGTAAATAGAAGAGCAGTGAACAAATTAGACGTGGTCTTTGCCAGCAAGAAACATCCAGTCTATTGACTAGAGGTGCAAATTACACTGTAATGTTATAATGTAGGGTATAGATAAGAGAGGCAGAAAACCCACAAAGGAGTCTCTAGATTTGCCTGAGGAAGTCAGGGAACTGTCTCCTTACAAAGAGATTAGTATACAAGGACAAGTAAGAAAGATATATGAATGGGTATTTCAAGTCAAGGACACTTTCAAAGCCATAATACTTTGCAGGAATAAAAAGTGCTTTAGTTTGTCTCCTTCAAAGTGAAAATAGGAATTAAAAATATGCTCAAGGTATAATTAAGGAAACTCAAGTGTGTGAAAGGTTTTATGTACCATGCTAAATGGTAGTTATTATCTTAGACAATGGGCAGTTTTGTCTATAGTAATAACAAAATATTTGGGCAAAATCATGGAGAAAGAATTAAAGTCTAGATGATTATTAAAAGGGTGTGAATTTTAAAATTTGTTTGAATTCATACTCATATTTGTATATTTGTTTTTCTCTTCATAGCTACATTATAAATGTGAGGACAGTACCCACATATTATTCTTTTATTATTGTTTATCTCAAGTGTGCAATATAATTTTTAGTAGCAGAAACTCAATCTACACTTTGTATTTTGTTACTAATTAAATAACCCACCGTATTAAAAATGAAGATTTAAATATTCCAAATTATGGAAGCATGGGTTGATCAGAAATATTAAGCCCCCCTTTTTTTTTCTTACTAAAAAATTCCATTGCGAGCAAGTTAGTCGGCTTGGGCTGCTGTAACTAACATAAACTCTATGGTTCATAAACAGTGACCATTTATTTCTCACAGTTCTAGAGGCTGGGAAGTCCAAGATTAAGGTGTCAGCAGATTCAGTGTTTGGCAAGTGCCTACTTTCTTATAGATGATACTGACTCCATCCTCACATGGTAGGGCAGGGGAGCTCTCCTAAGCTTCCTTTATAATGGAACTTTATAACGACTCCCATGCATAAGGACTCCTTCTTCATAACCTAATCACCTCCCAAAGCCCTCACCTCCTAATATTATCATGTGGACAGATGAGGATTTTAACATATCAATTTTGGGGAACACAAATGTTCAGACCATAGCAAAGATTTTTTTCAAGAACTGACTTATTGTACTCAGTATATGATTTAATTAATAAAAACAATGTTTACATACAAATTAAATAATACAATTCTATATACATTAAAATATGTCCCTTTCATTGTTGACTGTTTATTGTCATTAGGAAATAAGCTTTAGGGGGACAATAAGCATAAACCAAAAGAGTGCTGTAGATACTTTTAATTGAACAATTGGTTGGTAAAGTCATCTACAACTTAAACACAGAAGAAAGGAAACACATGGTTTTAAGCAGAAAGATGACAAGAAGGTAGACAGAAGGATGGATTATGTGATAGGTAGATGAATCAAAGGATGGATGGACACATACATATATTAAAACATTATAATTCTGGTAGGAAGTGTGTGTTGATTACATCATTGTCTACAAAATCCTGTCTTCTCTTTCAATGTCTTTGGAGCGAGGGAGAGAGAAAGAATGTTATCCAAATATCAAGTGATCTAAACATGTCCCTTATGCTAAGCTTATGCTTATTAGTCAGAATCAAATTTGCTCCTTAAAATCTCACAAAACAACATTTAAGAATACTGTCAGATTTTATTGTATCAATTGATGGAGCATCTAGTTACTGAGCATCTTAGGTCATTATTATTGTTTAATTAACTGATGTAATAGGGCTGGTAATGTATCATTTTTAAAAGGTTGGCGGATGCCTTGATTATAACATATACAATCATGCACCACAAAACATTTCAGTCAACAACAAACTGCATATACAAGAGTGATCCCATTAAATTATAATACAGCTGAACATTTTCTATTTTAAAATAGAAATTTAAACAATTTTAAACATAGGAGTTTAAAAAATTTAAAAATACAGCTGAAAAATTTATATTTTAAAAATTCCTAGTGAGATCATAAATGCTATAATGTTGTAGTGCAATGCATTATTCATGTGTTTGTGGTGACACTGTATAAACAAACCTACTAGGTGTCAGTCATATAAAAGCATAGCACGTGTAATTGTGAACAATAGCTAATACTTGGTAATGATAATAAATGGCTGTTACTGGTTTATGTATTTACTTTACTACACTTTTTATGGTTAGAGTGTACTTCTATTTATATAAGAAATGAACTCTATACCAGCCTCAAGTAGGTCCTTCATGAGGTATTCAGAAGAAGGTATCCTTATGATAGAAGATGATGGTTCCATGTGTATTATTACTCCTGAAGACCTTTCAGTGGGACAAGATATGGAGGTAGAAGACAGTGATATTGATGATTCTTACTGCTTGTGTAAGCCTAGCTTTGTTTTTTTGTGTAAGCCTAGTGTGTGCTTGTGTCTTAGTTTTTAGCAGAAAAGTTTACAAAGTAAAAAAGTAAAATAAAAGAAAAATCTAAAAGTAGAAAATAGCATATAGAATAAAGATATATGAAAAAATGCTTTCGTATGGCTGAACAATATGTTTGTGTTTTAACCTAAGTGTTATTATAAAACAACCAAAAAGTCAAAATTATTAAGTAGTTTATAAAGTAAAAAAGTTACAGTAAACTAAGGTTAATTTATTATGAAAGGAAAAATATTTTTAAGAAATAAATTTAGGGTAGTCTAAGTGTACAATGTTCATATAAAGTCTACAATAATGTATAGCAATGTTTTAGGCCTTCACATTCCCTCACTGACTCACCCAGAGCATCTGACAGCCCTTCAAGTTCTATTCCTGTTAAATAGCCTGTATAAGTGTACCATTTTGAAATCATTTATACCATATTCTTACTGTTCCTTTTCTATGTTTAGATAATGTTTATATATACAAATACTTACCATTGTGTTACAATGGTCTACAGAATTTATTACAGTAACATGCTGGACAGGCTAGTAGCCTAGGAGCAATAGGGTATCCTATATAGCCCACTTATATACTAGGCTATATCATCCAGATTTGTGTAAGTAAACACTATGTTATTTGCAGAACAATGAAATGGAAATTGCCTAATGATGCATTTCTCAGAGCATATCCCCATTGTTAAATACACATCACTGTTGTTTCCTTTGGAGATTTTTAGCATCCTTGCATAGTATCTTCCTAACAGATAAATATATTTCGATGCAATAGTCAATGCCACAGTTTTATTTTTCCTTTAGAAATAAAAATGTTTCTGAAATATTTGCAATTTTCAAAACTATAAAGTACACCAAAGAGCTCAAGATATCATCTACTCATTCAAGAAAGTCTCTTTGAAGAAGTTTTGAAGTGCCCCACTACGAGTTGTACCATAGAAGATGCTCTACTTCTAAAATTGGTAACAAAATCAAATAGTCATTTCTCAAGACACATATAGGCAGCAAAATATATTTTAATGTAAACCTCTCCCTAGAAACACATTGCTGGCATGACACAGTTTAAACTCAATACTAATTTCAAACTCCATCTGATTTTTAATAGCTTAGTTTTATGTTTAAAGTATGGATTCAATTCTGACCCTCTTAAAACAATGCAGGGTACCCCTAATAAGTATTCTGTGTGAATAAATAAGCTACTAGGGAAACTATTTCAATCAGGTCGACTTTTTGTTGAAGTAACATTTTCCATTCTGCTAAAGTTCAACTGATGTTGACTTCACTGAATGGCTGTTGGGAAATTGCCCTCGGAGCTTTATCTGGAACTGCTACCGTCTTAGTAATGAAATGTTGTATTGTGAAAGTCACACTCACAGTGTTGATTCTGTTCCTAAGTGACATTGTTGGAGCATAACATCCCTTTAGTTACCTACCTGACAAGTTGTCTATTTAACGGAGAAAAAAATGATCTGACTATGATTGATGGTACAGCTGCCCCTTCTCAGTGATGGGGAAAATAAGCTGAGTCAAAACAGATCTAGCTACACCCGGGCCTGTGTGCAGTGCTGTTTCCTCATTTCTCTTCATTTGGATACGAAGGCTTTCCTTTGAGGGTATATTCCCACAGTCTCCAATCTACCAACCACTGTGCTTATTGCTTTCTTCTTTTCACTTTGAAACTGTTTTAGAGGCATTATTCTGCTCTGGTCAGCATTGGAGCAAAGCTTTTCATACATTTTTAGATACGTGCTCTCTAGGTCAAGGACAACAATGTTGAAAATTAGAGTCCTTGGTAAGGAGTACTTAGTGAACTATTTACATTTTGGCTACAAGTTTCTTCTGATCTCTGAAGCTGACTTGGTTTCTTTCTTTTCTTTTTTTCAAGTTACTGAAGTAAATGTTCCTTTGGATACTGGCTTTATAATTATCGTGACATATGATAAAATTGGAATCTCTAAGGATATAAAAACTTGTCCTGAAGCCAGGGTTCAAGCTCCCAAAACTAAAATGTTTGACCATGTAGTCCCCTTTGCCTCAGGATCTTTTTTTTTTCTCATCTTTCTTTCTTTTGATTTTTTTTTTTTTCTGTTTGAGTAGATAGGTCAGCATGTCCTTTAGCAACAAAGGCTAAAAGGAAAATAGCGTAATAAAAAATAGCCAGTTGATGCATTTACACTTATTTCTCATTGAGGACAGTGTTCAGGGGATAGGGGTCACTATGGTAATGAGTACAAAAGATTCATGGAGACTCAAAAAATGTAATCCAAATAGCCACAAAGGGTATAATACCATATATTAAAATAGGCACTTGTTGGTAAAAACGATTTTACTGAAAAATTATATATAACATAGTTGTGTTTCTTTTTGATTTTAATTCATTTAAATTCAAGAGCAGCAATCAGAAGACCCGGGATTTATATCAGAGTTCATGGAAGTGTGCATTGTATTCAAATGCACACACATAAAACTAGCCTGTGAGAACCCTGGTGAAGTAAAATAAAAGTTATTCCATCATACACAGAATTTGAAATGATTTTGGAAATATATCACCATACTGAAGAAAATAAATCAGAACATAAAAATTAGAAAAGATAAACTAAGAAAATGTATTATTCTGTATCTCACTTGGACCCCACTGAACAAGTATAACAAAGAACATCGTGAAAGAATATTTGCAAAAGCATCCCTATTTGCAAAAATCTCAAAGAAAATTAACATACCTATATTTTTGTGAACCTTATTAGATCAATACCTGTAAACATAGCTTCTGACTTGTGAGTTAACTATATTATTTATTTACAAATGAGAGACAAATAGAAAGAATTCCTTGTGTTGTCTTCCCTAGGCAAAACAGAAAACCCGTCCAGAAGCAGTAATCTCTATAAACAAAGAGACAAATAAAAATACCAGGTGGAATATGCCCTTGATTTGTGAAAATATCCCAAGCAATATTGCCATAAAAGTAAATGTATTTTTCATCCAAAATGAAAAATCATATTCTTTCTAGTTACCCTAGCCTTAGGGACCCACATACATTGCATCATTCTTCATCTTTTATTGGTATGAAAAATAGGTAGCACTTAAGTTTTACAATTTTTAGTCGTGTCTTTTTTTATATCAACATATGTGGTTTGTTTTAGGTAATACAAATACATCAGTGAGAAACAAGATGAAGCCTTTTCTTTTCTTTGAGATGCATAATTTAGTTGAGGGAGATATAGCAAACACGAAAAAATGAATACGTAGTTTGCCAGATGATGATAACATTATAATGAAAAAGGTATCATGAGAGGGGAAAGTATTGAAGTATATTAATGATTTGTGTAAGCATGGTACTATTATTTATAATGTGATTGAGAATGTCCTTTATAATAAGTTGATATTAAAACAGTGAAGGAATAAGCCATATTTATATACAGGGAATACCATACTAAGCAGAGGAAACAGAAAATTAAAAGGCCTTGAGGTGAGGGAATTCTTGTCATGTTTGAAAAACAATGAAAAAGTATGGCTAAGGAATTCCTGAATCTAATTATTCCTGAAGAGCCTATTCTCCCTGATACCTGCATGTAATATTATTTGGAAGGCATAGGACGTTGGCTGGACACACTCTACTGATGCTCCATTTTTTCCAAAGGTTTTATCACAAAAATTGTTGTCATACATGAGTCAAGGGCACAAATGGATAATAAAGAACATGTAATTAAACTGTGATACTGCAAAGGCTGAGTTTCTGCCGAAATAAAATTCAACATACAGCCTTGTTTTGGATCACTCCTCCTCTTTGTAGGTGATGTGCTTTTCATCATGAGCTGCCACACTCTTTAAGAGGACTTGCCTAACATGAGAATTACTAAAACCTTTGGAACTCATTGCAGCAGAATTAGTAGCCATCGTGTGGGCAGCTTAAACGAATTTCAAATTCAGCCTCTTATTATAAAGGCTTTTCTTTAACTTAGCTGTTTCTCCCATACTTCCTGTTACAAGTTAAACTGGTAAAATGTGATGTACTGAATTCAAGATGTGGGCTGAGAGAAAGGGCCCATCTTTGAGTTTGAACTTTAAGCAAGTGACACCCCAAACCCGACAAATTCGTATTTTTAAGTCTTTCTTTTCTACTATGAAATTTTTTTATTTTGAAATTTGTTATTTAACTATTTACTCATTGACTCAACCAAATTTCATACAGTTTTCAAATATTTACCATGTGCCTAGCTCAGGGTGAGTTTGAGAGTGGAGGGTTGAAGGAGATAAAAAAAAATCTAGTAATTTAAAAAATAATTTTTTCTGAGATGATCATATTTATATATTCTACAGAAGTGGAGATTTATAATTTTAGCTGCAACATATGAAGGGCTTAGAATTCATCACTCCCACTCTTACAACAAGAGAAAATTGGACAAACTAAAATCAATGACTTTTCTTGGACCACTTAGAGAACTGAGGCTACAGGGCACACTAGATTCCTGAGAGTCACAACCAAGATAATCTTACCTGGGACAAAGTACCTCAAGCTACAAACTGGTAGAAAGAGTAAAATTGAAATTTTGACACATTTATGGAGCTTGAGTGCATACTGGCATGAGAATTAAAACAAAGAAAACAAAACAAAAAAACTCCTGAAAGTCATAGTCTTAGGGAAGGGCAACACTTTTTAGACTTTGTTTCCGGGAACATCACCTGGTCCCTATGGTTCAAATCTGAAGACCTCTCTTACAGCTCTGGCAGGAGAAGGGGAGGAGAAATCATTGCAAAATACAACAGATACTTCTTTATAGCAAAGGCCTACTATTCTGGGGAAAAGAATTTGCAGTGCTTTCTCCCAGTTAGGGAGATGAAAAGCCCTCCTATTAAAACCCTCCAGCCTTCCTATATTATCTAAAAGGGAGAAAACAATCAACAAGGGTAAGAGCTTCAGATAAATATATTGGGAATGTGGCCAAATAAATATGTTGGGAAAATGCAGGGGTTAGGAGGAAAAATCAACAACTATATTACTAAAGTAAAGGTTTAAAAATATTTAAAAGTCTTTATTTTTAGAGCATTTTAAAGTTCATGGCAAAATGAAGCAGAGTTGCCATATACTTCCTGCCCCTACACATACACAACTCTTCCATTATTAACATCTTGCATTGCAGTGGTATATGTGTTATAACTGACAAAGATGTATTAATATCAGTAGTACCCAAAGTCCATTGTTTACATTAAGGTTCACTTTTAGAGTTGTACACTCTGTGGGTTTTGACAAATGTGTAGTGATCTTTAACTACCATTGTAGTACCATAAAGAAGAATCTCACTGCTCCAAAAATTCTCAAAATACCATTGAAGATCATAATTCCAAAAATAAGTCTATGAAAAAAATGATGCTTTAATTGGAAGTTTACAGAATGTACTCATTTCTCCATACCTTATCATTACACAAACAGGGCTCCATTACAATAACAGTGGATTATGGTGGAAGCACCTGCAATAGTTGTTCCAAGGAGGAGTATTCAGGGGTGCCCAAAGTCAACAGGTAAGACAAAAATAAAAGTACTGAAAGAATTTTAAGTCTGTGACAACTATAGCTATCGGAAACATTAGACAGAGACCACTGATAGCCGTATTAGCATTGTTGTCACATAAAAGACCAATTAATTTCAGTTCCTATTACACATATGTGTCATTTACAACAAGATGTTATAAGAATGCCAACAGGCAAGAAAACCAACAGTGTAGGAATAGACCAAACATCAGAATCAGACTACTGTAAAAGACATAATTTGGAATTAAATAAGAAATTTAAAATAACTAATGGCAAAGTAAACAACATAAAAAAACAGATGGGGAAGGTAAATAGACAGGTGAATATTCTAAGAAAAATATCAAAAAGAAGTACTAGCAACCAAAACACTGCAACAGAAATGAAATGAAGAAATACCTTTGATGGGTTCAGCAGTAGGCTTAATATGGCTGAAGAGAGAATCAGTGAGGTTCAAATAGAAAATTCCCAAAATTAATTAAATAGAAAATTCCCAAAATTAAAAATCATAGCGGGGAGAGGGAAAGAATGGAACCTCCAAGAACTATTGAGCAGTTCCAAAAGGTGTAACTGGAATGTCAGAAAGAGAACAGAAAATAAATCAGAATTAATGTTTGATTCATAATGGCTAAAAGCTTTCCAAATTTAATGATGGATACAGAAAGCTGTCTCTAAAACAAGCAGGATAAACAGCAAAATGAACGTGAAACGTCAAAACTTGGTGTATGTATTAGTTTGGAGGGCTGGCATAACAAACTACCACAGACTGTGGGGCTTAAACAACATAAATTTGTTTTCTCAGAGTTCTGGAAATAAAGGCAAGATTGGTTCCTTCTGATGACCATGATGGAAGGATCTGTTCCAGGCCTTTCTTTTGGGCTTACAGACAGCTTGCTTCTCCTTGTGTCTTCACATTATCCTTTTTTATTGATGTCTTTTAAAATTCCCCCTTCTCATTAGAGCTCCAATTATATTGGATTACAACCCACCTGAATCACCTCATTCGAACTTAATTAGCTCTGTAAATTTTTTTTCTCCAAATAAAGTCACATTCAGAGGTACTGGGGTTTATAGGTTAAACATATAAACTTGGAAGGGGGGGGACCAATTTAACCTATAACTACATACCATATTCAAGTTGCAGAAAACCAAAGGCAAAGAAAAAAATCTTGTAACAAGCCAGGGATGGGAGGACACTTTACTAGAAGAGAACAAATATAAGAACTACAAGGCATTTCTTGTCAAAAATTAGAAAAATACATAGAAAATATTTAATATTTTGAATAAAGCCCCTAGAATTATATAGCCAATAAAATTATTCTTCCTAAGTGAAGCAGAAATAAAGAATTACTCAGACACTCAAAAATAGGAAACTTTATCACTAGCAGACCTGCCACACAATAAATTTTAACAGTTTTTTTAGCTGAAGACAAATAAGAGTGGCCATAAATGAATCTACATATAGGATTGCATAGCATCAAAGACAGAATAGATTTAAAAAGTAATTTTGTGGTTCTTTATTTATATAATGATAATTGTTTATTAAAAACAATAATGGAAGTGATACATTGAATGATTCCAGTATACGAATACATGAAGTGAATGATAGGAATTTCACAAGGGACAGAAAGTAGGAATTTGGGGATATTCTGTTATAAGATACCTATACTCTGTGTGAAGTGGTACAGTGTTATTTGAACAAGGAATTAGTTACTTAAAAAATGGATATCGTAAATGCTAGGGCAACCATGATCATTTTTAAGTATGATTGGTAAGCTAAGAGGAGTTAAAATAAAATGATATAAAATCCTCAATTAAAATCATAGAAGTCAAAAAATGAGAGAGAAAATAAGAAACAAGGAACAAAAGCAAACAACAGTAAACAGTCACAAACATGGTCATCATTTATCTAGCTATATCAACAATTACTCTGAATGTGTAGAGTCTAAATATATCAGCTAAAAGATAGATCATAATTGTGGATTAATAAAAGAGATCCAACTATATGTTGTCCAAAATAAGTCAGATTTAAATATAAACATTCAGATAAATTAAAATAAAGGAATGGTGAAAGATATACCATGATAACATTAATTTTAAAAATGCTAAAATAACAATATTAATTTCATAAAAAAGGGGGGATGTTACATTAAAAGTAATAGCAAAAACTGCAATTACTTTTGCACTGACCTAAGATAATGATGAACAGTGCAATTATCAAACAAGACATAACAATGGAAAAAAAATACATGCATCTAACAACATAACATGAAAATATATGAGAAAAAAACGTTAGAATTGAAAAAAGAGATGTAACCACTACTATAGAGCAACATCAACATTTGTCTGTCAGAAATTAACAGATTAAACAGGAAATAATATTCGGTAAAGATATTCGACAAAAGCAGTTTTTTTGGGGAAAAATCCTTGAAACAAGCAATAGTCAAGCATCCTAAGGTAAAATTATTTTCTCAGTAATATTAAAATAAATATATCATAATTATACAGCATTATCTATTTATTATAGATAATTATTGAAGCAAATATATGGAGGGAAAAAAGTGGATATGAAAATAATCTCCCTCTACCATTGTATACAGTCATTTAGAAGGGTATGAACTTTGGGAAACATGCTTTTCTTTGCAACAAATAAAATTCAAAGAATGATTAAAAAATAAGGCATAATAATTTTATATATATGATATTTTCTAAATAACATATAATTTTAAAGAAATTTAATGTGTCTAGAGATTGAAATTTTATATATCTCAACTATGTATAGATATCAAAATACTTTCAACTTAATATGTACATTTTATTGAATGATTTTAAACTTTTAACATTAAAATTATCTATTTCATTTGTTAAATAGATCACTTTTGCATTCAGTAACCGAATCAGGGATGGTTTAGTAATTAAAATTGTTTTCCTGAAAAGTGCTACTACAATTATCATTAATTGTACTAGTTTATATTGGTAAATTATGAATGAGTATTGAAAGTGAAAGCTGAAAAGACATTAAATTCAGGCACCTGTATTCTATGTCAAAGAACTTATTTTTCTTTGATATGACTTCAAAAGTCTTTCATCTTCATACTTCACTGAGACTTAAAAGGACGTCATCGTGTGAGTGGAAATGTAAGTGACAGGTCTAATAAATTAGGAATATCCTTCTTACTACACTCCCCCTCATTTTTGACTGTGAAATTTCACTTCTTATTAAAATTTGTATTCTTCATAGTTGAATGGGAGTAACTGATTTTCTCTGAGTTGTATCTGCTTTAGAGATGAGCTATGCCAATAATTCTACTACTGAATAATGTCACTCATCTTTTTCTTGGAGGAGCATAGAGTTCTCAACATTTTAGGTTGGTTGGCTCAAGTCTCTAAAGTCTCTAATGATTTAATAAATTACCTTTCAAATAACACACTTCCAATATTCTGGACCATTGTATGGATGACAGTCTTCTCTACAAATAGTAAGTTTATGTACTTCTTTCTCTTCTTGAAATTTTAACAACTCATAATAGAAGATAAACTGAAACCAGTATTAAATACTCACACTAGAGGGAGTGAGGTTGCAGTATCTAGGCCTCTAGATAAATGGTTTTAGAGTAGTGTTTTACAAACTGTGTTTTGCAAAATCTACTTATTGGGCCTCAAACAACATTATAAAGTGAAATAAAATAGAACAGAAAATGATGGTATGAAATAGAATACAATTCAAATGAGAATGTATCACATCTAATCCATCTCAGTTTTTTTCTTTGTTTAGATATGTATGCATATCTATTGTATACATATCTAATGGTGTGTACTTTGGGTCATAATGTAAAATACATTTTCTTACTATGAGTTGTAGACAAAAATTTTTGAAGCCATTGCTCTATATCATGTGCTATACCTCTAGCCTTTGCTCATTAGGCCTAAAATAAATTAGAAGAACATCTGGCTCTAGAAAACAGATATTAAAACAATATATAAAGTGCTAAATTTATTCATCAAATTTGTATTTTCTGGGAACGGCTTTTGTATAATATAGTAGGAGAAGTAAGGAAAGTTTTTTAAATGATAATACCCATAGGCACATCGTGGTCTAGTATACACTTCTATGAATAGCATGGGGTGTTATAAAGTTTTCATTCATGTAATGTTTTATGAAAATAAATTTATCTTTCTGAATTTCAATATATTAGGCATCCTATGGGAATATTTCTTTTTTTTCTTGCTGCATGAGAAACTCATCAGATATTTAAAATAACAATATTGAATGACACTGCATAAAACTTCAATAAATATATTTGTATGTGTATTTAAAGTTACGCATACAATTTATCAAGAGTAAGCACCATTTTGATTAAGGCATTAACATCTTTTGATATACATCTTTTTAATAGTTAGTTATACTACTCTGAAAGGCAGCGGATTTCTTCACCAAGATCATATATCCTTCTGTCAAAATAAACCAAATTCTAAACTATTGCCAAGGTGAAGTTTGTCAAGTGTGGTGTTAAACCCAGAAATGAAACTGAGAGAACCGTATGCAATTCTCTAATTGAAAGAAATCATTCAGGCAAATGTAAATTTGAGGAAGAGCTAAGTTTTATTCAAATGGTGAAAAATGTGTTCAGAATCATAAAAAAAACAAGGCTAAAGGTATGTGATTTACCAAATATACGACTAATTTAAAATATTAGAAAAACTATACTTTAAAATATATATATTGTTTAGTTTGCTAAGCTGCAAAACAAGAAGCAGTCTAGGAACATTCTATTATTATCAATATTAATATTAATTATCAATAATTATATTAAATTACTTTAATATTATTCAGAAATTTGCAACGTTTCTCATTCATTTTGAATTAAATTTGACTGAGGAAACAAAAAGTCACACTAGAAGTATTAGTTTTTCCTTCACAGATACAGTAATAATTTTTGCATGCAGAATTTCATTTGTTCTCTAACAGTTTTTTGTTTTTTTTTTTTGAGACAGAGTCCTGCTCTGTCGCCTAGGCTGTAGTGCAGTGGTGCAACCTTGACTCACTGCAACCTCCACCTCCCAGGTTCAAGCGATTTTCCTGCCTCAGCCTCCTGAGTAGCTGGGATTACAGGCGCCTGACACCATGTCCAGCTAATTTTTTTGTATTTTTAGTAGGGATGAGGTTTTGCCATGTTAGCCAGACTGGTCTCAAACTCCTGACCTCAAGTGATCCACCCTCCTCAGTCTCGCAAAGTGCTGGGATTACAGGTGTGAGCCACCGTGCCTGGCCCTCTAATCAGTTTTGATAAAATTGTCTAGTTGAAACAAGTATATATTATTACTATTACCTTTTTTATGTAAACACTTTAGAAACTAGTATCCCAAGATAAAATTATTAAATTCACATGTGTATATATATATGTGTATATATATATGTGTATATATATGTGTATATATATATGTGTATATATATGTGTATATATATATGTGTATATATGTGTGTGTGTGTGTGTGTGTATATATATATATATATATTTGATGAATTAAAATTCTGTTAATTCTTTCATCCTGCAAAATAGATTAGTAGAGAAGAAGGCAGTATTAGTTTTCAGACATGACACATTTACAGTTGTGCAGCCTGAGTCAAGTTACTTGACTTATCTAAGCCAGATAATTCTTATGTATCAATGGCGGTCCTCATATTACCTACCCCATTGTCTATTGTAAGAGTTAGATGAAATATATAATACAAAACAAATATTTAGAAATATTTGTACAATGTGAGAGACAAATAAACACTACAAACTATTACTATTGCTGCCATGGATTTTTTTGTGTATGTAGTTACATGTAGTTTTATTGTTTAACTCTGTGTGCTTCTGTTTTGATCAAGTGTATTTTGCATATTCATAATTTTGTCTATTTGACTTCCCTTTGGGAAATAAACAGAGAAAGGGTTTCCTTCTCCCTTTCTGATGTCAAAAGAGAAAGAGTTGAAGTCCACCCAAAATAATTTGATATCTTCATTATACCTTTTAACTTTATGTGTGGGAATATGTGTAATGATCGTGTCCAATATTACTTTTACTGTTAGATTAATATAATGGCTGATCTACCACATAATGATAATCTTAGGAATTCCACCTTCCACATGCATGATGATGTGGACATGGAGAAATTTATGGCCAACTATGTTTTTACAATATGATTACCTTCCTTAGATATTGTTACTTGACCTATAGGAGGAACCCTGACTACATTTTATCCAGTGAGTAATTTTCCCAGGAATTGTGAATTGAGGCCAAGAAACAATATATGCTTGGGTAGCTTGACCAGTAATACATAAGTTTAGAAGCTTGAATATAGAAAGTGTATACGTATGTGAGGTATGAGTTTTATATATATATATATAAAACTTTGTTGCCTGAAGAAACAGGAGACTCTTTTCCAAGTAGAGTAAATGAAATGGAGTTGATGAACCGGAAGTTACAAACTAGAGTTTTTATACGGCCATTTAAACTGATATCCTGGTATGTTTCTGAGTACAACCCTATTCTTTTCCTTCCATTTCATGAATCATCCCTGTATCCTTAAAATGTACTCCAACTTTAGCTTGATCCAATTTGATTCTGTTTTTGCAAAGCAAATAGAATGTCCACATAGCAAAGTCCTCTTTATACAGCAATCTAGGAATTAACAAACTTTTTACATAAAAGTAGAAGTAATAAACATTTCAAAATTAGCAGACCACATCTTTTCTATGACAGATACTGAACGCTGACATTGTCACACAAATGTTAGCTATAGATGATACTTAAGTAAATGAGCATGACTGTGTTACAATAGAACTTAATTAATGAATACTGACATTACTTTTACGTAATTTTTATGTGTCACAAAATATTATTATTCTTTTGAGTTTTTTCTAATTATCAAAATGTGCAAATGGAAAACAAATAGAAAGTCATCAGACATGTGAACCATACAAAAATAGGTGGCATTTATGGAAAATACAGCCTCTCAAGATTGAGCCAGGAAGAAGCAAAAACCCTTAACAGACCAATAATGAGTAATGAAATGTAAACAGTAATCAAAAATCTCCCAAAGAAAGAAGCCCAGGATGAGATGGATTCATAGCTACATTTAACCAGAGATACAAACAAGAGCTTATACCAGCCTTACAGAAATTAAACAACAACAACAACAAAAATGAGAAGGGATGACTCTCTAACTCATTCTAAAAAAAGGAAGATCACCCTGGTATGAAAATCAGTCAAGCACCAACCAAAAAAGAAAACTTTAGGCAGAGATCACTGATGAACATAGATTAAAAATCCTCAGCAAAATACCAGCAAACCAAATCCAGCAGCACATCAAAAAAATAATAACTACATCATGAACAAGTGGGTTTTATTCCAGGGCTGCATGGATGGTTCAATGAACACAAATCAATAAATGTCATTCACCACATAAACAGAGTTATAAACAAAAACCATAAGATTATCTCATTAGATAACTAAAAAGCATTTGATAAAATTCAATATCCATTCATGATAAAAACCCTCAACCATCTATTCATCAAAAGAACACGCTTCAAAATAATAAGAGCCATACACCACAAACCCACAGCTAACCTTGTACTGAATGGGGAAAAGTTGAAAGCATTTCCCCTAAGAAGTGGAACAAGACAGAGATGTCCACTGTCACCATTCCTATTAAGCATTGTACTGGAGCAATGAGGCAAGAGAAAGAAATAAAATGCATTCAAATAGGAAAAGAGGAAATCAATTATCTCTGTTCACTGAGGTTGTGATTTTATACCTAGAAAACCCTAAAAACTCATCCAAATGACTTCTGTACTTAATAAATGACCTTAGTGATACAAGATCAACAAATATCAGTAGCATTTTTATATAACAATAATGTTCAAGCTGAGAATCAAGAACTCAATTCCATTCACAATAGCCACACACAAAAACCAAAGAGGTAAAAGATCTCTATGAGGAGAACTACAAAATGCTGCTGAAAGAAATCATAGATGGCACAAACAAATAGATAAATCTCTCATGCTCATGGATTGGAATAATTGATATTATTTAAATGACCATACTGCCCAAAGAAATCTACAGATTAAATGCAATTCTTATGAAGTTACCAACATCATTTTTACTGAATTATAAAAAGCAATCTTAAAAATAAAATGAAACCGAGAAAAAGAGCCTGAATAGCCAAAGCAATCCTATGCAAAAAGAATAAAGCTGGAGGCATCACATCACCTGACTTTAATTATACTACAAGGCTATAGTAACCAAACCAGCATGGCACAAGCATAACAATAGACATATAGATGAATGGAACAGAATGGAGAGAATAGAGAACCCAGAAATCAAGTCATATACATCCACCAACCAGTCTTCAACAAAGTCAACAAAAATATACAATGGAGAAAGTACTTCCGATTCAACAAATGCTGCTGGGAAAATTGGACAGACGTATTCAGAAGAAAAAATCTGGACCCTTATCTCTCACCATATAAAAATATTAACTCAAGATGGATTAAAGCCTTACACTTAAGACTTGAAACTACAAAAAATCCTAGAAGAAACCTAGGACAACCTCTTTAGGACATTGGCTGAAACAAAGAATTAATGACTAAAACCCTAAAAGCAAATTCAATAAAGCAACAATGGATAAGTGGGGCTTCATTAAACTAACAAGCTTATGCACAGCGAAATACATCAGCTGAGTAAATTGACAACTTACCACATGAAAGAACATATTTGCAAACTATGCATCTATTATAACAGATGACTAATATTTAGAATCTACAAGGAACTCAAACAACTCAAAAAGAAAATGACAAATAACCCTTTTAAAAAGTGGGCAAAGGACATGAATAGGTACTTCTCAAAAGAAGATATACAAGTAGCAAACAAACATGAAAATATGCTCAGCATCACTACTAATCAGAGGAATGCAAATTAAAATAATAATGAAATATCATCTCACACCAATCAAGTTGGAAACTAACATATGTTGCCTAGGATGGGAGGAAAAAGGAATGTAAATTAGTACTACTTCACTGGAAAACAGATTTCTCAAACAGTTAATAATAGAAAGACCACCTGACCCACCAAACCCACTACTGGGCATCTACCCAAAGGAAAATAAGTCATTAAGTAAAAAAGACACCTGCACTTGTATATTTACCACAGCACTATTCATAATAGCAAACTAATGAAATCAACCTAAGTATTCATCAACAGATGACTGGATAAAGGAAATGTGGTATGTATACACCATGGAATTCCATTTGGCCATAAAAAAGTATGAAAGCATGTCTTTGGCAGCAAAATGGATGAAGCTGGAAGCCATTATCCTAAGCGAAATAACTCAGAAACAGAAAAGCAAATACCACATGTTCTCCTTCGTAAGTAGTAGCTAAACAATGGATACATATGGACATTTACAAAGGGCAATAACAGACACTGGGGACTCCAAAAGGGCAGAAGGTGAGAAGGGGATGAGGGTTGAAAAATTGCCTGTTGGGTACAATATTCACTATTTGAGTGAATGATACACTAGAAGCTCAAACCCCACCACTATGCAATATATCAGTGTCATAAACCTGCACAAGTACCCCCTGAATTCTTGAAATAAAAATATAAAGAAAAAAGATAAAAATGGTCAAGACGAGAAAAGTATAATCATCTATAAAGGATTTGAAAATACTGTTATCCTATCAATTAAAATAACCGCTAATTGTTTTAAAAATGAGTGGCATTCTAATAAGTAGATCTGATAAGTAGGGGAACCACACTGAAATTTGTACCAAATAAAGAGGAAAAGCTTCCCACTCCCTTTCTTCTGCAAAATGTTATCTTTAATTTCTTCTTCTGCTCACACACCAGACAAATAACAGTCATCATTTCTTCTCTACTATAAATAAATATTTCTAGTTATGGTAAGATTAATGTATTTTGATTTAAACCCCTCTTTTTATTAACTAAATTTTAGCTTATAGATAAAACTACATCTTCTTTCCTTCTAACATTTAGAAATCTATGATTTGTATCTTAAGTAAAATATTGGAAATGACAACCACAATACATACATTTTTAAAAATTGGTGCCATCAAAAGCATTTGGAAACAAAAAAAGCTCCTAAAACCAGCAAAACTATATACTAGTTAAAAATTATTAAATATACACAAAAATAGAAAATAGAGATTTAATTTAGAATTCTTTCACTATCAATCTAATAAAAGGTCATCATAATTGGAATATAAATGCTACTATGGCACTAGTAGAAGAAAGAAATTTTAAATAACACTTTTATCAAGTATTAATTTTTATTTCCAATTAGAGATAAACTTTTTTAAATCATAGTTCTATGGTGTTACAAAAATAAAACTGTCAAATATATTTAATGAAATAAATAGGCTATCAAAAATATTATATCAGGCAATAATGGTGTCAATGCAAACCCGTTAAGAATCACAGCAGTATTTGAAGTTGCTGTCTTTTAAATTCAGTTTAGTCCAGAAGGACATTTAGGAGGTCTAGAAAGAGATTAGGGCAATTATGTATGCCAAGTACATAAATGTCAACAGCAATTTAGAACAAGAGTGGATTGTGAGAATGTTTCCAGTTCAATATTTTACTCCGAAGGCAAATCATTGGTATGATATTTTTGCAACAGGGAGTCCAAAGAAAATACACTGAGGAGATAAACAAATAAGTATACTCAATGGAAAGGTTTTAAAATAAGAGATTCCATTGGTTATTTGATTCACAGACAATTCCCATAGAGCTATAAGAATTTTGTGTTTTCCTAGAAAGTCACATATTTGATGAAGCTTTGTTGTTTTCTGTGTCCTTAACAAATGACATTCAGTAATGTGGATTCCTCTTAGGTGTTCTGTAACTCTCTATCACTATATATGAATTTCATTTTAAAACTTAGGCAGGATATCTATTGGATACTGCTCTACACTTGACCACTATTTTCTAGGTATGGAATTTCCAAGGTAAGTACCACACACAAAAGTTGAAATTCAAGATCACTGATGAGAGGTATAATCATCATTATATTCTCAAAACCTACCAGTATGCTTTACAAATAGATAGTATCTGTTAATATCTGTTGAATTAATAGAGCTGTACCAGACAATATTCACTTGAGTTGTAAATGTATTTGAAAAGCCAGTTCAAAGCGTTATTGTAATGAAAGGCTGAGAATAGCTCTTTTGTGAAACTATTCCATATACAAAAATGAGTAATTCAGGAAGCTATAAGTGTTTTATGAATAAAATATGCATTCTCACTTACTGTTTATTCTATCTTTCTTTGTATCAACTGTCTATCTGTCTATCTATCTACCATCTATCTATCTTCTGTCATCTATCTATTTACCTATCTACCTACCTATTTATCATTATTTTCTTCTTCTTCTGTATATCTAGATCTTTAAAACCTAGTGCATTATATTAGATTTGAGGGAAAGTTAATGTCACCCACCTGGCATCTTTGTATACTTAAGATCCAACTATTCTTTCGACTGTCATAGGGGAAAAAGTGCACACAAGACCTAATTCCATAGGTGATAACAATAGAATTACAACACAACAATCATTGCTGGAGGCTTAGCATTATCATATATTATTTGGTTGCAGCCCCTTCACTGGATTTTTTTAACAAAATATAATAAAACATATTTTAGTGACCAAATCTTAGGATAGTATGCATTATAACTGAAATGGTATAGAAATTCATTTTTTCCTTAAAAAATCATAAATTATTTCATTTTTATTCTTATTTTGCTATAAGGCTATCTTTAATGCATATTAGACAAATTAAATAAATTTTTATATTTTTAAGATTCTATATTTAAGCTTTTCGGTTAAAAGTTTAGAACAAATACAGTGGTTACCAACACAATGAAGTCAGATGTTGGGTGTTAGTTTAAGTGTTTATTGTTGCTTAGTGAGGGGCAATACCCAGGTACAGTTTTCTGTGATTTTTTTAAATGAAAAATATTTATGTTTTCCTTGGGAACCTTAAAATAATATCTTATAAACCATGGAATGCCTGATTCTGATTGTAACTCTATTAATTACCCATTGCTGCCGTTACATTGTTGCTATAACAAATTTAGTGCTTTAAAACCTCACAAATTTGTTATCTTACAATAAAAAAGGTCAGAAGTCCAAAATATGTCTCAATGGGCTTTAACCAAATTATTGGCAGGGTTACATTTATTCCAGAGGATCTAGGGTAGAATTCATTTCCTTGCCCTTTCCAGCTTCCAGAGGCTATCCACATTCCTTTGTTCAGTCTGACCTCTGCTTCTGTCATCATATCTCCTTCTGTGACTCTGACCTTGCTTTTTCCATCTGTCATTTGTAATTACCCTTTTGATCACATTGCCCCCCCACCCACTCACCCCCAATAATCCAATCTAATCTCTCCATTGCAAGATCCTTACTTTTATCACATTTTGCCATGTATGTTTATACACACACACACACACACACACACAAACACAGACACAGACACAGATATATAATTTACGTACATCTTGTACATTTTGTGTATATGTAAGTTTTATGAATTAGAATGTGTATATATAAGTTTCAGGAATTAGATTGTGTATATATAGGTTTCAGGAATTAGAATGTTAGCCATTATTCTGCCTAACATAGGAATCTAATAAAATGATTTTCAAATGTAATTTAGTTTTATCTCACTGTAGTATAGATTAATTTGGTAAGGTTTATTATTCAGAGAGAACAGGGTAAAATAGTACTAAGATTAGATATATTTTTCAACCTGCCAATTAGGATATAGCTCCGTGAAGTAAGAAATATTGATCTTTCCTTTTTTGTAATGTCTCTGCCAGGTTTTGGGATTCAGAATATACTTGGCTCTTTAACAAGTTGAAAAGTGTACCCTCTTCCTCTATTTTCTGAAAGTGTATGTGTAACTTTGAGAAACATTTGATAAAAATTGTCAGGGAAACTAGTGTAACTGAAAGTTTCTTTGTGAGAAAGTTTTTTATTGTAAGTTAAACTTTGCACTTCATGATTATTCAGATTTTATTTTTTGAATTACATTTTGTACAGGAATTTTGTCTGTTTCATTAAAAGTGGCAAATGTATTGGCTAAAATTGTTTATGTCATTCTTTTTATGTATTTAGGATCAGGAGTGTTTCTCCTCTTTCTTACCTGATATTAGAAGTTTTTTTGTTATATATATTTTCACTAAATAGTTTACCTAGGGGTTAATTGTATTTACTAATTGCTTCAATTTAATTTTTTTGTTTCATTGATTTTCTCTATTATTGGTCCAATTTATATTCTATTTATTTCTAATATTTATTACATCCTGAATTTTACTTATTTTGGATTTTTTTCTAACTTAATAAAGAGAAAACTTCATTCATTGATTGTGGACCTTAATTCATTTATAATTATAAGCATTTTATCTATAAATTTCTGTATAAGCACTGTTTAGAAATCATAATTTTGATATATCATATTTGTGTGTTTGCTACAAAACACTTTTTAATAAAACATAAAGTTATATTTTATAATTTCTGATGTTATTTCTTTTTTGACATATGAGTTATGCAGTAGTGTGTCATTTAATTTCTAATATCTGGCCCAAAATTTTTCTATTATCAGTTCTGGTTTAATTCTGCTGTGATTGGTAAACACATTTTGTATGATTTTGATATTTGAAAGCTATCAATACCTTTTTAAAGACACAAAAATTGGTCTACCATGGTAAATGTTTTATGCACATTGAAAAAAATATGACTGGTAGATTTTTCTATAACTATTAGTCAGGACAAGGTGGTTGATAGTGTTGTCCAACTTTTCAATACTTTTACTCATTTTCTGACTAATTGTTAGGTCACTTTTTCTTTACGGAGTTTCAATTTCATTTATTAGATGCACACACATTTACGATTATTAAATTATCGCAATCAGTTTGTCACTCTCATTAGGAAATGCTTTTCTTTCCCCATGGTAATATTTCTTGTTCAGAATTCTACTTTATATTAATTACCCTAGCTTTCTGCTGACTGATGCTTGCATGGTATATGTTCTCCTATTTATTGACTTATAACCTATGTATGTCTTTATATTAAAGTCAGTTTCTTGTAGATAGTACACAGTTGGATGTCACTTCTTTCTCTTGCATAATGTGTCAATCTCTCTTTTTAATTGAAGTAGTCAGACATTTTACATTTAATATAACAATATGATTGGGTTTAAATTCTTTATGTTGCCGTTTGTTTTCTATTTGTACTTTTTCATTTCTTTTTCATTTTTTCTGATGTATTTTGAGTTTTATAAATGAGTTTATTGACTTAGTGTTGTCACCTTCAATTAGATTGAATATTTTTAATGCCATCTTTGCTTAATAATATTATTTCTAGTGGTTGCCCTTGGATTCACAACATAGAACTTTAACTTATTACTGTCCATCTTGAAGTACTATTATATCACACTGCATGTAACATAGAAACCTTGTCAAAGTATATATTGAATTCATCTGTTGTTTATTATTCTCAAATAATTTACTTGTACTTCTTTGATAAAACATGAAATAAAGTATTAATATTTTTACTGTAAAGTCTCAGTTATGTTTAAATTAAAAATGTGAGAAAAAAGCATTTTTAGTTACCCACACGTTTACTATTTCTGGTCCTTTTTATTCCATTCTATAGATGTAAGTTTCCATTCGATATTATTCTAACTAAAAAACTTGTTTTAACATTTCTTGTAATGCATACAGCCTGATGACAAATTTCCCCAGGTTTTGTTTTTCTGAAAATGGATCTGCTTCACTTTGTGTAGGTTAGCAGTTTATTTTTTCTCTCAGTGTTTTAAGTATATCATTCCTTTGTATTCTAGCTTTCACAGGTTCTAATAAGAAATCTGATGTCATATTAGTAATCTTTGATCCTCTTTACATCAGTAACTCTTTTTGTGGCTGTTTTAAGATGTTTTTCTTAACATCCAAATTATCACTGATTTGGTGGAATTTATAAAGTGTCTTCGTATGCAATTTTTTTGTGCTTATTCTACTTGAAATACATTGAACCTCTTGGATTTCTTTGTTTATGGGTTTCATTCATGTTGGAAGGTTTTCAACTATCATTTCCTATTTTTCTATTTCTTCCCTCCTGAAACTACATTTACATGAAACTTAGACATTGGTCATTAAAACACTGGGGATGTTTTGTTTGTTTATTTGCTCTATTTTTAATTCTAGGCAGTTTTTATTGCTAATTTTCAACTACACTATTTACTTTTCATTGAAAAAAATTGTGTTTAATCTGTTGTTAATTACAACCAGAGACATTCTATTTCAAAGATTGTATTATCTCTAATTTACATCAATTTTTATATGTTGCAGTCTTCTCCTTACCATTCTCTTGTTTTGCTTTATGTACTTTAACATGATTGTAATAACTGCTTTAATGTATTTTACTGCTATTTCCATTACATCTACTATATTGTTTGTTTGATTTCTTTGTTTAAATATACTTTTATTGATTTAGGGGGTAAAAGTATAATTTTGTTACATGGATTTATTGTGTCGTGGTAAAGTCTGGACTTGCAGAGTACCCAGCACCCAAATAGTGAACATTGCACCTGATAGGTAGTTTTTCAGCACTCATCTCCCTTCCATCCTACCCCATTTTTGCAGTCTCCAATATCTCTTATTCCCTTCTGTATGTCTATGTGTATACATTGTTTTGCTCCCACTTATAAGTGAAAACATGAGTTATTTGATATTGTTTCTGTTTTCTTTTCATTAAATTCAGTTATATTAAAAATGAGCCAATGTAACTCACCACATAACAGATCAAAAGACAAAAAGACATCATCATTTCAATAGATTCAAAAAAATTGTTAGACAAAATCCAGTAAACTTATGAAAACTTCTGGAACTCTAGGAATAGAAGTGAATTTTTTCAAACTGATAAAAGGCATCTACAATAGAACCTATAGGTGATATATAGTGGATATTATACTTAACTGTGAAAGAAAGTATTCAGATCACGTGTAACTTCTTATTGAATTCTTCAGTCTTATGTCATCTAATCTAAGTTTATAAGTAGTTTGTTGATTACTGGGAATTTGACTGGGATTCTGCTCAATCTATAGATCATTAGAAATAACATTAGAAATAACATTAGAAATAATTGTCCTTTAACAGTGAGTGTACTCTTCCTGAACAAGAGATGTTTCTGCATTTATTTATATTTATTGATCTCTATCCTTTTCAAGGTTTTCTCAATGCACATTTGTTGTTTTAATAAGAGGCAAATAATTATTTTTTATGATTTTTATATATGTATTTGTATGTGTGTGTGTGTATTCATATGTATACACACTTGTATTTAATCAGGGCATTAAAACATGCAAGGGGGATGGGGGCATGTTTTCCCAATTTTTTAAGAATTATAGATTCAGGGAGTACATGTGCAGGCTTGTAGCATGAATACATCACATAATGTTAAAGTTTCATCTTCTGGTGTACCTATCACCCAAATAGTGAACATTGTACCCAATAGATGAATTTTCAACTATTCCACCCTCCCTACTTTTGAAATCCCTGGTATCTAATATTTGTAACTTTATGTCTATGTATGTCCATTGTTTAGGTCCCATTTACTTATAAGGAAGAACATCTGATATAAGGAAGAATATTTGATTTTCTAAGTTATTTCACTTAGCATAACAGCCACCAGCTCTGTCCATGTTGCTGCAGAAGACAGGATGTAATTCTTCATTGTGGCTGTGTAGTATTCCATAGTGTACATAATTATTCTTTATTATGACTGCGTAATATTCCATGATATATATGTATCACATTTCTTTAATCCAGTGATCTGTTGATGGACACGTAGGTTGATTCCCTGACTTTCCTATTGTGAACAGTTCTGTGAGAAACACATGAGTACAAGCGTCTTTCTAATACAACATATGCATTGGGTTACAGTTTCCAGTTTTGACATATCTATTAATTTTATTAGGTGTTAGAAATATTAATATTCTAACATCTATCTGACAAAACAAAATTAAGTACTTGAATGCATTTGTATAAAGGTAATTATTGACATAATGTATATAGACAGTTCCTTACAGTCCTTTGACTTATAATTTTTCCACTTTAAAATGGGATTCGCCAGGTATTTAAATACATTTTTGACTCACTATACTTCAAATTAATGATGATTTTACTGGGACATGCACCCCCCCCACCCCATAATTTGAGGAGTGTCTGTATAGTGTAAAAAAGTGAAGACAAAATTAACATCTATCCAGAGGTAAATGATTGAATGCATTTTGTCTGGTTTTTGTTTTATTTCCTTTAAAGAGGTTTGGCATTGTTTAAGAAGGCAGGTAAAATTTTTGCAATCTACTCATCTGACAAAGGGCTAATATCCAGAATCTACAATGAACACAAACAAATTTACAAGAAAAAAACAAACAGCCCCATCAAAAAGTGGGCAAAGGATATGAACAGACACTTCTCAAAAGAAGACATTTATGCAGCCAAAAGACACATGAAAAAATGCTCATCATTACTGGCCATCAGAGAAATGCAAATCAAAACCACAATGAGATACCATCTCACACCAGTTAGAATGGTGATCATTAAAAATTCAGGAAACAACAGGTGCTGGAGAGGATGTGGAGAAATAGGAACACTTTTACACTGTTGGTGGGAATGTAAACTAGTTTGACCATTGGGGAAGTCAGTGTGGCGATTCCTCAAGGATCTAGAACTAGAAATACCATTTGACCCAGCCATTCCATTACTGGGTATATACCCAAAGGATTATAAATCCTGCTGCTATAAAGACACATGCACACATATGTTTATTGTGGCACTATTCGCAATAGCAAAGACTTGGAACCAACCCAAATGTCCATCAATGATAGACTGGATTAAGAAAATGTGGCACATATACACCATGGAATACTATGCAGCCATAAAAAATGATGAGTTCATGTCCTTTGTAGGGACATGGATGAAGCTGGAAACCATCATTCTCAGCAAACTATCGCAAGGACAAAAAACAAAACACCACATGTTCTCACTCATAGGTGGGAATTGAACAATGAGAACACATGGACAGAGGAAGGGGAACATCACACACTGGGGCCTGTTATGGGGTGGGGGGAGGTGGGAGGGATAGCATTAGGAGATATACTTCATGTTAAATGACGAGTTACTGGGTGCAGCACACCAATATGGCACATGTATACAAATGTAACAAACCTGCACATTGTGCACATGTACCCTAAAACTTAAAGTATAATAAAAAAAAAGAAGGCAGGTAACTAAAATGAATTTTACTCTTTTAAAGAAGCTTGTTTTGAACTTTATCACAACAGTGAAAAGCAGCTTAATTGCTTGGGCTGATTTAGCATCACAGCCAAGCTGTGGTTATGATGACTCTGTTGAATGCCCTGAATGATTAATGAGGATTTTCAAATTTGACTAGTCAGAACTCATATATATTCTCTTCCTTTGGAACACTGAAAACTGTTCAGCTCACATCTCCCTGGCCATTGTTTGCTCCACCACACAAAATTTCATGGTATACATGTAAGTTTTGGTATTCAGCAAAGACATAATGGTACTTGTGGAAAATTTCTGTTTTCCACAAACAGAAGGGCATCTCAAACTCTGCCCTTCTACTTCCAGCCATACCAGCTTACCTGAAAGGTAATATGTATTACCTTCTCCAAATGACATTGTCATAGAGTGCCTGGGGTTTCTTGTTTTTTACTGTAGAATTTTTTATTATTATTATTATACTTTAAATTCTGGGGTACATGTGCAGAACGTGCAGGTTTGTTACATAGGTATACACGTGCCATGGAGGTTTGCTGCACCCATCACCTACATTAGGTATTTCTCCTAATGTTTTCCCTCCCCTAGCTTCCCACCCTGGACAGGCCCCAGTGTGTGATATTTCCCTCCCTATGTCCATGTGTTATCATTCTTCAACTCCCACTTATGAGTGAAAACATGCCGTGTTCAGTTTTCTGTTCGTGTGATAGTTTGCTGAGAATGGTGGTTTCCAGCTTCATCCATGTCCCTGGGATTTCTATGTGTTGTATGTTTCTGTATTTTGTTCTATAACCCATTTTTTTTTTCTTTTGGGAAAAGCCAAATAGTTTTTGGTGTCTTATCATTTACTTAGTTTTTCCTTTCCTCAGAGATAATCACAGTATTGTGCTGTGCAGTCTCTAATGTCCAAAAATCTAAAACTATTTTATTTATTTTTCTTGCTGCCCCTTCTTCCACCTCCTCCTTTTCAAAAGAGATAAAATTTGTCCACACCATGAATGGTAATGAGTTTTACTGGAATGATCTAAATATTTGAAAATTTGTTAGATTTGCTTTATAGGTCACATATTGTCAATTTTCATAAATATTGTGGGTGCCTCTAAAAATAATCCAGTTTTTATTTTATAATACCAAATGATTTTTGGGAGCTAGAGACCAAATCAAGTTTTTATACACTGTTGTAAATTATGAGTTTTTGAAAATCCTGTGAATTTTCTTTTATTACTGAGAGTGGAGTTCAAAACTTCCCACCAAGACTATAGATTTCTATGTATTTTTCAATTTTGATTTATGCTTTTGAAGTTGTACATACAAATTTATAATTATTATTTCATGGTAGTCAATTGAATATTTTATGATTATAAAGTATTCTTCATCTAGAAATGCCTCTTTACTACTCATTGATAATTTAATTTGTTATTATATAATATAAAAAGTTATTTTTTCTTTTCTCATATGTATAGTAATTTCTTATAATCTTCAGATATTTTCTTATATATATGATAAATTTTATATTATTACTACATTTATATTAATGTATTTATAATCTTCAGCTGACTTTTGCTTGAGTGAATTTTCATCCCATTTTTATAAGTTTTAATTGTAAGTTCATCTTCAAGTGGACCTTCTTATGGATGGCTCCATCAATAGACTGGCCCACACCACATTTCTACCTTCTTGGAGTTAGTGTGCTTCCTTTTGTCAGCTGATAGTATAACTTAGGACCAGTCCTTTTCCTAAAATGTTAGTTTCATTTTAAATTTGAATTCCAATTCCAATTTCGATATGCCTTCAAAGTAATCATAGTTATAAATTGCATTGATTCTTTATTCTTTTTCTTTCATTTATTTTTCCCCCCACATTTATTGTCTAGGCAGGGCAATCAAAATTTTATGTGTTCTTTCCTTTTCATGGATTAGATTTATTTTATAGTTGCTTGTTTCATAACTGTATATCCTATCAAGGATTTCAGACTATTGTGAGTATCTCAGCAACAGCTCTGACCTCATGAAGGCCAAAGTCTAGACACTTGTCTCTGTACGTGTTAAACTCAATTGTTCTTCTTCAATTTCCTTGCTCCTTATTGTACCTATAAATTTCAACCTCTTTATTGTGAGCTCAGCTATGAATTTAAAGGTAATGCTTGCTACTATATTCAAAAGGTTTCTATAATACAAGTTACCATTCAAAATATGAAAATAGTTTATATTTTAATAAATTTGTTTAGAACACATTAAACACTAATAAATTGTATTTATCTGCTATAATTAGGAAGATCAAATATGATTACACATGCATTTTACAGAATCACTTTACCTTCTTTTCTATGACCATTAATAGCTTTTGTGTTTTTCACATAAGGTTATATAGCTAAAAATGTTTAAGTTCCATTGCTTTCAGGTGGAATTCAGAGACTATATTTTAATATGAGAATGCCCAGATTTAAAATAAGATTTTAATGCTTTCTAATTATCCATCCTTGGGGAATTAATTCTTTAAATCTTGGTTCCTCATATATAAAATATAAAGTAAATCCTCTGTTTTTCACTATTGTTATGAAAAATGAATGAGAATTTGCATTTAAAGTAACTAGCAGAGTACTTAAATAATGTATTATTGGATATACATTCCACCCCTTCCTTGGGGGACAGGGTTTTATACGGTAACAAGTGCTTTGAAGCTAACCCCTTGAACTTCACAAATGGAACCTGGAGTTGAGATTATGAGAGTATTAGTGAAAATAACTGACTGGAATATAATTGTGTTTTTCATTACATATGCATGATTAAATATCAATTTATTCTTGCACCAATCTCATCTTAAGTCCATTAATTCTCATGTCTAACATTTTAGGTATACATGCATGGTAAGTATTCAATTTAGTATATTTAGGACAATGAAAATAACATTGTAAATCAATTTTAGGTTTCTATATAAAAATGATGTATAAGGGCAAAACCTTTCCATTCATCTTAAAGGCTATTAAATGTACAGCCTATATTTATTCCCATAATGAGAAATATTAACTTTTCCAAGTCATTTGTCCAAAGAGTGCAGAAAAAGCACCATGATATTCAAGTATTTTATTGATCTGACATGTAAGAATTTCTGTATGAGTATATATATAGTGTTATTTAAAGTGAGTAGACATCTGGGCACGAATCCTGGGACTTTGGGAGGCCAAGGCAGGAGGATCGCTTGAGGTCAGGAGTTCAAGACCAGCCTGACCAACATTGTGAAACCCCATCTCTAATGAAAATACAAAAAAATTATCTGGGTGTGGTGGCACGCACCTGTAATCCCAGCTACTTGGGAGATTAAGGCAGAAGAATAGCTTGGACCCGGGATGTGAAAGTTGCTGTGAGCTGAGATCGTGCCATTGCACTGCAGCATGGGCAACAGAGTGAAACTCTGTCTCAAAAAAAAAAAAAGAAAAAAAAAAAAGGAGAAGTGAAGAGGCTCAAATCTCAAATTGAAGCTTCCTGTTCTTCCGTAAGGTCCGTGGTAAATCACAAAAGCCTCCTTCACAGCCCAGAAGTATAGCAATAAAACTCACTATCTAAAATATACTAATTTTCTTGTTGCATAATTCCTGCCACTAACAAATGCAGGTTTTTAGAAAAAAATAAATTGTTAGAATGTACACTTTTCTTTATTATAAATATTATAATGTGATCAATACTAATATAATTACTCTCTCTACCAGATGTTCTCTCTCTATTTTTGCATTTGTAAGAGTGGAAACATTTTCTGTTATTCTTTATTTTATGTATTTATTATATATATATTTATACCAAGTTAATCCTATATTTTATATGCAAATCAGTAAGATTTTCTAATACAATACATACCCAATCCTTTGCTTAATCCTTAAAACTACTTTGATTTTTCATCCTTTCTCATTAAAATCCATGAATGGAAAATCTTTTCAGCAGCTTCCACTGTTAATGCATTTGTCTGTGAATATAACGTAGACACAAGGTATGAAAAATAGATACATGAACATTCCAAGTGTACATTGTGCTAAAATAACCAACTGATAGTCTAAATATGGAAGATACACAATATGTATTGAAAGGTAAAATAAAAGTACAATCTTGGTCACAAAACAGACACCTATTACAATATAAACTTCATTTTTACTGAAATACTCAAGTATGTCTAAACCTAGTCATGTGAAAGTACTAGGTGCACACAATGTAAAGAATTATCACAGCTTGCAATGATCAGTATAAGAAGATTAAATAGCTCAGTTCCTTTCTTATTTTTTCATAAGCCGAGTTTATCTTCCTTCACAGAATTATCATAGAACAGTACTGACAAACTTCAAAGACAATTGTAGCTAGGTTTTGGATTTTCATTTTTAAACATTATTTCACAAAATTGTGATGACAGTCATCCCTGCCAAATATAGTATGAAAATTCAGGATCTAGTTGAGTTAGACTTGAATAAAACACGGATCAATGTGCCATTCATTGTTCTGTTACTAAAAGTAAATTTGGGAAGAAATTAAAAAGCCATTCACAATTTAGCAAGGTAAATAATTTCAGTTGATACAATACACTAAATATTACAGAAAAAAATAATGGTTTTTGTCACCTCTCATGGGGACAATTGTTCTTGCTTCCCACCTCATCTCACTGGTGTGTGTTATTTTACTCCAATATATCTGTACACCACTGTCAGATGATCTTCTTAAACAATTGCATTGATTATTTCATATCTCTGATCAAATACTTCTATGGGTTACCAAAAGCCTACAAAGAAAAAAAAATTCATTTGCATGAAATTGAATGCTATCTTTCATTTGGTCTGGGCTTCTAGTCTTACCATTCACTCTCTGTCTAAATTGGCCTTTTTCTCCAGGGAAACTGACAGTCACTGTTTCCTCAACGTTCATTCTCATCTTTCTAATACCATATGTTTCCTCATACAGTTCCATTCAATGGAACTGCTATGTATTTTGTCTTATTTTAAAACTTCTATCAATATTCAAGCTTACAAGAGTAAATTACAGTCACTCAAATTAGGAAACTAATGTAAATATATATTTTACAAAAGTTAATAATCTCACATTTTCTTTTTAAATTGATTATAATAAATAATCTGGTCTGACTCCTTCACAGTTTTCTATATACTCACAAAAACACCATATACTCTAAAGAATATTACTTATTATTACCGAATTTTTGGTCATATGCCTTACAAATACGATTTCCCAATCTCCCTTATTAAATATGTGTGTGTTTGCGTGAGTGAACACCTACAAACACACAAAACGCACACACATTCATTGTTTACTATTATTTTTACCACCCAGTTTTAATACATTTTCTCTGTATTAATTTTTGTTATATTTTTCTCTGCAAGTTCTTCACTCCCCTCATTTGTACATTTATTCTCCTTTATAGATTTATTTTTACATTGTGAGTATAAAGCTTTAGTCAATCTGTTGTGTGTGTGTGTGTGATGAATAATATAAGAGCCTAACTTGGTTTTCTTTGAGATAGTTAACCAACTGAGGCACCAGCATTTATTCAATAGATTAACATTTTTATTTTGATTTGAATAGCCAAGTTGTCATTTTTTGTTAATTTATTCAAATCTTAACCAATTTTAAAGCAACATATATTACCTACTCTGTAAATTTGTCCTTATTACTCTAGCCAGAAATAATGACTCAATTAATCAAATCACATTTAATAAATTTTATATTATTTGACGTTTCAAGCAGTGATGCTTCATCCCTCCAAATAGCATGTAACACAATCTTTGGGATCTTACTCCATCAATTAACCATCTTTCACATTTATCTTTAACCTTCTTCTCCCTCATCCCCCGTATTGTATTCTCATGTTCAAATTTCTTCAAACAAAATAATAGAAAATAAATTTTATTTAAAATTTCAATCACCTTCTAACTATTTTTTAGTGCAATCTCCTGGTAGTCAACCATCCATCATCATGAATGAAAGATCTGCATTTACAATCTTCCTAAGTAATTTCATTTTTTCACCTACTGATGTGTCACCTTCTCTCTTGTCACTCAGGTAACAGGTTTTTTGTTGAGGTGATAAATATCCTTTCTTATTACTTACCAAATGATTTGAAATCAACAAGTCTGTTTTAGTCCCTTTTTACTCCAAATCTAGAACAGTGAGTTCTATATAGAGTGGTCAATACCTATATATTGAATGAATAAATTAACTGCCACATTTAATAGCCATTTTATAAATCGATTTTTACATTAATTCTTTCTTCCCCCATACCATTGCACATTTTGTTTTGTTTTAAAATTTGCTTTTTTGATTTCTGGTCCTATCTCTTTGTCTTTATTTATCAGATGTTCTTTCAGCCATTCTTTTGATTTGGCCTTCACTGGAGCTCTGCTCTTTTTTCTCCTCTTTAAAGACGTGTTGCTCTTCATATTCTATTCTACTTTTTGGGAAGGCCTATTAAGTGCTTAAGAACAAACTAGCACAATGTCACATTTTCTACATTCAGCAGTACAAGCACATCACAATCCAGTCTAGATTTAAAGGCAAAAATAATAGACTTCACTTCTAGACAGAAGAAGTATACAGACAAGCATATGAGGAATTTTGGGTGGTCATTTTCACATGAAATTAATGATTGTCTTCAATCTTCAGCATTTCTCACCCTTCTTTGTGCAAAATAAACCAACTCTTTCCCCGAATTTGTCTTATCCAATTACAATATTGATCTGAAGTCCAGAATTGTATCAACTAAATGAAAATAACGGATGAAGATCCCTAGGCTCAATTACCCAGTAGAGCTGGAGAATAAGTTTAGACTTCCACACATTCCATTTATTCTCCATGCAATGATTTTTTAAAGATATTTAATATAATTTAGGCTCTATTATATTTATTTTACTCTTAAGACACCATCTTAAAACATAGAAAAAAATGTTCTCAGTAAGATATGACTACGATGGGGCCATTCCACAATCTTGATTTGGATATTTTCTTTTCTGGTTAATCTAGGAAAATACTAGATTCAAATGCAGTGATAAGGTATTGGTCTATATTGAACATTTAGTTAAATAAACAAATTTACTAGGCTATTTTTCATGCCTTCATTAACTTCTTAGGAATTTATTTGTTAAAAATAGAAAACTGAATACTTCTTTTACTTTTATCAAAATAGCTATTATGACAAGAAGGATGGGCACAAATAGTATAAACATGAATATAAGTATGGACTCTATAGAAGTGAGGTCTGCTACTTAGAGAAGAAAGTTCGGATGTGGAAGACATGCACATTTATATATTCCAATAGTCATTAAAGAATATCCTGTTTGTTTCAACTTGAACATCACAGTGAATATTACTGTGTCTGGAATTTATTCCTTCCGGTGGGTTCTTGGTCTCGCTGACTTCAAGAATGAAGCCGCGAATGCTCGCGGTGAGTGTTACAGTTCTTAAAGATGGTGTGTCTGGAGTTTGTTCCTTCAGATGTTCAGATGTGTCCAGCGTTTCTTCCTTCCAGTGGGTTCATGGTCTTGCTGACTTCAGGAGTGAAGCTGCAGACCTTCGCGGTGAGTGTTACAGCTCTTAAAAGTGGCGCATCCAGAGCTGTTTGTTCCTCCTGGTGGGTTCGTGGTCTCGCTGACTTCAGGAATGAAGCTGAAGACCCTCACAGTGAGTGTTACAGCTTATAAAGGCAGTGCGGACCCAAAGAGCGAGAAACAGCAAGATTTACTGGGAAGAGAGAAAGAATAAAGCTTACGCAGCATGGAAGGGCACCCGAGCAGGTTGCCGCTGCTGGCTAGGGTT
Organism: Homo sapiens; assembly: GCF_000001405.40. Lineage (NCBI taxonomy): Eukaryota > Metazoa > Chordata > Mammalia > Primates > Hominidae > Homo > Homo sapiens. Next base: position 190,980,368 of record NC_000001.11, read on the forward strand.
GCCAGCTTTTATTCCCTTATTTGGCCCTGCTGCATCATGATGCTTGGTGCATTTTAGAGTATTGATTGGTCCATTTTACAGAGTGCTGATTGGTGCGTTTACAAACCTTTAGCTAAACATAGCGCACTGATTGGTGCATTTTTACAGAGTGCTGATTGGTGCATTTACAATCCTTTAGCTAGACACGGAGCGCTGATTGGTGTGTTTTTACAGAGTGCTGATTGGTGCATTTACAATCCTCTAGCTAGACAGAAAAGTTCTCCAAGTCCCCACTGGACCCAGGAAGTCCAGCTGGCTTCATCTCTCATTACCAAGTTTAATTTTCATACCTACTCTTTATAATTTATTATATTTAGTAATCTTAAATAGAATGAAATTTATATGGCTTTCTAAAAACACTTTATAACCTTTAATAAAATTTGACTAAAATAATAACAATATTTGTACCTAAAATAGAGGCTACCAACACATCTCTCTTAAAAAATAATGGCTATTTATCATAAATTTATCTGTTTGTCAACAATGTTTTGGGATTCTATTAAATATCTTGTTAAAACCAAAATACATTGTGTATATTAATTTCATACGAATTCACTTTAAGCCTTTATCCTATCATTATTAATTTTTTAAGGTTAACCAAGTGAAGCAGTGGGAGTCAAGAAGGAACAAAGAAATTTACAAGGTTTTAATCAAATAGTTGTAAATATTAGCGCACTCAAACCAACCTATGCAATTATTACTAATAAATAGATGTATTAATGTTTATAACTTCTTTATCAGTTTTGTTAAATAATTGTTAATGGAGTTATGTCTTGTCTGAAGTTTTCTTTATTTGCTAATCATTAAACTTTCCTTTCCAAAACATATTGTATCAATGTAGTAATCTACTTAAGAATTATAACCAATTACAATCTAAAGAGTCCTAAATCAAATTAATTTTGTTTCTTTCATCTACTATTAATGATAGCATATGGTTATGTCTTAAATAGAGTGATTGAGTCTATCTGTAACATATGTCTATATTATAATCAATAGTAATTTAAGAGTTATCTAAGTCTCTAATCCATAATAATCTAGAGTGTATCTAGGTTATGTCTGTATTAGTCAGGGTTCTCTAGAGAGGCATAACTAATAGGATGTATTTATATATGAAGTGGAGTTTATTAGGAGAATTGACTCACATGATCACAAGATAAAGTCCCACTATAGGCCATCCACAAGCTGAGGAGCAAAGAAGCCAGTCCGAGTCCCCAAATGTCAAAAGTAGGGAAGCCAACAGTGCAGTCTGTGGCCAAAGGCCCGAGAGCCCCTGGCAAACCACTGGTGTAAGCCCAAGAGTCCAAAAGCTGAAGAACTTGGAGTTTGATGTTCAACAGCAGGATGCATCCAGCACAGGAGAAAAATGAAGGCAGTAAGACTCAGCAGATCTGCTCATTCTACCTTCTTCTGTCTGCTTTTTTTGAGTCACACTAGCAGCAGCTTAGATGATGTGCACCCATGGTGTGGGTGGGTCTTCCTGAGAATGTGTCTTCCTCTCCCAGGCCACTGACTGAAATGTTAATCTCTTCTGGCAACACAATGAAACTCCCAGATATGCCCAGAAACAATACTCTGCACCCTTCAGTCCAATCAAGTTGACACTTAATATTAACCATCACAACGTCCCCATATGTGACTCAGGCTACATATAAAACAGTGATGAGTAGCAGCAAGTTATTTTGACTAAATCTACCATTTAATGTTTATATGCAAGTACACTTCAAAACCATTGACTTTTGTTAGCTCAAAGGTATAAAAACAAACATAAATAAAGATAATAAATTGGGTTGTAGTGTTCATTTTATATTCTGGATATAAGTTCTGATCAGATAATACGGTTTAAAAATATTTTCTTCCACTCTGTAAATCATGTTTTAGTTTATAATTTTTATTTATTTATTTATTTTTATTATATTTATTTACTTATTTTTGAGACGGAGTCTCACTCTATTGCCCAGGCTGGAGTGCAAAGGCACTATCTCAGCTTCCTACAACCTCTGCCTCCTGGGTTCAGCCTCCCAAGTATTTGGGATTACAGCTGTGCACCACCACGCCCAGCTAATGCTTTACTTTTTAAATGGTGCCCCTTGAAGCACAAACATTTTAAATTTAAGTACAATATATCTCTATTTTTCCTTTTGTTCTGATGCATTTGATGTAATACCTAAGAAACCATTGCCAAACCAAAGGTCACACAGATTTATGTTTTTTTCTGGTAGTTTTACAGTTTTATCACTTATATTAAGATCTTTAATCTATTTTCTATTAATTTTTGCATATATTATGCATCAGGAGCCCAGCTTTATTCTTTGTCACAGTTACCCTATCACCATTTATTGAAAAACATATTGTTCATTGAGTAGTATTGGCATCATTGAAAATTAATTTACTGTAAAAGAGAGGGTTTATTTCTAGATTCTCAATATTGTTCTATTAACTTATATAGTAAGGAAACAGTATATATATATATACACATATGTATGTATGTGTATATATGTATATAATACACATATATGTATATACGTATACATGTGTATATATACACATATATGTATATACGTATACATGTGTATATATACACATATATGCATATACGTATATACACATATGTGCATATACGTATATGCACATATATGCATATACGTATATGCACATATATGCATATACGTATATGCACATATATGTGTATATACGTATATACACATACGTATATACGTATATACACATATATATACATATATACGTGTATATATACTGTTTCCTTATTATATGTTAATAGAACAATATTGTTCTAATAGAAGAATAATAGAACTATACATATACGTATATATATACACGTATATATTATGTATACATATATGTGTGTATATATATATATGGCATCAACATGCCTATACTTATGCCAGGATCACACTGTCCTTACTCCTGTAGCTTTGTAATAAATTTTGAAATTGGAAAGTATGATCCCTCTAACATAAGTTCTTAAGACTAAATAATTTGAAAGTAAACTGTTTTATAAACTGAGTTGATCCGAAACTGAGTACATTTGAAGTTTACATTTGAACTTATGAGCACATAAATTTTGTACTGATTTTAAACTGAGTACAAAATTCAGCAAGGAGTTGAAGCAAATCTCAAAAATCAGCCAACTATCAACTTCTTATGTCCAGAAGAAATTAGCCTAAAAATGCTACTGAATTACAGAAATCGAGAATGAACTGATTTTGTGGTCTTCTATGCAGATACTGTTCAATAAATGATTATATGAAAATGAGTAACATTTAAAAAATTTAAGCACATATTAAATCGTGGGAAAGTGATAATTTCTCTAATGTAACGTAAATGAGATAAGAACTTGGAAAAGAGGCAGAGGTGGATGTCAATGATTATTTCCCAAGGGAATGAATTAGGAAATCCAAGAAAAAAGTAAAATGCCAATAACAGTAAATTTTCAGATAGGTTCGCTTTTTATGAAATGAACAACATAGTGTTGCCTTACTCCTGTGTGGTCATTGCCACCATGCAATCTCACATTTCCATCATATTCACTGTTGAACTTGGCCTGCACTTGAAATCTGCCCTCTCCTGCCCCAACATTTCTCCCCTTCCTTTACCCAATTTATGCATTAAAAACATTAAACCAGAATCTGAATGGAAAATAATTTGCAATTGGTAGCCTTTGACAAATCACTAATGGCTGGCTAGAAAACCCACCTGGGAACAATTTCAGAGATAAAGCAGAAAAAAAAATGTGGATAAAGATGACAAGATATGTGTCTTTATATTTAATTCCTGGTGTAGTTTTACCTAACTTGTTAATGTGCCCATTTTCTACCAGTGGACTACATGTCCATTCGTATTAACAAGCACCAGTCTTGCTGCTCACCAGTTACTGGTCTTGGAATCTTAAAAATTTAAGATGAATACAATTCTCGTAGATGGATAAGATGAAGGTAGAGATGGCTGCCTTAGGGTTTCCAGCTCTGAGGGTACTCAGGCCAGGCTTAAATGCAGATTTGATCAAGAAATTAAAATAACCTAGAGTAGGCAGAGGAAGTTTCAGCGAAAACAGTTTATTCCATATTTTATTGACTTAATCAATTAAATCAGTAGTTGTAATGTTTTCTTGATAATTAAAGAATCTAGCAACCAGTCTATAAAAGAAATAACTTTTAATTGGCTTGTTTATAAAATATAGTTGAATGATTTTGGATAAGCAAAATGTGAAGAAAAATAAAATGACTTACATTTCAAACCTCTACAGTGGCATGAGAAATAATAGATATGCAAAGTGCAATCTGATTAGAAAGTGCAATTGGAATAATTAAACTGAGAGATGGTAGCAGATAGTATGAATTACTTACTGGTTTAACTTTATTAAAAAATAGAGCCTGAAACACAATCTTTCTTGACTATTGAAACTACAGTTACTTAGACCAAAATCAGTAAAACGAAAATAAGTAAGTGGATTTCTTCTCTGGGAAATTTGGGCATGCACACATTTCTGTCTGGGAAAGATAGTCCACAGTGTTAGTCAGAATTTGACTCCACAAATAATTTTAGAGTCTGGCTCTACAGGAGATAAAATTTGTTTCACTATTTTAGACATCTTGCCTTATATAATATATAGATATTTTATTGCCTCAATCTCTGTAACTCTAAAAAGGAGGAAAAAAGGTTGCCAATTGTCTCATAGCTACTCCATGATTAATTTCTACTAAATTTTTACTAGAACTACCATCAGCATTCAAATATTTCTTTTCCACAGATTATTTTAGAATAATAATATTGTTTATTCTATCAAAGGCAATTATTTTTTCATCTAATCACATTTATATAGAATACGTTTCATTAGCTCTACTTTTTTTTTTCCTGTTTTGTTTTGTTTCCCAAATAGAATCTGAATGGGTCTTTTAGTAGAAAAGTTTTTAAGATTGTTTTCTTGGAGTAAAATCACATAAAAGAATGAACACTTCCTGTATTTGGAATAGCATACAGGGCTTTCGGATGGCAAAGGTCAGTGTTTTCTCTCTTGAATGAGACCACCTGTACTTTAAGGTTAATTACTTTGTGACAACAGGTACTATACTCTTTACAAGATAACAACCATAAAATTGAAAAATAAGCCAGAAAGTCTCTTGGTTCATCAGCCTGAAAATGCTGTAGTCTTTGGTATGTGTCATCTGTTATTGACTTCTCTAATACCTTTGATTTAGACCTTCCAAAAGTAATAATTACATCTCTGAAAGGATTAATCTCTCTTTGCCTTATATGTACAGCCCTAAAAATCACAAATCTCTGACTTTTCCCTGCCTTGACCTATTTTTCTGACAGAGTACACATTACATATTTCACTTTTTACTCAATCAATTACAGTACCAAATCTTTCACAAATTTTAAGGCATTTATGCCTATTGGAAAAACTAGAATATATATGTGTAGAAAGTCATCATGAGTATTACCAAAGTTTAGCTCTAGATACGTAACAACATTTTATTATGTTTGAGGGCTATATTTCTTTATAACATGGAGGAAGAATATATCTGGCTATCAAGGCTCCAAATAACTCACTTTAAAATTTTTTAAATATATTTTAACAGAAATGAAGGCTCAAACATGATGAAGTTTGCAAACATAAATTAGGTACACTCAATCTCACTGATTTCTTTCAGTAATCAAAACCTTTAAAAATTTCTAAGTGATATAAGTTTCTCAGGTTAAAAGTAAAACTATAGGCAATGTAGAGAAAATATGCACTCACTCTTATTAAAATTTTCTTATTAAAATAAATAGCAGGTTAATAAAACAAAGCTGTTATTCTCTTCATGGTTAGTTATATGCTATGCAACAGAAGTTCTCTGCACAATTACCACTAAAGAAAAGGGAGAAAAGCAGGAAAAAACAACCTAAATGTATTTCCCCTGCACATCAGTAAATAATGATGTTTTACCATGAGGTATGTTAATTGGTGACATTTATACATATACAAGTTTGCATTTAATGCTTTCTCTATTTTTCTAAAACAATTTCTGCTGAAACATAATAGAGAATCAACACAATATTTTCATTCTCTTTACATTTGGATTCTAGTATGTAGATTTCCACATGTGGCTGATTTCATTTAGATATATTTTTTTAATTATTAAGAATAAAATCAACATTGAATCTTTTTGAAACAAAGTCAGTTACCAAATTATTTTATCTTACTTTTCAGTAGAAACTTGCTGTTAACATGTTGGATGATACATAAAGACTTTTCAAAGGAATTGTGGGTAGTAAGAGAGATGTTCATATTGCTTCACAATGAATAAAATATCTGTCTTTTGTATTAGAACATTAGAATAGAAAGTGGAGAAGACTTGTTAATACATAAATGTGGCTTACATGGGACTCTATCATTTTCAAGTTGCAGAACAACAATCACATTAAATGAAACAAAAGAAATTAATTAATTGAAAGCTTCATAAAACAGCAGAAATATTGGTTTTCATGCCTTTCAGAAAAGATGATATGGAGGACAACTAATCTTATTGGCCCGGGTTGGATCAGGCAATCAACACTGAGCCAGTCATTGTGACTATGGACATGGAATGTTCTGACTGGTCAGGCCTAAATTAGGAACAAGTGGCAAGGGATAGCATAGGCTATGCGCTGGGGAGGGGTGATTTTCAAAAAGACAGATGCCCTCTACTGCATAAACAATTCTTTAGGGACTCTGGATAAAAAGAGAGAGTGAGAGAAAGAGAGAGATTAATGAAGCATAATCGTTGTCCTCCATGCGTATTCAAAATGGAGACACAGCAGTGTAAATGCATAACTAAAAATACAATAAAAACTTTTATGCCTGACATAATATTAGTCATGAATTCACTGGAAAATAGCAGAGTCAAGGACTTTGAATGATAGATCATTCAAATATAAGAGGAATGGCATTGCAATATAGAGAAATCCTTTTTAAGGTGATTAATTCATCCTCCCTGAAAAGCTTATAATTTACTTTTATATGCATAATAAGCACTAAACAGTGATGAGGATCTAAAGAACACAAGCTGAAAAGAGAGAGAATTATAGTATCAAATATGAAGATAAAAGACAACTTATTGTCATGATGCTAAATGGGAAAATATTGTACAAAATTCATAGTACAGTACATGCAATTTGTAAATAAAATCACATTTAAAGTAAAATATGAGCAATTGTAAATGCAAAATACAAACTAAAATAAGGTATATAAAGAAACACATATGGCACAAAATATGGCAGATGGGAGGAAGGACACAGTAAAGTAAACAGAAGTATCCGCAGAACAAACTACACAAGGACAGGTGGAGGCACCGAGAACCAGATCAGAAGCCATTCCTTCAGCGACCCAAGGAGAGGGCCTTACCGTCCCCAGTTAACAGCCACAACACAACTCAAGATTATTTTCAGACAGTATATGTAAGCATGGATAGATTTTTATGTATGCATTTTATTCCAAAATTTTGCTTTGCTATTTTCAATAAATACTTGATATATTTAAGAAGTCATGGGTTAAGGAACTCTACAGCTTTTGTTAGGTACATATTACAATAGAAATTTTGTGCCAACATTATGTACAATTAGATTTAAAAAATCCTTTCGTAAAGGTGTATCTTAATTTTGTTTATTTTTCTTCAGGTGTACTGACAGAAGCTTAAAGTAAGGCAATTGGAAATGAGGCATTTTGAAAATGTAGGTCTTGAATCTAGCCAGGAGAGAGTAAAATGCTGTACTTTGTACAGTGATAGTTTTTCTTTAAGCATACTCAATGTAGTTTTTCTTGTCTTGTAAATTACTACTACCAACCCTCACCATGAGTACTCAATAATCTATTTGTTGTTGTTGTTGCTGCTGATGTTGCTTTAGAATAAGAATACAGGAAAGAAAAACTAGAAATTTTTCTTTAAAGCCACCTGTTACAAGGGGTGAGATGGCAAAGAAGGGAATGATGCTTCTCTGAGTACACATGTTGGTATTTCTTAAAATTTACTTAACTGTATTGAGGTATTCCTTATATACAATAAAATGCACAGCTATTGAGTGACAGGACAATATTTTTTGATAAATGTATGCAATCACAGAACAATCTTCCATTGAAGAAAGATGTAGAACACCACCATGGTGCCAAAACCTTCCCTCTTCTCCAAGTAACCACTGATCTGATTTTTATTAATATAATCATTTCTAAAACTGTATGTAAATGAAATCACAAAACATGCATATGCTTTTATATATATGTTCTTGTTTCTGGCCTCTCTTGCTTAATGTACATATTTTAAAATTCATCCATGTTGTTGTACTTATTTTTAGTTTATCATTTTTTCTGAATAGTATTCAACTATATGAATATAACAAAGCTTTTTTATTGTAATCCTATTGATAATTGTTTTCAGTTTCATACTCTTGATTAGAGCTGCTATAAACATTGTTGTACAATTTTTGGTTTTGGTTTTGCTGTTATTGTTAACATGTTTTTATTTATTTAGTTTAATATTTAACATTTTGTTTAAACTTGGAGTGAAATTGCTACTTTTAGTTACTGATCCAATATAAAGTATCAAATGATTAGATAGTCAAATCAAATTTCAGTAAATCAGAAATGTTGTCTATTATCTAGCTTTGCTAATCATTTCAAAGATGCAGACAAATTTGTAGGAAAGGGCTTAATACATCAATGGCAGCTGAGACATTTCTTACTACAGTGGACATGTAATCTCCACCCCAGAAAACAGACAAGTAATAGTGACTCTAGTTATGGATACTGTACTGTGTACTTGAAAATTCCTGACAGGGTTAGCAAAGTTCTAAAATGTTCTCTCCATAAAAAAAAAAAAAGTAGGTGAGGTGATGGCTATGTGAATTAGCTTTATTTAATCATTCCACAATTTACACATACCAAATCATATTATGGACTATAAATACATACAACTTTTATTTGTCAATTATATCTTTATAAAACCAAAAAAAATGCTTAAAACAGGGACAAAAAAGTAGATGAGGACTCCAAGTGAGATTTGCAGATTTACCTCACTCAAGTAGGAGAGATTTTACTTTTTGAAACATCTCTATTTTACACCTTGGCTTACATGACGTTTTCAGGATGTCATGCCTTCAAATCTCCATAGATTCTGGGCATATTCACATGTCGTCTTTCAACAAGAATACTCTATTAAGCACAATATATGGGAGATCGAGACCATACAGTCTAACACAGTGAAACCCTGTCTCTACTAAAACTACAAAAAATTAGCAGGGTGTGGTGGCGGGTGCCTGTGGTCCCAGCTACTCGGGAGGCTGAAGCAGGAGAATGGCGTGAATCCGGGAGGCGGAGCTTCAGTGAGCCGAAATCCGCCACTGCACTCCAGCCTGGGCTACAGAGCGAGACTCCGTCTCAAAAAAAAAAAAAAAAAAAATAACAAAGTATGGATAAGGAGCATACACCTAGCAAAAATTCACATAAATAAAGCCATGTGCTACAGGTATCATGTTGAAAGTAATTTAGACAAGATCGCTTTCCTTTTCTTCTTATCCGGGAGGCATTCCCTCAGCTGCTTTATCTCCTTCTTCGCTAGTTGGCTACATGTTTAAGTGTATATGAGAAACTGCTGAGATGTTTATTTATCAAAGCGGCCGGACAATTTTATTTATCCACCTGCAATAAGTGATGGTTCCCATTGTTCCACATCCTCACAAACAGCATTGTCAGTCTTCTTAAATTTTAGCTATTCCAGTAAATGTGTGGTGTGTCTCACTTTGGTTTTAATTTGCATTTCCCGCTGACTAGCGATGCTCAGCACCTTTCTACATGATTATTGGCTATTCCTAAATCTTTTGTTGAAAAATATCTGTTCAAGTCTCTTGCTCATTTTTATTGTACTTCTCTATTTTTTAAAATCTATTTGTAGGAGTCCTTTATATACTCTAGATGCTGATGCATCACTGAGTGTAAATATACACACAAACATACATAAACTTATATTAATAATTTGAAAAAGTCCATTTATCTTTTTTTTATGATTAGTGCTTTATTGTGTCTTAGGAATTTTTTGCTGTCTCAGTTCTACAAATATATTATCCTGTGTCTCTTTCCGGAAACTTTACTGTTTAGCTTATATATGTGTAAGTATGTTTTATTTCAAATGCATTTTTATGTATAATTTGTGATAAGCATTTATTTTAGTGCTTTATCATACATTTCTCCAGTATGTTCAATATTATTTGTTGAGGAATCTTTCATTTTCTTTTTAGAATGCCTTGTCATTCTATTTACTTTGTCAAACTTATACTGAATATATCTGTCTAGATCTGTTACTGGCCCACCTACTTTGTTTCATTGATCTTTCTATCCACTTTTTGTTATTGCTTTTTTTGTTGTTGTTTTGTTTTGTTTTGAGACAGAGTTTCACTCTGTCTCTCAGGCTAGAGTGCAGTGGAACGATCTCGGCTCACTGCAAGCTCTGCCTCCCGGGTTCACGCCATTCTCCTGCCTCAGCCTGCCGAGTAGTGGGACTCTAGGCGCCCACAACAGCGCCCGGCTAATTTTTTTGTATTTTTAGTAGAGACGGGGTTTCACCATGTTAGCCAGGATGGTCTCGATCTCCTGACCTCGTGATCTGCCCGCCTCGGCCTCCCAAAGTGTTATTGCTTTTACTTTTGGAGCTTTATTAGTATTATATACATTTGAAATAATACAATTATATCAACAAGAATTAGGGGGAAATCCATAAAGGCAATATAATAGAAAAGTTAAAAATAACTATATTTCAGATAGAGCTAAATGAGCCAAATTTCCCAAGCTGTAGTTGCAGTGTATATTAGATCTTTATGAAAGATAAAATCATTCCCATTGGCTATAAATGAGTTACAGAATTCTCATTATTTAACATTTTAAATATTAGGAAACATTCCATTTACTATTTGCTTTGTTATTGCTCTTGTTTTTTCTTTATCCTAATGAAATGTATGGAATAAAGTGTTTGTAAATGGAAACAGTTAGGCATTTTTCTCAGGATTTTATGTTGTGAGTGAGTCATGGAAATTACTGAAGTCTAAGAAAAACCAAGGGTCCTTAGCATCATGACCGACACTGAAGTAAGTATTATTAGATTCTATGCTGAGAGTGAACATTTAGTTCCTACTTATTACAGTGTTTCAGGTGTATAATTTTTAGAATCCTTGTTTTACATACAGTCCCAGTTCTCATTTCCCTATTTAGGTATTGTCTAATGCAGTAAAAACATAACATTTACATTGATGAAACATTCGGTTTATGTGATTTTTTATTGAAGAAAATACAGAGAAAGTGCAATGCCACCAAAATATGTTTCTAGGGCAAAAGAAATGTCAGATAGAATGTGACTCAACAAGCCATAATGTGAAGGATATAGGAAACACTATCATTCACAACTGTCTCTTATAGACAAGAGAAAATAATTACTATTAATATTACAAATGTGCTATAATGAGATGCAATATATATCTTGTTCATAGGATCAGCCTGTCGCTCATCTCTCTGTTTTGTGAAGTATTATACTCAGTTTTTCTTCATAAATTTGTACCTATCTTCAACATCTTCCAGTCATTTTCTAAAACCTATTATCAAGTAATAGCTACCAAAACCACTGTTTGTATGTAATGTCTGTATGAAAATTGTGTAAAGGCATGTGAAAGCAAGAGGTAGTTTTAGAGTAAATTAATTACAGAAGTAATTTTATTTTATTATTTCATTTTATTTTTGAGATGGAGTCTTGCTCTGTCATCCAGGCTGGAGTGCAGTGGCGTAATCTCAGCTCACTGCAGCCTCTTCCTCCCAGGTTCAAGCAGTTCTCCTACCTCAGCCTCCCAAGAAAGTGGGATTACAGGCATGTGCCACCAGTCCCAACTGATTTTTGTATTTTCAGTAGAGAGGAGTTTCATCAAGTTGACCAGGCTGGTCTTGTACTCCTGGCCTCAAGTGATCCGACACCCTAGGCCTCCCAAAGTGCTGGGATTACAGGCATGAGCCACCGTGCCAGGTCTGTTACAGAAATAATTTTAAATAGCTATTTTGTAATGAGTTTAAGATCTCGAAATATTATTTTTGTCTCCCTCAATACTTTTCATTCTTTTTCTAGTCACATTAGGGTGTCCACATTGTCTAAACGATAATTAGATTTGCTAAAATTCATGCTTTTTGTTTTATATTATGCTGAGAATTAAAGCAGAAGGTTTTAAAGAAGCAGAATAGGAGTGTATAAAAAATAAAGAAAGGAAGATCAGGAGGATAATGGGAGAGAAAGACCCTTTCCTGAAAACAGTAGATAGGACTGGATTGATGCTAAGAAAAAAAATAAACATTTGAGACCCTGATTTTGATAAAAGAAAAAAGTCTCCTGATTTGGGGAGATCACCATGAGAGAAAGGAATCAGAGTTTGTATTAGTTTGCTAGAACTGCCATAACAAAGTACCACAGACTGGATGGTGTAGACAACAAATATGTATTTTCTCACAATTCTGATGAGCAAGGTCTTAACAGGGTTAGTCTCTTCTAAGACCTCTCTCCTTGGCTTTTGGATAGTCCTTTTGCTCCCGTGTCCTCCACATGGGTTCTCTCTTTGTGTGCTTGTGCTCTAATCTATTCTTATAAGAACACTAGTCATACTGGATTAAAACCAAACCATATAACCTTATTTAACTTAAATTACCTCGTTAGAGACCCTATATTCAATTAGGGTACTGGGGATTAGGACTTCATCAGATAAACCTGGGTGGGAGCACAGGGCAGCACAATGCAGCCCATAAAAGAGCTGAATGACTGTAACACAGTTTCCAGACACAGAGGCAACACATCAAATAGAAGCAGAAACGTCAACAAAGTAAGCCACCATTCCACTTCACCCAAACTCTTCTTATTATCACCTATGTTCAAGTTTGTTATCCTATATCCACCTGCCTTCTCCTTGTCCAATACTCTAGTAAGTAAACTCTTCCAGACACTGAAGTTGTTCTTCCCAAGATGGACAGTGGCATTGTGGAAGGACAGGCCCCATTTCTGGCACTGAGCATGATAGAACGGTGTAGAAAATGATCCTTCTTAAATTGTAATTAATTTCAAAAATTAGCTCATTGAGGAAACAGGATTTATTTAGAACTTCATATACATTTATTTTTTTAATTTTAATTTTTAATTTGTGAAGATACATAGTACGTGTATACATTTATGGGGTATATGATTTTTTTTTTTTTTTTGAGATGGAGTCTCCCTCTGTCGCCCAGGCTGGACTGCAGTGGCGTGATCTTGGCTCACTGCAACTTCCACCTCCCAGGTTCAAGTGATTCTTTTGCCTCAGCCTCCCGAGTAGCTGAGACTACAGGCCCGTGCCACCACGCCAGCTAATTTTTTTGTATTTTTAGTAGAGATGGAGTTTCACCGTGCTAGCCAGGATGGGCTTGATCTCCTGACCTCATGATCCACCCGCCTTGGCCTCCCAAAGTACTGGGGTTACAGGCATGAGCCACCACTCCTAGCCTTATAAAATGTTATAATACAGGCATGCAAAGTGTGATAATCACAGCATGGAGAATGAGGTATCCATTCCCTCAAGCATTTATCTTTTGTGTTACAAACAATCCACTTATATACTTTTCATTATTTTAAAAGGTACAATTAAGTTATTATTGATTATAGTCACTTTATTGTGCTATTATAAGATTGTTCTTATTCTTTCTACTTTTTTAGTACCCATTAACCATCCCCATCCCACCCCCACTACCCTTCCCAACCTCTGGCAACCATTCTTCCACTTTCTATGTCCAGGAGTTCAATTGAAAAACTTCCTATTTCTGAGTTTTAAACTGTAGCTTAAAAGGTTAGAAACCACTACTTTCAAACAATATGTCAGAATTTAAAGAGAATAATACCCTTTGGTGATAATGGACCATAATACCTTTTGGTGAGATGCTTCTGGTGTCAAATTACACATTACATCACTTTATTGAAGCGCTCCGAGCACAATTTAATGCATTATTTTAGGATCTAAAAATGATATAAGAGATTAAATGTCTCATACTTTGAGATTGGATGATTGTTACAATATCCATCAAAACATTTTCTCTCCATAAGACTTAATGAATCAGGCCCTATACCTAAGTACTGAGGCCATTAACCAATTACTAAACCTCACTCCTTTTCTCTCACCCACTCACTTTAACACCAATCACCTTAGTGATTGCCTACCATGAAACTGGTATTTGAGATATGTTCTATTTTTAATAAATTGTTCTTTATGACTTGTCTTTAGCCACTTAAAGGTGGAGTGCTGAATATCAGCATCCCTTTCTAGTTTCCATTCCACTTAAATTTATCAGTTACCAAAGAAGATTTAAAAAAAAATTACTTAAATACCAATTGTATATTTTGAGCTTGTAAAACTATTCCTATTCATTATATTTTCTTCTATATTAGAGTTCTGTCCATTCCTATGACATGCAAATGAAAAAAAAAAAAAAGAAGAGTCTGCTTCATTCCAGCAGCACAATTACAACTACATAGCAGTGCTTTCATGTTCCAGGGATAATGTTGACATTGATTTCACCCGACACAGGAAGACACCCCCCCCCATTAACTTCACATATTTTTTTTTACATAATATAATACTGCAGAAGGCAAGACCTGCTTGACATGCCAGATTGTGAGGTATTTTAAGGTGGTCATCGGAAATTATCATACCTCCTATTTTTGTGCCTTTTCCCCAGCCATAAGTATTCTTAATTAAAACTAAAATAAAACATCTGCATACATTAAAAAGTTATAAAGATGCCACCATTTTATCAAAAGTATATTTATTTTTTCATGTACATATTCCTTTACACTTGGTCGTTTTCAATTTAAATCAGAGGCAATTTTCATAGTGTATGTACTAAAAATAGACCGATACCAATATCAATACTAATAAATTGTTTTGCACTTTTTGGATGAAAGACCCTGTGGTATGTTTTAGATTAATTATGTCAGATAATCATAACATTATGAGATGGCTTCAGTTGTCATGTGAATGATGGTGAAGTTGATTCTGGCTCTTATAGTAAGAATGTGGAGAAGTTGACAACCAGGCCAAATCTTGTCAGACATTAGACACATTTAACTTAACCATGTCTCTCTGTAGCAAGTTCTGTTTATTCATCTATTTTTTATTTTCCAAATTGTATAATCTGGCATATGTTATATTAGTTGTATAATGCAATATAATTGTAAAAGTTTATATGTATAAAGCTGTAATTTGATTATAAATAATCCCCAAACCCCTGATATAATAATTTATTATGGCTTTATTAAATATAAGAAGTATCAAAATATTTAATTATAGATATATTTACATAATTATTTAAATATTTTATCTCTGTAAAAAAATTAAACACTATAGATAAAGTTATAGTATAATCCTCCATGACTTTTGCAATTCCCGTTTTTTCAGATGTAACTATTGTTATGATATCAATATAATTCAGTATCTGTTTTGGTTTTCTCTGTGTTCCTAAGCCCCTGATATTGAAATCAAATATATATTTATAATCCTCAGGGATTTTTATAAGGCCAGCAGAAAATGTTATTAGGGATATTATCTTTTGAAACAATTTCCATTAAAAGAAGATAAGGTTTATAGAAATAATTTCAAATTTTAATGTGGGATAAGCAATTTGGATGGTAAGATACTTCCACAATATTCTATCATATGAGGAAATTATCATCCTGTGAAAAGACTCAGGAGTCAATTTGAAGATGCTCCCAGTAGCCAAAGACAATAAATTGCAATAATTAAAACAAATAGTAGCTACATTTCATTAAAATACATCGTATATGTTTACATTCTTGTTTTCATAATAATACAAATAGCTTTGCATTGGTTAAACTGATAAATGCCAAGAACTAAAAATATTATTTTGAACATACCAAGGGAAATAATACAGAATTTATACCTTTTTCTCTCTGATTATCTGATCTCAGAGTAACTGATATTTAAAGATAAATAGAAGGTTTTCATTATAAAATAAATCCATATAATAATAAAATAAAAATGTTACTATATCTCTATTTTTCATCAACCCTTAAAGACCTGATTGACCTAGGCAATGATAACCAATGGCTAATAATATCACAAAAGCTAAACATACATATATTATGTACCTGTTGGTCTAATGGAAGTTTGAATTACTACTTAGGCAGTAATTTTGTGAAATAAAGGAAATCAACATGAAGCAGATCAAGTTTCTAGATTAAAACCGTCCAATAGAACTCTCTGTGATTATAGAAATACTTTATATCTGCACTTTCCACTATAAAAGCCATTAGCCACATGTGGCTATTGAGTACTTAAAGACAGCTAATACAACTGAGGAATTGAAAAATTAATATTATTTAATGTTAAATAATTCAAGATTAGATTAAAATAGTCCCATTTAGCTACTGGTAAACATATCGGACAAGAGTGCTCTAAATCAAAGTCCAATTTATAGTAAATGTAATTATAAAATACCATCTTAAGAGAAGACATGGCGATGTAGTCTGAAACGTCCAGACTCAGCAACTCTATAACACAGCAAACCAGTTCTTCAATTTAAAAAATTCCAAGAAAAAATAAGACAGAGAGGAATAAAAGGTATGCAAGAGCTTCCAGAGAGAAACAAATGATGATAACAGACTTCAAGGGTACAGAACATCATTGGTCTTCTTGAAAGATCTGTGACCTGCAGCTCCATTGGTGGCAGTGCTTTGGGGCAGAGGTAATATCTTAGAATGGTTGCTTGATTTTTCTAGAGGGATTGAATCTTAGGATGTGGGCTCTCAAACTTTCCAAATATTCTAAAGTCCATAAAATATGCAATAGATACCCTACCATGTTTTGCTTAACAATGGGGATACATTCTGAGAAATGTGTTCTTAGGCAATTTTGTTGTTGTGTGAACATCACAGAGTTTGCAAAACAACCTAGATATTGTAGCCTACTAAACACTTTGTGTGGTAAAGCTCTTTGGCTACAAATCTGTAAAGTATGTACAGCTTTAATACTGAATTAAAACTAAATACTCTGGGCAATTGTAACACAGTGGTAAGTATTTGTGTATCCCAATCTCTCTAAACACAGAAAAAATAAAATAAAAATACAGTATAAAATATATTTTTTAAATGGTGCATCTGTATAGGTCACTTAACCCTGAATGAAGCTTGCAGGACTTAAGTTGCTCTCAGTGAGTCAGTAAGTAAATGGTCAGGGAAGGAGAAGGCCTAGAACATTATTACACACTTTTAAATGACTAGAAGTACAGTAGGTTTTTTATACTCCAGTATCATCGCATTACAAAGGCTATGACATCATTAGGCTACAAGAATTTTTCAGTTTTATTATAATCCTGTAAGCCCATTATTGTATATATGGTCCAGTGTTGACTTAAGTGTTGTTATAAGGTGCATAACTTTAAAATAATTTTTGGATTTTGAAAGATTATGCAATCTTAGCTGTCATGTCAGCAATAACCAGGTTGGTTAGGTTTCTCTAAAGAAGTGCAAACATTAAAACAAAACTTGAGTGTACATTTCATTATTTGAATAGAGTGAAAGCCAACCTTCATAAAATGGAGGAAGTCCTTATAATATTAATATTTAGAAATAATAATAATGACAACAGAAACAATTATATGTGAAAACTTAATATGAACCAATCACTTTTTTAAAGCTTAGCATGTATAATTTGATTTGTATCTCACAACTGGAATTTTATCTATGTTACAAATGAGAAACCATAGGACAGAAATACTAATGTGCACAGATCACACAGATAATCATAATTGAGTAGTACCCTCAGCTTGTGCTCTTAATCAAATTAAATGACTGAGGTTTTTTCCTTTTTAAGGTAGAATATGAGTCAAAATCAAAATTAAAAACTTGAAAATAAAAGTAGAGATATTTTCAGTATTTCTAAAGTATAAGGCTAACATTCATATTGTGTGTGTTTAAAAATATATACTCATGTTTATTTTGTGCCTATTTCATAAATTTTAAGAGATTGTACTACTGTTTTGCTATATGCACTATTTTAATTCAAGAATATAATTTTCATTGTCAGTTCTCATATCATTGCATGCTATGAATATGTTATATTTTATTTAAATATATCTGTGTTGTAGGACATTTTTTATTGTAACTAACTCTATGAATACAGACATTATGTCTTTCTACATTTCTAAGGAGTCTCCACCCAGCAGATATTCTGGAACATTAATTCAATAAATGATTAGAATAGACCAGTGAATGAGAGGTCTTTAAAACTAGCAAACTTTCTAAAATCTAAATTTACTCTGAGAAAAAAAAAGGGTGCTGTGTATTATATGGAGTACTAACATTTTTCTACTTTATATTCAAAGAATCATATTTTCATATGTCTAAGCTATTATATTTTTTCTGATGTGTCTTCAAACTTAAACTGAAGCCCATGATTGGTCTTCAGAGAAATGCTCAAATATCTTAAAATCAGATGCCAAATTCAAATATGATTTTTATTTATTATTTATTTATTTATGTAATTATTTATTCCTGCAGAGAGTACCAAGTAGAGTTCACTTTCTAACCTAACCAATCTTCCAACCACATATTAGATTGTCAAAGACATTCTCCTATGTTACTAACATTAATACTTATCTGATAGTGATGTTGCTTAAAAAAAGTATGTTTTACATTCCTTGAGTTCTTCAAGTAGACTTGTTTCTTAGTAAACTTCCTAAATATCCATAATCTATTATTAGATATAATAAAAGTTCTTATAAATCACTCTAAAAGTTTTGAACCAAAAATGTGGAGAGAATCATTCTTAACCTTGTAAGAGAATCATAGTTGTTGATTTCAATGACTTCTAATTAAATAATTACCCTAATGAATAAAGTGATGAAAACAATTATCAAGTAGAGGACAATATTTATAGACCAAATTAAGCATAACAAAACTAGATTGGACTTCATTTTGTATACAAACTTAGAACAGCACAATTTTAAAGCAATGCTCAGTACTATTCAAAAGAACAAATATTTATTTTGAGACCTAATAAAATGCTAAAAATGGGCACCAAACTCCAAGTTTTTTTTCTAATTTAGTGGTTGTAAAATGGTGTTTATAAATTAAAACTACGACAACAAAGTACTATCACCAAGTAATTTTAAAATCTTCTGCCTAAAATATGCTCCACTTAAACACTTATATTTATATTGTCATATTAAATATTATAAAGATTTCTGAGGTAAAGAAACCAATTTAAGTTTGCTTAACTTATTTCCTCAACTGTGATAGAACAGTGAATATGGCCTTTTATGAATACTTTAATATTATTATCAAATGCATGAATAGTTTGTTACATACTGATGTAAATACAATATTTTATGTGGATTGCTAGCTTATCCTTTAGGAAAGATATATGCCTCAATGCAATCTATTATGATATAGAAACAGAACATAGACAACAAATTTTTAAAAGATTTAATATCTTTATATTTTATAGTATGATTTTTTCTGATTCAATAGATATTACTGTGATTACTATGTTCCAAGCAATATTAAAGCACCAACTCTTTATTGATCTATTCTTTAATTAGAAAAAATGTGAGAAAAAGGTTGGCTATTGATCACATAAAGTAAGGGCAGGAACAAATTCTTGAAGGATTTTACTTAAAGTAAGGATATACCAACTTATAGGGAGGCCCAAGTGGAAACCCCTTAAATATCCTCAGATACTTGATCAGGATAAAAATAAATAAATACACTGCCGTATCCTGAGAAAATTTATAAATTTAGTGTCATCAACAAAGATTTAAAGGATTAAGAGCTAGACTCTTTATCTAATCCCTTTTCAGCTCAACTCTAAAGCTCCTGCAAAAAGAAGATGGAACTGTCACAGACAAAGGCTCCTATGGAGATGTGGTATCTAAATGTCATGTGGTGCCATGGATGGCATCCTGGAACAGAAAAGGGGCATTAGGTAAGAACTTGCAATAATATTTTGGCAACAACAAATTTATTCTAGCAGTTATGATGAAGGTAATTTAAGAGAAGCCACATCAGCCTCCTTTGGGGGAAAATAATCAGGATTTTCTGTGAATTCCTGAGGACATTACATTTTTTTTATTATTATACTTCAACTTCTAGGGTACATGTGCACAATGTGCAGGTTCGTTACATATGTATACATGTGCCATGTTGGTGTGCTGCACCCGTTAACCCATCATTTATATTAGGTATATCTCCTAATGCTATCCCTCCCCCCTCCCCCCACCCCACAACAAGTCCTGGTGTGTGATGTTCCCCACCCTGTGTCCAAGTGTTCTCATTGTTCAATTTCCACTTCTGAGTGAGAACATGCAGTATCTGCTTTTCTGTCCTTGGCGATAGTTTGCTGAGAATGATGGTTTCCAGCTTCATCCATGTCCCTACAAAGGACATTAACTCATCATTTTTTAGGGCTGCATAGTACTCCATGGTGTGTATGTGCCACATTTTCTTAATCCAGTCTATCATTGATGGACATTTGGGTTGGTTCCAAGTCTTTGCTATTGTGAATAGTGCCACAATAAACATGCGTGTGCATGTGTCTTTATAGCAGCAGGATTTATAATCCTTTGGGTATATACCCAGTAATGGAATGGCTGGGTCAAATGGTATTTCTAGTTCTAGATCCTTGAGGAATTGCCAGACTGTCTTCCACAATGGTTGAACTACTTTACAGTCCCACCAACAGTGTAAAAGTGTCCCTATTTCTCCATATCCTCTCCAGCACCTGTTGTTTCCTGACTTTTTAATGATTGCCATTCTAACTGGTGTGAGATGGTATCTCATTGTGGTTTTGATTTGCATTTCTCTGATGGCCAGTGATGATGAACATTTTTTCATGTGTCTGTTGGCTGCATAAATGTCTTCTTTTGAGAAGTGTCTGTTCATATCCTTTGCCCACTTTTTGATGGGGTTGATTTTTTTATCTTGTAAATTTGTTTAAGTTCTTTGTAGATTCTGGATATTAGCCCTTTGTCAGACAGGTAGATTGTAAAAATTTTCTACCATTCTGTAGGTTGCCTGTTCACTTTCATGGTAGCTTCTTTTGCTGTGCAGAAGCTCTTTAGTTTAATTAGATCCCATTTGTCTAATTTGGCTTTTGTTGCCATTGCTTTTGGTGTTTTAGGACTTTAGGTGTTTTAAAAAATGGAAACCTATTTATTTTAATTGAAAGTAATATAGCTGCATGCAATTTTTGGCTGCAATATTGCACAACACAGTTAAACATAGTCATGGAAGCGGCCCACAGTTTCCCAAATTACCTGTGTCTTGTCAAGGTTTGTGTTGGTTTTAAGATGTGTCTCTTTGATACACCACTCTAAAATCAGATTTGTTTAACAGAGATCATTCTCTTTTGTAAGCCCTGAACTCCTATTCTTATCCCCAACAGCCTCATTAGTTTATCAAAATCCTATTAACTTCTCAGTTTCTGGGCAGTCTCTAAAACATTCAGAAAAAAAAAAAATCAATAGAGGAAAAGAGGGCCCCAAAGTAGCCTGCCTATCTACGCTTTCTGCCTCTTCTAGATATCGTCTCTACAACACCTCATTGTCTTGGTGGTTCTCTGTATTTAAATACTTTCACAAATATATAAAGTTTATTGATGCCTGGAAGTCTGAGGAAAACATATAATCCTGAGTAAAAAGATAACAAAAAATAGTTATTTTAAAACTGGCATATATGATGAGAAAATTTACTTATAATCAGTATTTACCATTTGCCAAACAAAGTTCACAGCTTCATATCGTATAACTTTGTTTGGTATCAAGCTAGAACCCTTCCCTTTTCCTTGCACTATTATCCAGCTGTACATTCACTCATCAACCTTGTCCCATACTCGTCAAAATAAAATGGCAGTTGAAATTTCTCAGCTATGAAACATAAGAAATTGCATTATGGTTATCTTACTTTTTGCATATGATTTTCCAGTTGATTAAAAATCAATATGATACATACTAAAAATACATTTTTATAACAATTTTATCATATTTCTGTGTACATAAGACAACATACCACTTGTTGAACTTAATACGTCCATCATATCTAAAATTTCTGAATATTTTAAAGTATGTTATTAAAGTAGAATAAATATGTTTTGTATTAAATTAGTATTTGTGATTTGTGACATTATTTAAAATACAGAGCTGTCTCAAAGAGCAAGCTAGAATTTCTAGTTTAGAAAAATATCCAAAAATTTCCACGTCTCTTAAATATCACAAACCATATATATTTTTTGTCGATTTGAAGGAAAGTAGAGGAATGTAAAACATTATAGTACAGATAATGCTTTATGTCATCTTTCATTTTGCCACAAATGTTGTGCTATGTCCTACTAGTTTTCTATTTCTGCAAAACCAAAAATATCATTACAAACTTAGTAACTTGAAAGGACCCAAATTTATTATCTCAGAGTTTCTTTGGGTCAGCAGTTCAACACATGTGAATGAGTTCTCAGTTCCGGTTCTCATAAGATCTGTATCAAGGTGTTGACTGCTGTCTTCACTGAGGCTCAATGAGGTTCATTGAGGTTCATTGAGTCTGTTCCAAGGTCTCTGAAATTGTGGACACTTAATTTTTTTTCTTGTCTTGTGGCTAGAGATCAATCTTAGTACCTAGGGGCCACTCTCAAGTAAGTTAACTGATTTGATACTTTAATTAAATATGAGAAATTCCTATTTATAAAAATGATAGCCCATCACACATTCACCCTCAAGGTGATGAGGGGATCATAAAAGGTATATACTCTAGGGTATGAACTCACAGGGGCCATATTAGAGTTCTCTCCCTTCCATATATATGAATATGCCTTAAAAGATATTTTAATATTATTTATTAGCAACTATAATTTTTATCTAATGTGAATATTTACATATTAAAAACATTACTTTTTTGTTTTAGCTAAATGTCACTCTTTCATTTTGTTGTAGATGCAAATAATATTTTCAACTTTTATAAGTAATTTTGCCTCCATGATAGAGAAAAATTTCTTAAGACCAAAATGCTAGTAAAGCTTAGATCCATGCATCTATGATAATCTTTTCAATGTATTTTACCGTAAGTGGAGACAATAATTTTTTTCTTTTTTTATACTTTTTAGTTTTTGTCAGCACATAGTAAGTGTATGTATTTATGGGGTACATGAGACGTTTTGATACAGTGATGCAACAAAAAATAATCACATGGAGAATGGACATCCATCCCCTCAAGCATTTTATCTTTGTGTTAAAAACAATCCAATTACAATCTTTTAGTTATTTGAAAATGTACAATTAACTTATTATTGATTACAGTCATCCTGTTGTGCTGTCAAATACTAGGTATTATTTATACTTTCTGGGGTTTTTTGTACCCACTAATCATCTGCCCACTGACCCCCACTCCACTGCTACCTTTCTAAGCCTCTGGTAACCATCCTTTTACTGGTCCATGAGCTCAATTGAATTTTAAAGCCCACATAGTACTTATTTTTGATCCCACAAATAAGTGAGAAAATGTGAGGTCTGTCTTTCTGTGTTTGGCTTTTTTCACTTAACACAATGATCTCCAATTCCATTCATGTTGTAGCGAATGGATCTCGTTCTTTTTTAAGGCTGAGTGGTACTCCATTGTGTATATGTGTCACATTTTCTTTACCTGTTCATCTGTTGATGAACACTTAGGTTGCTTCCAAATCTTAGCTTTTGTAAACGGTGCACAACAAACATAGGAATGCAGATATCTCTTCCATATACTGAGTCCCTTTATTTTGGATATATACTCAGCATTGTGATTGCTGGATCATGTGGTAGCTCTTTTTTAGCTTTTTGAGGAACCTTGAAACTCTTCTCCATAGGGATTGTACCAATTTACATTCCCACCAACAGTGTACGAGGGTTCCCTATTCTCCACATCCTTGACAGCATTTGTTATTGCCTGTCTTTTGGATGTAAGCCATTTTAACTAGGGTGAGATGATATTTCATTGTAGTTTTGATTTGCATTTATCTGATAATCAATGATGTTGAGCACCTTTTCAAATGCCTGTTTGCTATTTTTATATCTTCTTTTGAGAAATGTCTATTCAATTTTTCCCCATTTTTGATTGGATTATTAGATTTTTTTCTACAGAGTTGTTTGAGATCCTTAAACATTTTGGTTATTAATCTTTTCTAAAATAAATAGTTTGCACATATTTTCTCCCATTCTGTGGGTTGTTTCTTCACGTTGTTGATTGTATCTTTTGCCATGCAGAAGCTTTTTACTTTGATATGATCCCATTTGTCCATTGCACAATTGATTGCCTGTGGTTGTGGACATTGCTCAAGAAATTTTTCCCCAGACCAATGTCCTGGAAATTTTCTCAATATTTTCTTGTGGTTGTTTCACAGTTTGAGGTCTTAGATTTAAGTCTTCAATCAACTATGAGTTGAATTTTCTATATGGCTACAGATAGGGGTCTAGTTTCATTCTTCTGGATATGGATATCCAGTTTTTCCAGTACCATTGATTGAAGAGACTATTTCCCAGTGTATGTTCTTCACACCTTTGTCCAAAATGAGTTCACTGTTGGTGGGCATATTTGTTTCTGGCTTCTCTACTCTGTTCCATTGGTCTATGTGTCCTTTTTTATGCCAGTACCATGCTGCTTTGGTTACTATAGCTCTCTAGTATAACTTAACATCAAGTAATGTGATTTCTCCACCTCTGTTATTTTGCTTAGGATAACTCTGGGACTTTTCTAGCTCCAAATACATTTTCCAATTGTTTTTTATTCAACTTTTGTGAATAATGTCATTTGTATTTTGATAGGGATTACATTGAATTTGTAGATTGCTTTGGATAGTATGGACATTTTAACAAAATTGATTCTTCCAATCCATAAACATGAAATATTGTTTCATTTTTTGGTGTTTTTTTCAATTTCTTTTAATACTGTTTTGCAGTTTTTATTATAGAGATCATTCACATATTTGGTTAATTGCTAGGTATTTCATTCTATGTGTGGCTATTTCAAATGGGATTGCTTTTTTATTTTTCACATTGTTCACTGTTGGCATGTGGAAATGCTACTGATTTTTGTGGGTTGGTTTGAATCCTGCAACTTTACTGAAGTTATTAGTTCTAACAGTTTTTCATTGAGTCTTTAGGTTTTTCCAAGCATAATATCATATCATCTGCAAACAAGGATAATTTTACTTCTTCCTTTACAATTTTGATTCCCTTTATATCCTTCTCTTGTTTGATTGCTCTAGCTAGGACTTCCAGTATGATGTTGAATAACGGTGGTGAAAGTGGGCATCCTTGTCATGTTCCTGATCTTAGAGAAAAGGCTTTCGGTTTTTCCACATTCAGTAGGACATTAGCTGAGAGTCTATCATATATGCTTTTTAATATGCTTTTTAGTATGTTGAGGTATGATCCTTCTATACCCCCCCTTTTTTAGGGTTTTTTTAATAAAGGGATGTTGACTTTTTAAAAACACTTTTCAGCATCAATTGGATTGATCATATGGTTTTTTCCTTTCATTCTCTTAATATGATGTATCACATTGGTAGATTTATGTATGTTGAACCATTCTTGCATCCCAGGGCTAAATCTCATTTGGTCATGAAGAATGATCTTTCTAATGTACTGTAGAAATTCAGTTTGCTAGTATTTTTGTTGAGGATTTTTGCATTAATATTCATGAGAGATGCTGGCCTATAGTTTTCTTTTTTTGATGTGTCTTTGTCTGTTTTTGGTATCAGAGTAATATTGGCCTTGTAGAATGAGTTTGGAAGTATTTCCTCCTCTTATATTTATCTGAATAGATTTAGTAGTGTTGCTCTTAGTTCTTTAATGTTTGGTGGAATTCAGCAGTGAAGCTATCAGGTCTTTTCTTTACTGGGAGACTTTTTACTGATACTTGTTATTGGTCTGCTGAGGTTTTGGATTTCTTCCGTATTCAATCTAGGTAGGTTTTATGTGTCTGGGAATTTATTCATTTCTTCTTGATTTTCCAATTTGTTGGCATATAGTTGCTCATAGTAGTCACTAATGATCCTTTGAATTTCTGCAGTGTCAGTTGTAATGTCTCCTTTTTCATTTTTTATTTCACTTATTTTTGTCTTCTCTGTTTCTTAGTCTGGCTAAGGTTTATCAATTTTGTTTCACTTTTCAAAAAACCAACTTTTTGTTTCATAAATATTTTATATATGTTTTATTTCAATTTCATTTATCTGCTCTGATCGTTATTATTTATTTTCTTCTACTAACTTTGGATTTTGTTTGCTATTGCTCTTTAGTTAAGATGTTGTATTGCTTATTTGAAATTTTTCTCCTTTTTTGATGTGGCACTTATAGCTATAAACTTCCCTCTTAGTACTGTTTTTGCTGTATCCTATAGGTTTTGTATGTTGTGTTTCCATTATCATTTGTTTCAATAAATTTTTCAATTCCCTTCTTAATTTCTTCATTGACCCACTAGTTATTCAGGAGCATATTCTTCAATTTGTTTAGTGCCCCAAATTCCTGTTGTTATTAATTCCTGTTGTTATTAGTTTCATTCCATTGTGGTCACAGAAGATGCTTCATATTATTTCAGTCGTTTTGAATGTTTTAAGACTTGTTTTGTGATCTAACATATGATCTATCCTTGAGAATGATATGCGTGTTGAGGAAAAGAACATGTATCCTGCAGCCTTTAGATGAAATATTCTGCAAATATCTATTAAGTCCATTTGGTCTAAACTGCAAATTAAGTATGAGGTTTCTTTGTTGGTTTTTTGTCTGGAAGATGGAACCAGAGGCGACCATTGAAAACTTACTGGTAGCAGAGAAAAATTTAGTTCATTGATTTTTTTTAATTAAATGAGCATATTGTATTTAGAACACACAGAATTACATGTATAATGCAGTTATTCTTTCCTTTGATACCAGCTAATATTGTTTTACATTCAATATTGTGAGAAAAAAATAGTATCAAATTTAACTCTCAATGATAGATTTCTTTACCTAGAAAATAAATACTCTTAGATGCTAAATATACATATAATCAATAATTGCAGCATTTACTTGATATATTTAGATCTTTTCTTCAGTCCATTTACAAATATTGGCCAAATAAATCTTTAAAATGGTTTATCGTTTTGTTAATACTTTTAAGTTCTTCCTTTATCTTTGTCCTTTTAAAAAATGCTTTAGTCATTTATCTTCCAGGCTATAACTATTCAACTATGACAAATTCTGAGGGTTCAATTCATATGGAACTTTTATTATATTTCATTATAGTTTTAAATCTTAGCAATAGCAAATTTATTCCTGTTAAGTGCAAATCAGAAAAGTCATGTTTTGTCTTCCGAATGTACCTTTTACTTAAACTATGTATCTCAGCCACTTTGCTGCAAGCCACATAATAACAGTATAAAAAAAAGAGTAGTAAAGAAAAAAGCTTTTTAATTAGCTTACATTTTAAGAAATGTATTAGAAAAATCTGAAAATTCAACCTATGTTTGGGTATAGGGCAAAGTCAGTTAACATAAAGGCAATTACAAAGAGAAAAAAGCTTTCTTCAATGTTGTTATTTAACCTATAAATGAATCTCCAATTCACAAGATATATTTACATCTATTCTATCAGTAATCTCTGAAGGAAAGTAACAGTAAATGACTCTCATTGACTAAGTAGAACTAATAGGTACTAGGATGGACAGGAAGCAGGAAAACTAGGCCTGGAAACAAGGTACTAACAACACAAAAATGAAATATTATCTCATATGTCATCACTGGAGTGGAAGTTCTTCAACATTTTTTGGTTTGGGTTGCCTTTATTGATTCTTATACAATTATATTCACAGGAAAGAAGTGTAGATTAATTTACGTCCGTTTTATACACTCTGACAATACCTCTGAAACATATAAAAGGATAAAGCAAAGGAGGGCAATCATTTCCTCTGAGAAAAATGTCTTCTCAGGAGGAAGAAATGGAAGATAGGCAAGAAAAAGTGTACAGATGTGCATTACATCAACAGTTGGCTAGCATCGTATATTATAATATTTGAGAGTCTGATTTAAGTTGGTAAATTGAAAACAAATTTTGTTGTCCCACTTTTTCTTGTTTTTAAATCTCATTACAATGTTGGGAAATGAATCAATTTATAATTATAAAGATAAGAAACAGAGATTTAATATGTTTTTGGAATAAAGAGGACAAATATTACAAACCTGTTTATAAATAGTACAAGTTAAAAAGAGAATACACAGAAGAGAATTACTAGAAAACCAGCTAAAGAAAGAGCCTATTTACCTTACAGAACCTTAACGAGGTTTGAGATAGTCCACAGACAGTCTAAGAAGAGAAAAAAATATTTTTTAAAAGGTTAAAATAAACAGATTATCAGATATGTATTTTATTATATGATGTTACCAATGGCATCTTTGTGTTTCTCTTTAGCCTTTGCCTTCAACTCCCACCTCCATCACAAAATTAAATAACCTAGGTTTAAATCACAAGAACAAAAACAAGAAACACAGCAAATGTCAAATTTATGACAGCAAAAATCATTGCCTACTCTAAAGACATTATCAAAATAACAGGAGAGTTTTTAAAATAAATTTGGGGGAACAAGTACAGTATTGTTACATAGATATATTGCATAGTGGTGAAGTCTGAGCTTTTACTGCAACCATCACCTAATAGTGAACATTACACACAATAAGTAATTGTTCAACCCTCACCCCTGTGGCACCCCCTACCCTTTTGGAGTCTCCAGTGTCTGTTATTTCCCGCTGTATAAACTTATGTATACATTGTTGACATCCTACTACCAAGAACATGTCTTATTTGACTGTTTGTGAATTATTCACTTAGGATAATGGTCTCCAGTTCCATCCATGTTGCTGCAAATGACATGATTTAATTTGTCTTTATGGCTGCATACTATTTCAGGGTGTATATATTATATACACAGACATCAGTCCCCTGTCTGTTCAGTACAAAATGAATACCCACAAGTCAGCAATTTGCATTTCCCTGTGGCTAATAAAGTTGAGCATGTTTTCATTACTTACTGAATATTTGAGGTTCCTCTTTTGTGAAGTGCTTATTTCTTTATTTTGCCCTTTGGAAAATTTTCGATTTTATTGACTACTGGGATTTCTCTTTTTATATTTGATGTAAGCTATTGATATACATATTGGAAATATTTTTATCTATGCTATGGCATGCCCCCAAATACACAGACAAAAGAGTATATTTTGATTAACATTTCATACTTTAAATGAAGTGCAACTTTCCGTTTTCTCCTTTATAGTTAGAGCTTTGTGGCCCTTTTAAGAAATAATTTACTTGTTCCAACTTTGGAAGCTTTATTTGAAAAATATTTTTATTAATATTTACTATTCATTTGCCATTTATTCTTCTCTGTGAATGAAGTTGATGACACAATTCTTTTTATTCCTGTGAATATCCAGTTGAGCCCACATTATTTACTGAAATAAGCACCCTGATTTTAGCATGTCAATGTCACCTTTATCATAAACTAAGTGCTGAATATGTGTTTCTGGTTTGGGGTATTAATTTTTCCACTGATTTTTTTTTAATCTATTCTTCCTCGAGCCCCATATTATGTTATTTCACATTATTGTAGCCATGACAGAAATCTTGATAACTGGCAGTATACTTTTTTTAACTTTGTTTTTTTTCCTTCAAGATTGCTTTGTGATTGTTGGCCCTTTGTATTTTCATCACATTTTAAAGTTATCTTGTCAGTTTTAACCCTAAAATAATATGTGCTCTGATTTTAATTGAGATGGAATTCAATAGAGACATTAATTTGAGAAGAATTTAAATGATTATTAGTTTTCTACATTTATTATTTTTAAAATACATTTAGGTAATTTTGATTTTCAAATTATCCACTCTTTTAATGTACATTTGCATGTATGGGTGTACAATTTTTCTCAGCACTCCAACATTAAAACTTTGGGAAGAAAAGTAGGAATCAACCAAGGAAGCAGTGAAGTAGCAGCCAGTAGGGAAAAAAAGAACATGTAGATTCTGGAAGACAATGGAAAAACTAGAAAGAAAGATTGTAATTGCATTTTGGCCATAATAAAGTAACTGGTAGTAAACTTTCTCTGACAATGTAAACAATTCGAAAATTGGACAAAATAAAAACAAACAAACAATGTTTGTAGATATTTGACTGCAGGTATGATACTATAGTGATCCCTGAGAGGAGGGAAAGAAACGACGAAAGACCTATAATCATCTCAGGATCCTGCCTGGATGCCCTTCCCAAATAACATGCAAAAAGGGAGAAACCAAACAGAGCACAGTGGTCTGAGTTGACGAGTCTGAAATGGGAGTTTGGAGTGACAAAGCTTACAAGAATTTTTTATTTTATTTTATTATTATTATACTTTAAGTTTTAGGGTACATGTGCACAACGTGCAGGTTTGTTACATATGTATACATGTGCCATGTTGGTGTGCTGCACCCATTCTGGGAGACTGTGTCTTGTGAGGGCACTCTTCCTGGTTTGCAGACAGCCACTTTCACCTTGTATCCTCACACGGCAGCAGAAAGCCAGAGGGCAAGCTTTTGTGTCTCTTCTTGTTAAACAAAGCTGGTTTTAGAGTGATATACCAAAGAGACACATCGTAAAATCAACACTAAATTCCACTTACGAAAGAGAGAGAAAGAAAACAACAACAACTACAACTACTAGAATTCTGTATCCTGAGAAATTACTCTTCAAGGGGAAAGAGAAATAAAGACTTACTAAGGTAAACAAAATAGAAGGACTTTTTCGCCAGTACATCTACTTTTCAAAATATGTTAAAAGTAGTTCTTCAAAGAGACGAAAAAGGATGTAGGTCAGAAAGTTGGATCTACATAAAGAAAGGAAGAGCATTAGAGAAGAATTAATGAAGATTTTTTTTCTTTTCTTTTCTTTTCTTTTTTTTTCTTTTTGAGACGGAGTCTCGCTCTGTCGCCAGGCTGGAGTGCAGTGGTGCGATTTGGGCTCACTGCAACCTCCGCCTACCGGGTTCAAGCAATTCTCCTGCCTCAGCCTTCCAAGTAGCTGGGATTACAGGCGCCTGCTACCACACCCGGCTAATTTTTGTATTTTTAGTAGAGACAGGTTCCACCATGTTGGCCAGGCTGGTCTCGAACTCCTGGCCTCAGTTAATCCACCTGCCTCTGTCTCCCTAAGTGCTAGGATTACCGGCCTGAGCCACCATGCCCGGCCATTAATTAAGATTTTTAAATATTTAAAAAATTATTTTTAATTGTCCTAAAAAATAAGTGTTCACATAATAACAAATTATGTAAAGATTATAGTTTATGGATATGTGAAATAATTGACATCAGTGACAAAAGAAACAAGAGAGTAGAATTAGAAATACTTTGTTATGAATTATTTGCACTCATGAATTAACATAGTGTTATTTAAAAGTAGACTTGTATTAGCTGTAAATGCATATTGCAAATTGGCAAACGTGATGGCAGCCATCAGAAAAAGTGTGTGTGTATGTGTGTGTGTGTGTGTGTATATACTGTGTATGTATATATCTATATACACTTTTTGTGTAAATATATAAATAATATGCTAAGAAAGAAAAGAAAATGGAACCATATAAAGTGTCCAGTTAAAACCACAGAAGGAAGAAAAGGAATGAGAGACAAAAATAGAAACAAAAAGAAGTCAACAAATAGAATACAATAACAAAAAATGGTAGGTATTTACCCAAGTATATCAATAATCACTTTAAATGTCAGTTATTTAAATGTACCAATTAAAAGGCAGAGACTGTCAGAGAGGAATGAAAAAATAGACTCAACTATATGTTGTCTGTAAGAAACAGAATTTAAAGGCACATATAGAGAGTATTTTATAAAACATAAAGGCAAGAAGAAGAAATACATTAACACTAATCAAAACAAAGTTGGATTAGCTGTAGTAGTTTTATACAAAGCACACTACAGAGCATGGAAAATTATTACTGATAAAGAGGTACATTGCATAGTGATAAATGGGGACAATTCTACAGCAATGTGCAATCTCTAATGTACTGATTAGAGATCTAATGTACTGAGCATCAAAATATTTGAGAAAAAAAGATAAAATGGCAAGGAGAAATAGATGAACGCACCATTATAGATGGAAACCTCAACACCGTGTGCCAGAAATGGACAGATCCATCATGCAGAAAATCATTAAGGACATAGTTGAATTCAGGAGTATTCTCAATCAACTGGATCTAAATGGCTTCTCTAGAATACTTCACCCAACAGCAACAGAATAAACATTCTTCTCAAGCTCATATGGAACATTCACCAAGACGGACCACATTTTGGTCCATGAAAAACACTTTAACACATTTAAAAGAACAGAAATTACACAATGTGTGCTTTTAGATCATGAAGGAATTATACTAGAAACAAAAATAGCTAGAAAGTCTCAAAATATTTGGAGATTAAACAACACCCTTTTATTTTTATTTTTTAATTATACTTTAAGTTTTAGGGTACATGTGCACAACGTGCAGGTTTGTTACATATGTATACATGTGCCATGTTGGTGTGCTGCACCCATCAACTCGTCATTTACATTAGGTATATCTCCTAATGCTATTCCTCCCCCATCCCCCACCCCCACAACAGTCCCCAGTGTGTGATGTTCCCCTTCCTGTGTCCATGTGTTCTCATTGTTCAATCCCCACCTATGAGTGCAAACATGCAGTGTTTGGTTTTTTTGTCCTTGCGATAGTTTGCTGAGAATGATGGTTTCCAGCTTGATTCATGTCCCTACAAACGACATGAACTCATCATTTTTTTATGGCTGCATAGTATTCCATGGTGTATATGTGCCACATTTTCTTAATCCAGTTATCATCGTTGGACATTTGGGTTGGTTCCAAGTCTTTGCTATTGTGAATAGTGCCGCAATAAACATACGTAAACAACACACTTTTATATCATATATCAAAGAAGAAAGCTCAAGAGAAATTGAAAATATTTTGAAATAAATGAAAATAAAAATACAACTTATAAAAATTTGGGGGATACAGAAAATGAAGTGTTCAAAGGGAAATCTATGCCATTGAATCCATATATCTAACAAAAGAAGACATATTAGATTGGTGTAAAAGTAATTGCTGTTTTTGCCATTTCTTTAATCCTATCTAAAATTTAAAAATCTAAACTTTCAGGTTAGGAAACTAGAAACTAGATTCAAAAAGAGCAAAAGAGAAACAATAAAAATTAGCACATAATTTGAATACATTAAAACAGAAAATAGAGACTAAAAACAGAAAATAAATAGACAAAGTCAATGAAACAAAAAACTAGTTTTTTGAAAGGATCAATAAAATTGATAAGCCTATAATAAGACTAATAAAAGGAGAACCTATGAATTACTAATAACATAAATTTTAGAGGGGCTATCACTATAGACACTATGGACATTAACAGAGTAACAAAGGAATACTATGAACAACGCTATGCCCACGAATTTTACAACTCTATGAAAGGGACCATTCCTTGAAAGAAACAATCTGCATAAACTCACATAAGAAGAAATGGAAAATATTAAGGCCTATTAAACATCGAGTCAACAATTAATAATATTGCAAAACAGAAAAAAAGATGAGTTCAATGATGAATTCTACAAATTATTTAAGAAAAAAATATACCAAATTTCTACAATTTATTCCAGAAGATAGAAGTGAGAGAATATTTTCAAACTCATTCTATGAGGCCATCATTATCCCAAAATCAAAACCAGACAATGACATTATACGAAAAGACAACTAAAAGCCAGTGTCTCTTATAAGAATTGATGCAAAACTCTTTCACAAAATATTATTAAACCAAATCCAACAGCATAAAAGGCACATACACTAAGACCAAGTGGAATTTATTCCAGGTATGCAGGCTGATTCAACATTTGAAAATTAATTAATGTAATTTATGATAGTCATGGGCTAAAGAAGAAAAATCTCCTGATCATATCAACAGATGCAGAAAAAATTTCTGACAATTCAGCATCACTTTTAATAAAAACTCCCAGAAAACTAAGGATGGGGGAAACATCCTAGACTTGATAATGGATATCTCCAAAATCCTACAGATAACATCTGACTTAACTGTGAAAAAAAATAAAAGCTTTCTCGTTAAATATCAGAAAAAAAGCAAGGATGCGTGCTCTTACCGCTCTATATCAAGGTTATACTGGATATCCTATCAATTGCAATAAGACAAAAAAAAAAAAGAAATAATAGAAGGTGCACTGGGCCGGGCATGGTGGCAAAACTCTGTAATTTCAGCACGTTGGGAGGCCAATGTGGGAGAATCCCTTGCATCCAGGAGTTCGAGACCAGCTTGGGTAGCAGAGTGGGACCCCGCCTCTACACAAAATAAAATATTAGCTGGGCGTGGTGATGCCTCCCCATAGTCCCAGCTACTGGAGAGGCTGAGGTGGGAGGATCGCTTGAGCCTGGCAGGTTGAGGCTACAGTGAGCCATGATCGCCTTGGTGAGAGAGTGAGTCTTTGTCTCAAAAAATAAAATAAGTCAGGGTGCGGTGTTTCACGCTTGTAATCCTAGTACTTTGGAGGCCGAGGCAGGTGGATCTCCTGAGGTCAGGAGTTTCATACCAACCTGGCCAACATGGTAAAACCCTGTATTTACTAAAAATACAAAAAACTTAGCCAGGCGTGGTGGCGGGTGCTTGTAATGCCAGCTACTGTGGAGGCTGAAGCAGGAGAATCGCGTGAACCCGGGAGGCGGAGGTTGCAATGAGTTATGATCGCATCACTGCACTCCCAGCCTAGGCAACAAGAGCAAAACTCCGTCTCAATAATAATAATAATAATTAATTAATAAATAATAAAATAAAATAAAAGCAATCTATACTGATTGAGAGGGAAGAAAAAAAACTCTGTTTGTTACAGATGGCATGATTGTCTAAGTAGAAAATCCTAAAGAATCAATACATAATTTTAGGACCTAATAAACAATTATGGTAAGATTGCAGGGTATAAGAATCAATCACTTTTTTTATTTTACTTGGGCATACATTTATAAGTGGAAAGGCTGGGTCAATGGTAACTCTGTGTTTAACTCTTTGAAATGTATGAGAATAATTTACAAAGCAGCTTCAAAATTTTACATTCCTATTGTCCATGCATGAGGGCTTCAGTTTCTCCACAGCCACATTAAAAACATTATTTTCAAACTTTTTTATTACTATGACCATACCAATAAATCTGAAGTGGCATCTCATTTTGATTTTCATTATATCAATAAATATTACCTATATTTATTGTAATCTTACTGTTTTCTTTCTTCTGCTTGCTTTTGTTTGGTAGTTTTTAAATTTCCTAAGGTTTCAGCTAATTAATTCAAATTATTCCTTCTTTTTTAATGTAGACATTTTCAACTACAATTTCCCCTGTGACCTAACATAAAGCCTCCATCTCATAAGTGGTGACTGGGAGGAAAAAGAGATGTCCCAACTCTCATCCCCAATTACATGGAACTTAGACTCTGCAAAAAATAGCTGCTGCAGGATGAGAAATGCTAATGTCCGGTCCCTCCTGATAAATGGCACAGACCTCAAACTGGAGCTGGGCAGAAAGGAAGGATTAAAGTTTTCATCACACTAAGATAAGAAAAAGTAAGATGTAAACACTACAGACTCTCTGTTCTTTTAAAGTTTTGCTAGGTGTTATTCAAATAAATGTTTCTTCATTTCCTGTATGCAGAATCATCTGAAAGACTTTAAATAGCAGTTTATTTATTTTAGTAGTTTTCACCAGTTCCACTGGGGTCATGTCCATGCAGGTCCTTACACTGTCATGCCAGAATTTAATCTCATCTTTTCATTCTTTTTTTGTACTATATTATAGCGTTCAACGTGTAAATAAAACAGTATTTATTCAAGTAGTAGTCCAGCTATGCCCATTTAGGTGTCTAATATTTTGCTCTCACTGATAATGCTGAGATGAATGACTTCATGCATATTTTTATGTAGGAGATGTTTGTGGAAATGTATATGCAGGTTTACTTCCTTGTAGTGGGATTGCTGATTCAAAGGGTTAACAAATGGTTTTGTTAGTTATTGCCAAATTTCTTTCCAATTAGAGTTAAAATCATTTCAATTATAGTCTATTAATCAATTTTTCTGACAAACTATAATATACAATATCCGTAAGTGATAACTAAATCTGTCTTTATTAGGAATTAGTAAAGGCTTTATCCATGTAGAATTCTTTTAAAAAGTATTTCAAGTAAGTCATTGTTCTCTCCTCTTCTTTCTCTCTTCACCCACCTGTCTTTCTCTCTCTCTCTTCCTGTCTTTCTTCCTTGCCTTCTCTCTTTTCTTATCCTTGTATGAGGATTCTCTTGTGTATTTTAAATTATTCATGCCTCTTTCTTTTTTTTTTAAACTTGATTTGCAGTTTCCTTGAATCATGTTACCGTCAATCATTGTGCTTCTAAACTGCTGCTACTCATGAGAACCATGTAATAGTGACATTTGTGAAGTGTATTTTCCTTCAATGCATTCTGCTAAGGTATTCATTCAACTAATTTTTTCTTTTTTGAGACGGAGTCTCGCTCTGTCACGCAGGCTGGAGTGCAGTAGTGCGACTTGGCTCATTGCAACCTCCGCCTCCCAGGTTCACACCATTCTCCTGCCTCAGCCTCCAGAGTAGCTGGGACTATAGGCGCCCACCACCATGCCCGGCTAATTTTTTTGTATTTTTGTGTTTTTATTAGAGATGGGGTTTCACTGTGTTGGTCAGGCTGGTCTCAAACTCCTGACCTCTTGTTCCACCCACCTCAGCCTCCCAAAGTGCTGAGATTACAGGCGTGAGCCACCGCGCCCAGCCTTATTCAACTAATTTTTTGAGAACCTATCAAGAATTCAGGATTGATGATATGGATGCAAATATAGACTCTTATTCCAAGGTCCCTACAGTAGAGGGCTGAAGACAGAGAAGTGATGCTGTCATTATTATTTAAAATATTAAGCTTATAAAGTAAGTACATGAAGAAAAAAAAAGCTGCATTTTCTTATTATCCAAGAAAAGCTGCCACACTTCTGTGCTGAAACATTTTACTTAGAACTACTTGTCACTCTGCTTAGTGTTGGATTTTGACATGGCAGCTCTGAGTCTCTGTAGCAGCTCTGCTGAGTTTTCTGGAAGATTTATTTCCTGATTTTTTCGTTTTAAGGCAAAAAGGGTGACTCTTAGGATTAATGAAACCAGAAAAAAATTAATTGCTCAAATGTATGAATATATAATACTTCTTGTTTAATTGTGTCAACTGGGGTTTGATCTGAGCAGTAGAATTACTATATGTACCATATATTAAGAAATTTCTTGCAGGAATTAACCTTGCACAATTGTGGCATCTGACTAAGTGGTGTATGTTGCTTTTGCCTCTAGCATTATCTGCACAAAGTTATTAAGGCTGAATTTGAGAAAGCAAAATGGGCAAGAACTGGAAGTCATCAAGGAAAAATTGGAACCCATAAGAAAAATAGTGACACACGCACAACTGAATGCCAGGTCTGTGTCTCACGACAACTTTGATGATGCAGGTTACATGCAGAAGAAAATTGAATCTTTTAATATAGAGGTATAGTTTCACCTAGTCAAACATCTGGAGAAGCTGAAAGAGGAAATCAGGTAGGAGTGGAATGAATGAGGGGACTGGCTGCTACACAACACCAAGCAGGTGACCTGTAGTCTAGTGACAATGTGTATGAAATGCAAAATTATGCATTGCATGCAAAGACCATCAGACTGTGAAAGTGACTACTATAAATATATATTTGTTAAATATACTCACGTAAATATACTCATGTATATTTAACAAATACAATGCAAACTTATTATCAATACGAATTTGGAACAATAAAGACGAAGAAATTCTGGGAAATATAATTCCAGTTTAGCTAAGATTGCATATTACAAAACCACCAAAATAACCATTTTTATTTTATTTATTTATTTTTGACATGGAGTCTTCTGCTGTCACCTAGGCTGGAGTGCAGTGGTGCCATCTTGTCTCACTGCAACCTCCGCCTCCCAGGTTTAAGCACTTCTCCTGCCTCAGCCTCCCGAGTACCTGGGATTACAGGTGTGTGTCACCATGCCTGGGTAATTTTTGTATTTTCAGTAGAGACGGGGTTTTGCCATGTTGGCCAGGTTTGTCTCAAACTCCCCACCTCAAATGACCCGTCCACCTCAGCCTCCCAAAATGCTGGGATTACAGGCATAAGCCACCACACCCAGCTCATTTTTAAACGTACAAAACAATCGTAGTCCAAGGATTTATAGTTTACAATCTAAAACTCACTTTTGAATAGGGTAGATAAGCTATTTTATCTCACTCTAAGACTTGAAACCAAGAATTCTCTGTATAG
Organism: Homo sapiens; assembly: GCF_000001405.40. NCBI lineage: Eukaryota > Metazoa > Chordata > Mammalia > Primates > Hominidae > Homo > Homo sapiens. The sequence goes on from NC_000001.11 coordinate 191,018,895, forward strand.
AGACCCAATTAAAATGATTGTAGGGAACTTTGAAGACATACTGGTTGGGGATTGTAGGAAATCAATGGAGGGTGGAGCTAGTTAGCAATTAAAAATAAAACAAAGATTATATTGAAATATGTCACCAAGAAGAAACAATAATTGAGCCTGAAAATAATGCAGTGTGACAAGACCATTTATGCTTTTATCTCTTCATCTATCCTTTCCCTACTCAGCTATTCAATTAGAAATATATCCTGTAAATTATGTATTGTCCAGGGCTTCAAGAATACAAAGATATATACAAAGATATGCCTGCCAATTTTAAACTAATGTTTTGGGGGCAAAACCAGCTTTTAAAATACATCACAAAGCAATTTTCATATATTAAAAAGGAGCTTAAACAAGTACATGCCAAGTTTACCAGCATCATCTGAGAAGAAATAAATATAATGCATTCAGTAGAGATAAACAGCATCATAAAGTTGTTTGTGTGTGTGTGTGTTTCAACTCAAATGAAAAAGAGAAAGCAAGCATTGGAAAGAAACTCATGCAATATTGTTATTTTTTCTTCTTTTTTGCTAGCTTGAGCATGCAATCAAATGAAAATTTACAACTTAAATTAAAAGGCAGACTTCAACTGTGAAGATGGGTCCTACATTGTGGCAGCACAGTAAGTTTTACATATACTAGATATCCTTTCTGTTTTACTTTAGAAAATCCAAATTTCCTTTGGATAGCAGTATGCCATAGGAGCTGATTAATGATTGTTTTAAGTCTATTTTAAAAGATCCTGTTTTCCTTTGCCAGTTAACGAACTAGAGATGGACATGTAAACCAACCCTCGGTAACAACACTTTGGGAAATTTTGTTAAATGGTTTTGAGGAAAAATATTCCTCCTTATTTGGAAGGAATAAATAGAAGTTTTGTTTTCTTTTTTCCTCTGTGCACTGTTATTTGAGGGTGTAGAATGTTTTACTCCTTCAATTGTGCTATGCCATGAAAAGAAAGGGAATGCTAAAGAATCACACAGTTGTCCAATCAGGGCCATAATATCAATAAACTGTTGCATCCAACATTGAAATGCCTAACTCCAAATTTTTTGGTACTATGATATTTCAAAATGAAATCTCCTTAAAAGGACCTGAAGAATCTTGTAGGAGCTAGATAAATACTTGGTTTAATTCACATATGCTCCAGCTTATTTAATTCAACAGAGATAAGCCAATATAATTAAAAAATGACTGAGAAGACATTAATTCTTACACTTTTTTATGCTTAGTTATGTAAAAGTGCTTCTATGTCGATACCTTCCTTTAACAAGCATTTATACAGTTTTTTTGTACAATATACTGGGAACTAAAAGGTATATAAAGATAAAATAAAATATCTGTCTAATGGGAAAGATTACATGGTGATCAAATGAAATATTAAGTAGAATGTGACACTGAAACAAATTCCAAGGTGTTCAGAAAAATAATAACCATTGTTTTATTTCAGCACTGATGAGAGTATTGTGGAGAAATTGGTGTCAGATTTTTCTTCTCTGAATGTTGGGTGAAATTGCATAGAAATACATGATGCAAGAATATGTTCATTTCAAAAAAGAATAATTAATAATAAAAATATCATCAGAAAAGTACATTTAAAGACGTGAGTAAAATGGTTCTATATATTAGATGAAATTGTTGTAGAGATTTGCTGTATGGCATAGTGCCAAGAGTTGACAAGCTAGAATGGTCCACTTCAAAAATTAAGAGGGTAGATCTCATGTCTTGTTCTTACCACAAAAATAAATAAATAAATAAAACAAACAAATAAAAACATGATGATCATGATGACGGTACACATGATGATATGATGGTGTTTGCATACGTTCAGACTTATCATATTGTAAGTTATTGCAGTTCTTTCTTCTATGTGTAACAAGTATACCACAATAAAGCTATTAAAAAATGAAGAACCAGAACAGACAGTAAATAAACATTAGCAAGGGATATTAGATACATTTTTTGAAGGGTTGGCAGAATCAGCAAAGCTATGTGTCCCATTTTACTATCTTTCTATAGGGACTTAAAATTTAAAGAAGTGTTTTTAGTGATTGCCCTGATGTAACTATAACTAAAGCTTGACTGTACGGATATAAATGTGGTTTTATTAGGTAGGATTGATGGGCAAAAAGAAAATCTGGCACCATAAAGAATTATTAATATTAGGTAACTCTTGTAATAAAAAAAAGTGTATGCTGAATCACAGTAGTATCTGTGTACTAGTGTATTCATAGTAATTTACTGAAAAACAGGTAAAATTATCTGGTCTTTAACCTCACCAAAAGGAAATCCTATTGTTGTATTTATAACTTATGTGTTACTTCATCTTTAAGGTCAGCTTTCTAAATTTTATTATATACCAGATGAATAACAACAAAAACATTAATTTGCAATACAATTCAAGCAAAAATAACTACCATGAGTACTTTCCAAAACTGATAATTTTATGAATATTTGAGTATATCCATTACTTTACATAGAAAATTATGTGAAATGAATTTAATAAGCTTTTTGAATTAAGTATTCCCTTGAAGAAATTACATTTTTTAAATACATAGCTTTCTGAAGTAAATGCTCTGACACATTCTCTACAAATGTCATGATATTAGTCCAGATTTTCTCACTTGAAAAAATTACTTTTATCAGGAAAATGTGTAAGTTTTTAAAACATTGAAGTTTATTTAAGTGTAGACTGTATGGATTAACTAAATTTTGGCTATTCATTAACATATTATTGGGCAATTATTATTCCTAGTGCTTTGGATTAATGTTGAATAAAGGGCTTGAGGAAACATGATAAAGTTGGATCTTGCTCGAAGTAAACTAACAATATAGTAATAGAGATTGGAGTTTTATTTATGTATATTTACATATAGGGATGATAATAGTGGTCAGAGAAAGAAATTGCTCATACTTCCCAAGATACTCAACAAATGACATAATCGTGCTAGACAATGGAATTTTGAAGGAAGACCTGAAATAAAAAAAAATGATAAACAAGCAAATTGATTAGAGGTGAGAAATGTTTTTACTAAATCCATAGATTCACAGAATATACTTAAAAAGAGATATGTTTGAAGGAGATATTTAGAGAGTTTTGCTGTGGTTCTATTGTGTCAATGCCTTCAATTTCTCTAAAATTTCTGTTGGGTTCAGATTCTTTTTGTTACAAAAGTAAGAAGATACATTTTATTGGGTAATAGGAGATGTAAAATGTATTTATATAGATAAAAGTATTATGGAAAAATAAAGGATCGATAAATAACTTTTATTTGTGGTAATAAGACAATAATTTTATAAAGGAGGTTGTATTTTGGATTGGTGTCAAAGAATACGTCAGATTTTCACAGGCTGAGATGGAAGAAAACTACCTCCAACATAAACAAAAATCTCAAAGGAAATGTATAAAGCTGTGGAGATTAGTTTGGAGACTGGAACTCAATAAAAGTTTTAGTATAGCTTAAAGTTTTCATATAATTTGGATGTCATAGAAATGTGATATTTGTTAATGGTTTAGTGAAATGTGGGTTATTCTTTATTTCTAATCCTATTAGAGAAAGAGGTATTGAAACTCTAGAGAAAGAGAAAGAGAGAGAGAGAAAATGAATGATTGATTCTCTTAAGTAATTTATAGTCTTAGTGAAAGACAAAAAGACAACACTGTCCACAAAACACAATGCAGAAAAAGATAACATAAATTGCCATTAATTTCTTTACTCAGACTTTTAATCATTCAATGAGCATGTCTGGCAGATACTGCATTAGGTACTGAGGCACAATAGTGAACACAATAGGGATAAGTTATTTTGATGATGTATTGGTACGAAAACATACTAAACTATAAATTGATTCTTAGATACATGATTACATATTGTAATTAATGCTCTAAAAGTAGGCAGTACTATGAGAGAATAACAGGGCAGGCACTATTAGGGCATTCACCCCAAAGGAGAACAGAAGTCAAGGTGATGAAGCTAGTTCCAGGTGAAGAATTCTGTGAGCACAAACTTAGACTTGAGTGAATCTTCAGTATTTAAGGAATGTTAAGAGAAGCAATGCTATTAAGCCCACAATAATCCAGAGGAAATATGGCAGATGATGTCAGGGAGGAAGGCAGGAGAATGATTCATTAGTTCCAGAATTATAAATGTGATTTTAAGTGCAATCGGAAGGCATTACAATGTTTACATAAGATAATCAAGTTACAATTTTAAAGAATGATTCATACTTCTGGGTGCAGAATGTATTAGAAAAAGTCAAAAGGGATATTCTCTCATCCAGGAATAAATGATAATAGAGAAGAACTGAAGTAGTGGCAGTGGAATTTAAAAGAGGTTAACAGATTTGATATATCATTTAGGGTAGAATTAAGAAGGGATTTCAGAATATTTTATAGGTGTATTTAAATCTGTATTACTTTAAAAGTTGCAATTTTATTTTTAAATTGCGCATTGTCTGATAGTTAATATTACGAAGTGATATAGGTAAATGATATTAACGTCTATATGACACACAGTTTCCTTGCTAGACTCTGTAGGTTCATGTGAAGTATCAATTATATTTCAGACAAATAAAATTCAAAAAACTTTAGCTAATATAACTTTCAAAAAACATTTAACTTCACAATTGTCTTCTTAAATTAAATGGTATAAAGTGTTTCCATGAAGGTACTCAACTGTATCACTCAAGCAGAAATGACACACCGGGAGCTTTGAAATTCTTAATTTTCCACTTAGAAAAAGTGTTATAGTCTAAAAGGAATGCACTGGGATACCTTTCTCTCATTATTTCTTGTACAGCAATAAACTTTATTGAACACAAATTATCTTAAACAGCTGGGAATCCAGGGAGTATAAATGCTTTGTTTGAAATAATTAAACAGAAAAGAGAGAACAAGATAAGGTGGTTATTATAGAAAATGAGAAAGGAGAATTAGTTGTTAAAATGACCTCTAATATTGAAAGCCATGCACGACTACATGCAGAGATGATTGCTTCACTTGAACATTTTAGTTTGTTTAACATTGTAAGTTGCAAAGCTGATTGTGAGAATTGGCACTCCTTACATTTTATTGTACTGGGTGACGTTATTTACAGATTTTTGCATACTAGATTGTCTGCTGCAGAAAATGTCATTCTACAAACAATAACTTCCCAAAGTAAACAGAATGTCAGAAAAGGTAACTACTGCCAGTTGTTTTATAAATTAAAACTTAACAATTCTTTGGTTTTATAAGATACATTAGAAAGATATATTTAGAAACAAAAGCCTCAAAATTTAAGTATTAAACAAAATACATGTATTTCAATGAGATTTCTCGGGAAAGAAACTAAATTTGTTGTCTTGTAAAGAACAGTCTCAAAAATCACTGCATATGAAACTGAATACATTTGGATCACTGACGAAATAATTATTGCAATTTACCAAGCATATGGGTGTATCATCATCAATGCCTAGTTATTTATAAGAAAAAATGATACTCATTAGATTTATGTTATCAAGATATTCAATAATATGAATTTTATTAGATTTTTTAGGTGAGTATGAATTACCTTAAAGTTCTTCAATTTCTAGCTTTAAGTCAGTTAGAAACAAAACTAAAAAATTAAAATCAGCCAAAGTTCAAATATATTTTTATCCTATTGCTCTTCTTTATTGTACATTTTCACGTTGTATTTCACTTTTTGAGCCACAATATTTCTTAATAACATGAAGAATTGTTCTTTTGCATTGTCAGAGCAATTTTATATTATAAGCTATAAAAAAAATTTTGCATTCACTTTTTATTAACATGGAATATCTGTTAAACTGTACCTTCTAAATTCAAAAGGTTGAAATGTTGAATAGTACTAAATATTAAATATCAAAATATGTTTGAATTAGGAGTTATTCATTCATTCACAAAATTTCGTGAACCATTATTGTGTCCGAAATTGGTGGGTTCTTGGTCTCACTGACTTCAAGCATGAAGCCATGGACCCTCGAGGTGAGTGTTACAGTTCTTAAACATGGTGTGTCTGGAGTTTGTTCCTTCTGATGTTTGGACATGTTCGGAAGTTCTTCCTTCTGGTGGGTTCGTGGTCTTGCTGGCTTCAGGAGTGAAGCTGCAGACATTCCGGTGAGTGTTACAGCTCTTAAGGCAGCATGTCTGGAGTTGTTTGTCCCTCCCATCTGGAGTTGTTCATTCCTCCCGGTGGGTTCATGGTCTTGCCAGCCTCAGGAGTGAAGCTGCAGACCTTTGCAGTGAGTGTTACAGCTCATAAAGGTAGCGCAGACCCAAAGAGTGAGCAGCAGCAAGATTTATTGCAAAGAACGAAAGAACAAAGCTTCCAAAACGTGGAAGGGGACCTGCGCAGATTGCCGCTGCTGGCTTGGGTAGTCTGCTTTTATTCTCTTATCTGACCCCCACCCACATCCTGCTGATTGGCCCATTTTACAGAGAGCTGATTGGTCCATTTTACAGAGAGCTGATTGGTCCGTTTTGACAGGGTGCTGATTGGTGCGTTTATAATCCCTGAGCTAGACACAGAGTGCTGATTGGTGCATTTAAAATCCTCTAGCTAGACATAAAAGTTCTCCAAGTCCTCACCAGATTAGCTAGATACAGAGTGCTGATTGGTGCATTTACAAACCTTGAGCTAGACACAGAGTGCTGATTGGTGTATTTATAATCCTTTGGCTAGATATAACGGTTCTCCAAGTCCACACTAGATTAGCTAGACACAGAGCACTGATTGGTGCATTTACAAACCTTGAGCTAGACACAGGGTGCTGATTGGTGTGTTTACAAACCTTGAGCTAGACACAGAGTGCCAATTGGTATATTTACAAATCTTTAGCTAGACATAAAAGTTCTCCAAGTCCTCACCAGATTAGCTAGACACAGAGCACTGATTGGTGCATTTACAAACCTTGAGCTAGACACAGAGTGCTGATTGGTGTATTTACAAACCTTCAGCTAAACATAAAAGTTCTCCAAGTCCCCACCCGACTCAGGAGCCCAGCTGGCTTCGCCTAGTGGATCCCGCACCAGGGCCACAGGCGGAGCTGCCCGTCAGTCCCGTGCCACGCGCCTGCACTCCTCAGCCCTTGGGTGGTCGATGGGACTGGGTGTCGCAGAGCGGGGGCGGCACCTGTCAGGGAGGCTTGGACAGCGCAGGAGCCCACTGCAGGGGGGCTTAGGCATGGTAGGCTGCAGGTCCTGAGCTCTGCCCTGCGGGGAGGCGGCTGAGGCCTGGCAAGAATTTGAGCGTGGCATGGGCAGGTCGGCAGTGCTGAGTGACCCCGCGCCCCCTCTGCAGCTGCTGGCCCGGGTGCTAAGCTCCTCACTGCCTGAGGCCGGCAGTGCCAGCTGGCCGCTCTGAGTGTGGGGCCCGCCGAGCCCACGCCCACCCAGAACTCGGGCTGGCCTGCGAGTGCCGTGTGCAGCCCTGGTTCCCGCCCACACCTCTCCCTCCACGCCTGCCCGCAAGCAGAGGGAGCCAACTCCAGCCTCAGCCAGCCCAGGGAGGGGCTCCCACAGTGCAGCAGCGGGCTGAAGGGCTCCTCAAGCATGGCCAGAGCAGACTCTGAGGCTGAGGAGGTGCTGAGAGTGAGCGAGGGCTGCCAGCATGTTGTCACCTCTCATTGTTATGTGGCAACTGTTAATACTTTTTCAGCAATAAGTGTAATATATATGGCAGTGGGTAAAATCTAAAGTAGGTCTGGCTCAGTGCCTCAAGTGCTTTGAGACGCTGAGGTGGAAAGATTGCTTGAGTCCAGGAGTTTGAGACCATTCTGGAAAACACAGTAGGACCCAGTCTCTTCCAAAAAAAAAAATAGAAAAAAGTTTTAAAAAAAGCCGGTGGAGTGGGGCCAAGAGAGCAGTATGGTGCAGCAGCCCACCTGAGAGTCCTGGGGAGCAGGGGATCCCCGTGTTACCCAGTCTGGGATACGGTGCTGTTTCCATGGAACTGTGCAACCCGTGCATCAGAAGATCCCACTCATGAGCCCATGCCACCAAGGCCTAGGGTCCCAACCACGGAGCCACTCAGATTCTCCACAGCCACTTAGCTAGAATCTGCTTAAGCCTACCTAGTTCCTGGTGGGGAGGGGCGGCCATCAGGACAGCTGCAGCTGCCTACTAAGCCAGCCAGTTCCTTGGGGGAGGGTTGGCAGCCAACACTGGGACTGCTAGCTGCCTAACACACTAAGCTCCCAGGCAGGGGAAGGGCAGCAGCCATCTCTATAGCTCCAAACCTTGCTTTTCCCCTGCTGGAGCCAGGGAGGCTGGACAGCTTGGTCCCAAGAGGTATTCCCCAGAGCCCAACACACCAGCTGTGGCAGATGGTGGCCAGAGTGCCTCTTCAGGCCTGACCCTTACCCATCCCTCTTCACTGGGCAGGGCTTCCCTGCAGGAACTCCAATAACTCCAGGGACAGAACTCTGATCTCCCTGGGACTGAGCTCCTAGGGATAGGGGTGGCGGAAGTCTGCATAGACCAACAGACTTAGTCTTTTCTCCTGCTAGTTCTTAGGAATCTGGGCAGACCAGAGGAGTGAATTTTCCCCCAGTGTGACACATCCCATCCACCAAGGAACAGCCAAAGCGTCTTGTTAAATGGGTTCCACTCCCCATGCAACCTAACTAGGTGAGACACTCCAACAGGGATTGTCAAACACCCTATACAGGAGTGATCTTACTGGTATCAGGTCAGTGCCCCTCGAGGTCAGAGATCCCAGAGGAAGAAGCAGGCACCCATCTTTGCTGTTCTCCAAACTCCTCGAGTGACATTGCCAGGCGTGGGAACTTACCAGATGAACAGGGCCTGAAATAAACCCCCAGTAAACAACAGCAGCCCTACAGAAGAGGTAACAGACGATTGAAAGAAAAACAAACAAACAGAAAGCAATAACAACAGCATCAACAAAAAAGTCCTCACAAAAAAAACCTCATCCAAGGGTCAAAATCCTCAAAAGTCAAAACTAGACAAATTCATGAAGATAAGAAAGAATCAATGAAAAAAATGCTGAAAACCCAAAAGGGCAGAGTGTCTCTTCTCCATATGATTGCAACACCTCTCCAGCAAAGGCACAGAATTGGACGAAGGATGAGATGGACAAATTTAAAGAAGTAGGCTTCAGAAGGTGGGTAATAACAAGCTCTGCTGAGCATGTTCTAACCCAAGGCAAAGAAGCTAAGGACCTTAATAAAAGGTTACAGGAGCTGCTAACTAGAATAACCAGCTTAGAGAGGAATACAAATGACCTGATAGAGCTGAAAAATGTAGCACAATAATTTTATGAAGCATACACAAGTATCAATAGCTGAATCGATCAAGCAGAAGAAAGAAAATCAGAGCTTGAAGACTATCTTGCTGAAATAAGGCAGGCAGATTAAAGAAAAAAGAATGAAATAGAACAAACAAAACCTCTGAGAAATATGGGACTATGTAAAAAGTTCAAACCTATGATTTATCAGAGTACCTGAAAGTGATGGGGAGAATGGTGCCAAGTTGGAAAACACACTTCAGGATATTATCCAGGTGAACTTCCCAAACCTAACAAGACAGGCCAACATTCAAATTCAGGAAATTCAAAGAATACCACTAAGATATTACTCAAGAAAATCAACCCCAAGACACATAATCATCAGAGTCTACAAGGTTGAAATGAAGGAAAAAATGTTAAGGGCAGCCAGAGAGTGAAAGGCCAAGTCACCTACAAAGGGAAGCTCATCAGACTAACAGTGGACCAGAAACCCTAAAATGCAGAAGAGAATGGGGACTGATATTCAACATTCTTAAAGATAAGAATTTTCAACCCAGTATTTCATATCCAGCCAAACTAAGCTTCATAAGAGGGGGAGAAATAAAATCCTTTTCAGACAAGCAAATGCTGAGGGATCCTGTTACCAACAGTCCTGCCTTGCAAGACCTCCTGAAGGAAGCACTAAACATGGAAAGGAAAAACCAGTACCAGACACTGGAAAAACAGACCAAAATATAAAGACCAATGACACTATGAAGAAACTGCACCAACTAGTAGGCAAAATCACCAGCTAGCATCATGATGACAGGATCATATTTACACATAACAATATTAACCTTAACTATAAATGGGCTAGCTGTCCCAATTAAAAGACACAAACCAGAAAATGGGATAAAGAGTCAAGACTTATCGGTGTGCTATATTCAGGACACCTATCTCATGTGCAAAGACACCCGTAGCCTCAAAATAAAGGGATAAAAGAAAATTTACGAAGCAAATGGAAAGCAAAAAAAAAAGGATTGCAATCCTAGACTCTGACAAAACAGACTTTAAACCAACAAAGATCAAATAAGAAAAAAAATGGCCAGGCACGGTGGCTCACACCTGCAATCTCAGCACTTTGGGAGGCTGAGGTGGGCAGATCACCTGAAGTCAGAAGTTTGAGAACCGCCTGGTCAACATGGTGAAACTTCGTCTGTACTAAAAATACAAAAAATGTAGCCAGGTATGGTGGCTTGTGCCTGTAGTTCCAGCTACTTGGGAGGCTGAGGTGTGAGAATTGCTTGAACCTGGAAGGTGGAGGTTGCAGTGAGCTATGATCATGCCACTGCACTCCAGTCTGGGTGACAGAGGGAGACTCTGTCAGGAAAAAAAAAAAAAAAAAAAAAAAAAGACAAAGAAGGGCATTGCATAACTGGAAAGGGATCAGTTGAACAAGAAGAGCTAAATACCCTAAATATATATGCTCCCAATACAGGAGCACCCAGATTAATAAAACAAGTTCTTAGAGATCTACAAAGACACTTAGACTCCTACACAATGATAGTGGAAAACCTTACCACCCCACTGTCAATATTAGACAGATCAATGACACAGAAAATTAACAAGGATATTCAGGACTTGAACTCAGCTCTGGATCAGGTGGATTTAATAGACATCTACAGAACTCTCCAGCCCAAGTCAACAGATTACACATTCTTCTCAGTGCCACATGTCACTTATTCTAAAATTGACCACATAATTTGAAGTAAAACACACCTCAGAAAATGCAAAAAAACAAAACAAAACAAAACTGAATCATTAGAAAAAGTCTCTCAGACTACAGTGCAATCAAATTAGAACTCAGATTTAAGAAACTCACTCAAAATGACACAACTACATGGAAATTGAACAACCTGCCCCTGAATGACGCCTGGGTAAATAACGAAATTAAGCAGACATCAAGAAGTTATTTGAAACCAATAAGAACAAAGAGACAACGTATTAGAATCTCTGGGACACAGATAAAGCCGTGTTAAGAGGGAAATTTATAGCACTAAATGCCCACAGCAGAAACTAGAAAGAGCTCAAATCAACACCCTAATATCACAAATAAAAGAACTAGAGAATCAAGAGCAAACAAATCCAAAAGCCAGCAGAAAAAAAGAAATAACTAAATCAGAGCAGAATTTAAGGAGACAGATATATGAAAAACCCTTCAAAAATCAATGAGTCCAGGAGCTTTTTTTAATTAACAAAATAGATAGACTGCTAGCTAGACAAAAAGAAGAAAAGAGAGAAGAATCAAATAGACACAATAAAAAATAATGAAGGCTATATCAGCACTGACCCCACAGAAATACAAACTACCATCAGAGAATACTATAAACACCTCTATGCAAATAAACTAGAAAATCTAGAAGAAATGGATAAATTCCTGGATACATACACCCTCCCAAGACTAAACCAAGAAGAAGTCGAATCCCTAAGAAGACCAATAACAAGTTCTGAAATTGAGGCAGTAATTAATAGCCTGCCAACCAAAAAAAGCCCAGGACCAGAAAGATTGACACCTGAATTCTACCAGAGGTACAAAGAGGAGCTGCTACCATTCTTTCTCAAACTATTCTAAACAATTGCAAATGAGGGACTCCTCCCTAATTCATTTTATGAGTCCAGCATCCTCCTGACACCAAAACCTGGCAGAGACACAACAACAACAAAAAATAAATAAAATAAATAATAAAAGAAGAGAAAACTTCAGGCAAATATCCCTGATGAACATCAATGCAAAAATCCTCAATGACATACTGGCAGATTGAATCCTGCAGCAAATCAAAAAGCTTATTCATCACGATCAAGTAGGCTTCATCCCTGGGATGCAAGCCTGGTTCAACATACAGAAATCAATAAGCGTAATCCATCACATAAACAGAACCAATGACAAAAACCACATGATTATCTCCATAGATGCAGAAAAGGCCTTCAATAAAATTCAACATTCTTTCATGTTAAAAAAAAGTCTAAATAAACTAGATATTGATGAAACGTATCTCAAAATAATAAGAGTTATTTATGACAAACCCACAGTCAATATAATACTGAATGGGCAAAAGCTGGTAGTGTTCCCTTTGAAAACCAGCACAAGACAAAAATGTCGTCTCTCACCAATCCTATTAAACATAGTATTGGAAATTCTGGCCAGGGCAATCAGGCAAAAGAAAAAAATAGAGGATATTCAAATAGGAAAAGAAGAAGACAAACTGTCTCTGTTTGCAGACGACATGATTCTATATTTAAAAATCCCATCGTCTCATCCCCAAAACTCCTTAAGTTGATAAGCAAATTCAGCAAAGTCTCAGGATACAAACTCAATGCACAAAAATCACAAGCATTCCTATACACCAACAACAGACAAGCAGAGAGCCAAATCTGAATGAACTCCCATTCACAATTACTACAAGAAAATAAAATACCTAGGAATACAGCTAACAAGGGACATGAAGGACCTATTAAATGAGAACTACAAACCACTGCTCTAGGAAATAAGATGGGACACAAATGGAAAAATATCTCATGCTCATGGATAGTAAGAATCAATGTTGTAAAAATGGCGAAGGGGCAAAAGTAATTTATAGATTCAATGCTGTTCCCATCGACTACCTTTGACATTCTTCACAGAATTTGAAAAAAACTACTTTAAACTTCATATGGAACCAAACAAAGGCCCTATAGCCAAGACAATCTTAAGCAAAAAGAACAAAGCTGGAGGCATCACACTACCTGACTTCAAACTATACTACAGGGCCATGGTAAACAAAACAGCATGTTACTGGTATCAAAACCGATATATAGACCAATGGGACATAACAGAGACGTCAGAAATTACACCACACATTTACAACCATCTGATCTTTAACAAACCTGACAGAAACAAGCATTGGTGAAAGGATTCCCTATTTAACAAATGGTGCTGTGAGAACTGGCTAGACATATGCAGAAATCTGAAACTGGACTCCTTCCTTACACCTTATACAAAAATTAACTTAAGGTAGATTAAACACTTAAATGTAAAACCCAAAACCATCAAAACCCTAGAAGAAAACCTAGGTAATATCATTCAGGACATAGGCATGGACAAAGATTTCATGACAAAAATGCCAAAGCAATTGCAACAAAAGCCAAAATTGACAATGGGATCTAATTAAAGTAAAGAGCTTCTTAACAGCAAAAGAAACTATCATCAGAGTGACAAGGCAACCTACTGCATTAGAGGAAACTTTTGTAATCTACCCATCTGACAAAGGTCTAATATCCGGAATCTATGAGGAGCTTAAATACAAAAGAAAAAAACAACCTCATCAAAAAGTGGGCAAAGGGTAAGGACAGACACTTCTCAAGACATTTATGTGGCCAACAAACATACAAAAACAAAAAAAAAGGCTCATCATCACTGATCATCAGAGAAATGCAAATCAAAACCACAATGAGATACCATCTCATGCCAGTCAGAATAGCAATTATTAAAAAGTCAAGAAACAGTAAATGCTGGTGAGGCTGTGGAGAAATTGGAATGTTTTTACACTGCTGGTGGGAATGTAAATTAGTTCAGCCACTGTGGAAGACAGTGCAGCAATTCCTGAAGGATCTAGAACCAATAATACTATTTGACCCAGGAACTGGGTATATACCCAAAGGAATATAAATCATTCTACTATAAAGACTCATGCACACGTATGTTTATTGCAGCACTATTTACAATAACAAAGACATGGAACCAACCCAAATGACCATCAATGATAGACAGGCTAAAGAAAATGTGGTTTTAAGTCTAACATTTAAGTCTTCAATCTATCTTGAATTAATTTTTGTATAATGTGTAAGGAAGGGATCCAGTTTCAGATTTCTACATATGGCTATCCAGTTTTCCCAGCACCATTTATTAAATAGGCAATCCTTTCCCCATTTCTTGTTTTTGTCAGGTTTGTCAAAGATCAGATGGTTGTAGATGTGTGGTATTATTTCTGAGGGCTCTGTTCTGTTCCATTGGTCTATATCTCTGTTTTGGTACCAGTACCATGCTGTTTTGGTTACTGTAGCCTTGTAGTATAGTTTGAAGTCAGGTAGTGTGATGCCTCCAGCTTTGTTCTTTTGGCTTAGGATTGTCTTGGCAATGCAGGCTGTTTTTTGGTTCCCGCACGTTGTGCACATGTACCCTAGAACTTAAACTATAATAATAAAAGAAAAAGAAAATGTGGTACATATACACCATAGAATTCTATGCAGCCATAAAAAGGAATGACATCATGTCCTTTGCAGAGACATGGATGAAACTGGAAGTCATCATCCTCAGCAAACTAACACAGAAAACCAAACACTGAATGTTCTCACTCATAAGTGGGAGTTGATCAGTGAGAACACATAGACAGAGGGAAGGGAACAGCACACACCTGGGCCTGTCAGGGGACAGGGGCAAGGAGAGGGAGAGCATTAGGACAAATAGCTAATGCATCAGGACTTAAAACTTAGAAGACGGGCTGATAGGTGCATCAAACCACCATGGTAGATATATACCTATAGAACAAACCTGCATGTTCAGCACATGCATCCCTGGAATTAAAGTTAAAAAAAAAAAAAAGACTGGTGTGGTGGTGCATGCCTTTAGTCCCAGCTACTCAGAAGACAGAGGCAGAATCACCTGAGTCCAGGAGTTCCAGGCTACAATGAGCTATGATCATACCACTGCACTCCAAAAATACATAATAAATTAAATTAAATTAAATTAAATTAAATTAAATTAAATTAAATTAAATTAAAAAAATACCAAACTGACTGCCCTCAAGAACTTTATAATCCATATAGCAAGTGAAAAACCTTTTTTAATGAATTCAGGATTTGAAAACACTTGAGTGAAATAAACAAGGTAGACAAATATAATAATGGGGCATGAGATATTTTGAAACTATTAAATAGCTATACAGGGCTTGGCATGGTGGCTCAGGCCTTGTAATCTCAGCACTTTTGGAGGCCAAGGCAGGCACATCACTTAAGCACAGGCGTTCAAGACCAGCCTGAGCAACATGGCGAAACTCCATCTCTACAAAAAAATGTAAAAATTAGCCAGGCATGACTGTACCTGTCTGTAGTCCTAGTTACTCAGTAGGCTGAGACAGGCCAAACATTATAGAGCCTGGGAGGTCATGGCAGCAGTGAGTGATGATGCCTGTACTCTAGTCTGGGTAGCCTGGGTGACAGAGCAAAAAAAAAAAAAAGTTTGAAAGATTACAGAGAGAAAGAAAGATAAGGAGAGACTCAATTCAATGGAGTGAATAGACATAATGTTTTCATAACTTGTTTATACAAGCACTCCTAAAGCAGAAGAAAGTAAATATTTTTGTCCTATACCCACTCAACTTATATGCACTCAGTATTACATAGGATTTTGTATTATTTTGCACCTGGAATTATCCATTTCTAAGCCTGAAATATATTTTTATTATAAATTGTCTTTTAAAAATGTATGCCAGTATTTACACATCTATCTCACAAAAAGCATTTAATGTTTTACATGATCAACTATAAAATATAACCAATGTCTTAAATTTATTCTGTGATTTTTTTAAGACTCTGGAAAATCTGATAGATCACCAAGAGAATACATGTCGAATTTTAAATAGAAAAGGAATACAATGTAAAGAGCGCGTTTAGTTATTTGTTGTTGCACCAAAGACTGTAACTATAAGGAGAAAGACTTCTGAAATGGCAGAGGGAGGGCCTCCATAAATCTGATTCTCCATAAATGCAACAAAAATACTGACAAAATGGCCAATATCAACTTATTCAGAACTATGGAAATTAAGCAGTCTTAGAGTCTGAGGAGTGTTTTTTCAAGAAAAAGTGCTGAACTGCTGAACGGAGGGATTTTATAACATTTTAACATAGCCTACTCTCCTTTTGCATCTCCATAGTGTCTTTAAATATCAGCAGCCTTGCTACTACAGTAGCTGTGAACACTAGCAGTATTAAAATCAAGTTAGTAATTCCACTATTACTGCAAATTTTGGTCTAACCAAGTAAATATAAAGAAAGATGAAAAATATTAAAAGTATTACGTATTAAACTCCATGACAGATCATGGAATTTAATCTTAGTTTTCTACCTTTTTCATTTATTATTATATAATTGTGACCCTGCAGATGTATCTTAGAATTAATAGACATTAATTACTTTCTGACAAAGTTGTCTTTGAACTATTATCCAGAAATCTAAATCCTTGACATTGCTTTGCATTCTTTGTGGCTGTAACCTGTATTTCTCAAAACAGTTATAGAGTCCAAATTTATCACTCTCTCATTGACTTATGTAACTTTCCTCTTGGGTAATAATCTACTACAGAATTGTACATCTCAGAATGCTGACTGGGGGTAAAAATGGCCCGTCTAATAACTTTGGGTGGAGAGTTTCCAAGGGATTCCAAAAATATATATCTAAAAGGTAAGAAACTTTTATAAAGCAGTGTGGAGGGATAATATCAACGATAAAATTAGCTTCTTCCTTCCTGCTTGGCTTTTAGTAAAATGTGAGCTGATGAGTTCTAGGTAAAGAAATCATACTTCCACACAACTATACTTGAAAGGTTACAATGTGAAAATGGAAGTTACCTGTTAAAAAATCTGATTATGAGGCTCCCTAATAGCTCTGCAAATAGTCATTTTAAGACAGGGTCAGAAATATAAAAAGGTAGAATTGTTACCCTCGTGGGAAGAAGTTGTGAGCTATAACAATTACAAAATGCTTACTGCTTTTATCCCCGCAAAAATCGCCTACCATAACTGCTACCAAATAAAGCTCTAATGAGCACTGACTGAGAAACAGAAGCAACATTGTGTTATTTAGTTCTTGCAACAACCTCATTAGGTAGTACTATTATTGTCACTACCTATAATGAAGAAATACATGTATATAGAGATTTACTAACTTTAAGTTTAATGCTAGTAAATTTGGTGGAGCTAAGACTTGAAACCAGGTGGTTTAAATCCAAAATCTATGCTTAAACAACCATGTTTTATTAGCTCCCTAAGTAGATCGTCAATTGGAAAAAGAAAGTTATTGTTTACTAAACTCTCCATGTCTCTTTGCACTATATTTGATGCTTAACTTGTAACTATTCAGCAAAAGATTCATTTCACAATTACATGTACCCTTTGCTGAATAAAATAAAGTATCATATAAATCAGTTTTTTGCATTCTAATTTCACAGAGCTTTAGATTTGTTAGTTTATTTGTTAAAAACATGAGAAATTCTTAGATCCTCTTTAACAATTCAGATGAAAATTAAAATATTTATTAAAACAAAGTTGTGTCCATGTTATTTTTATGTGTGTGTAATAGTGTAACAACATCAAAGTTAGTTTAATATCGCTTCATTTGCTTTACTTACATTTTCAGGACTTGCAAGAATTTCAAAACCAGACATACCTTTCAACTGTATAAGCACCTTTTCATTTAACATCCATCCTCTTTTAAGAGTCATAGAATATGTACTACTACTATCGAGTTAGAGATTATCTATTTCTCAAGCCTATCTTTCACACAGGCTAAATGACTTGTGTATTGCATGTGTGTAGTGTTGAAAACATTAAGAAGAACATACACTATAAAATGTTTTTTAAATGTTTTCATTTAATATTTAATGAACAAATACAAGCACTATATTTTACCTCAAGCAATATAATATAATGTTCACTAAAACTTCTTTTATATAAAAATCTTGTTAGCCTTTTCTACAGACTCTGGATTTGACAAAATGTCTAATCTAAAAGAGAAATGTTGAAATAATTTAGTAAAATAAAAAATATAATTACTCAAGAGCTCAGTAATCCCTAAAAATGTTAAAGGGAAGCCTATATTTTGTTATAAAAATAAAACTATTGCAAGTATATAGAGTTGTCCAAAAAGTTTCGGAATATTTATCTCATCTGGACTTTTTATAATCAAAGGTAGTCAAAAAACAGTGTACTGTAAATATAGTGATCAAAACATCACAATATTATAAATTGAATACTTCCTAAATCCAATAACATTTTCTAAGACAACTTAATGTGTACCGTTTTTGGTTGCTTGTTTCTCAAGGGAGACGTGGAAATTATTCAGTAAATGCTTGCTAATATTGGGATTTGCTTTTTATATATTCTTTGTTGTGAGCAATGTGATCTCTTCCATAATTGTCTATTTAAATGAGAATGAGTTCACATAGATTCTGTAATACTTTTCATTTCATCATAAAGTTTTTAAAGCATATTGCATAATGTTTAAGAATGCCTAAAATAAATCTTTGATTAACCAGATAGCATAAGATATAATGGGAATGTATTTAGGACTCTGTTCCCTGAAGGTCAAGAAATTGGTCCCAATCAAGCTATCATAGAGAGGAAGTAATAGAGATAAGTGCCATAAGTTTTCATAAGGAAAAGGTGATATTTTAATTAAATATAGATATGCATCCTTTATTATCTTGAAAACTCATTTGTTAAAAATTCCTGAAATAACTTGATATTTTCCATATAACAAAGCTTTTAAAAACAATCCCTTGTGAACGTAAAATATTTAGTGTAGTAACACAGAAACAAGTTAAGGCAATATTTGACTCTCATATCTTTTTTTTTTATTGTACTTTAAGTTTTAGGGTACATGTGCACAATGTGCAGGTTAGATACATATGTATACATGTGCCATGTTGGTGTGCTGCAACCAATAACTCGTCATTTAGCATTAGGTATATCTCCTAATGCTATCCCTCCCCTCCCCCCACCCCACAACAGGCCCCAGTGTGTGATGTTTCCCTTCCTGTGTCCACGTGTTCTCATTGTTCAATTCCCACCTATGAGTGAGAACATGCGGTGTTTGGTTTTTTGTCCTTGCGACAGTTTACTGAGAATGATGATTTCCAGTTTCATCCATGTCCCTACAAAGGACATGAACTCATCATTTTTTATGGCTGCATAGTATTCCATGGTGTATATGTGCCACATATTCTTAATCCAGTCTATCATTGTTGGACATTTGGGTTGGTTCCAAGTCTTTGCTATTGTGAATAGTGCTGCAATAAACATATGTGTGCATGTGTTTTTATAGCAGCATGATTTATAGTCCTTTGGGTATATACCCAGTAATGGGATGGCTGGGTCAAATGGTATTTCTAGTTCTAGATCCCTGAGGAATCACCACACTGACTTCCACAATGGTTGAACTAGTTTACAGTTCCACCAACAGTATAAGCCTCTCATATCTTAAAATAAAATTATCTGGCCGGGCATGGTGTTTCATGCCTGTAATCTCAGCAGTTTGTGAGGCTGAGGCAGGCAGATCACCTGAGGTCAGGAGTTTGAGACCAGCCTGGCCAACATGGTGAAACCCTGTCTCTACTAAAAATAGAAAAAATAGCTGGATGTGGTAGCAGTCACCTGTAGCCCCAGCTACTCAGGAGGCTGAGGCAGGAGAATCGCTTGAACCCAAGAGGCAGAGGTTGCAGTGAGCTGAGGTTGCACCACTGCACTCCAGCCTGGTGACAGAGCGAGATTCCATCTCAAAAAAAAGAAAGAAAGAAAGAAAGAAAATTCTTCTTTTTCTGTCTTTTTAGTTTTATATTGATTAACGAGTTCTTGAGATAGACTCTAGTCAATTCAATAAATTATTTCTACAATAATTTTAGTTGTACATTGTATTCTCCCATATATCATGCTGTACACATGTGTCATCAAATTTCTGATCTATTAATGAAACACTGATATACTGAGATGTAGCAGGCTTCCGGCCTCTTGCTCCACAATGTGACTACATATGTCAATATGGTATTCCTGAAAAAAACTGGCAGTATTCACTTACTTTGTCAGTGGAGGTTGTTGATCACTTTGAACTGAATCATATAATTCTCTGCCTGTGACATTCAAGATCAACAGTATGGATCCAAGAACAGGGAGTTTGTATTGTGATAGCAGCATTTGGTCTTAGGGTGAGTAGACATTAGTTCCAGAAATAGTTAAGGTCTTTAAAGTCTTTTGATTTATGTCAGGAGGTAATAATTTCTACCTCTCAAATGTGATTTCAATATCAAATATTATAAATGAATACCCTTCAGGCTATCTGGAGAGAGCTCATTTTCTTTGAATGTATTAGCTTCTGGCATTCTATATTTTAATAGATTCCCCTGTGTCCTCTTGTTGATAAGAATAGATGCCTGTGTTTTCTTGATATTTTATCTTTTATTGTTTTTTCTGGTTAACATATTTTTAAAATGCACCTATTATTTCTTTTTTTTCAGGTATTTCTTTTTTTATTTTATTTTATTATTATTATACTTTTTTCTTTTTTTAATTATGCTTTAAGTTTTAGGGTACATGTGCACAATGTGCAGGTTTGTTACATATGTATACATGTGTCATGTTGGTGTGCTGCACCCATTAACTCATCATTTAGCATTAGGTACATCTCCAAATGCTATCCCTCTCCCCTCCCCCAACCCCACAACAGTCCCTGGAGCGTGATGTTCCCCTTCCTGTGTCCATGTGCTCTCATTGCTCAATTCCCACCTATGAGTGAGAATATGCGGTGTTAGGTTTTTTGTCCTTGTGATAGTTTGCTGAGAATGATGGTTTCCAGTTTCATCCTTGTCCCTACAAAGGACATGAATTCATCATTTTTATGGCTGCATGGTATTCCATGTCAAATTGTCCCTGTTTGCAGAAGACATGATTGTATATCTAGAAAACCCCATTGTCTCAGCCCAAAATCTCCTTAAGATGATAAGCAACTTCAGCAAAGTCCCAGGATACAAAATCAATGTGCAAAAATCACAAGCATTCTTATAGACCAATAACAGACAAACAGAGAACCAAATCATGAGTGAACTCCCATTCACAATTGCTTCAAAGAGAATAAAATACCTAGGAATCCAACTTACAAGGGATGTGAAGGACCTCTTCAAGAACTACAAACCACTGCTCAATGAAATAAAAGAGGATACAAACAAATGGAAGAACATTCCATGCTCATGGGTCGGAAGAATCAATATCATGAAAATGGTCATACTGCCCAAGGTAATTTATAGATTCAATGCCATCCCCATCAAGCTACCAATGACTTTCTTCACAGAGTTGGAAAAAACTACTTTAAAGTTCATATGGAAGCAAAAAAGAGCCCTCATCGCCAAGTCAATCCTAAGCCAAAAGAACAAAGCTGGAGGAATCACGCTACCTGACTTCAAACTATACTACAAGGCTACAGTAACTAAAACAGCATGGTACTGGTAACAAAACAGAGATATAGATCAATGGAACAGAACAGAGTCCTCAGAAATAATGCCGCATATCTACAACCATCTGATCTTTGACAACCTGACAAAAACAAGCAATGGGGAAAGGATTCCCTATTTAATAAATGGTGCTGGGAAAACTGGCTAGCCATATGTAGAACGCTAAAACTGGAACCCTTCCTTACACCTTATACAAAAATTAATTCAAGATGGATTTAAAGACTTACATGTTAGACCTAAAACCATAAAAACCCTAGAAGAAAACCTAGGCAATACCATTCAGGATATAGACATGTGCAAGGACTTCATGTCTAAAACACCAAAAGCAATGGCAACAAAAGCCAAAATTGACAAATGGGATCTAATTAAACTAAAGAGCTTCTGCACAGCAAAAGAAACTACCATCAGAGTGAACAGGCAACCTACAGAATGGGAGAAAATTTTTGCAACCTACTCATCTGACAAAGGGCTAATATCCAGAACCTACAATGAACTCAAACAAATTTACAAGAAAAAAGCAAACAACCCCATCAAAAAGTGGGCAAAGGATATGAACAGACACTTCTCAAAAGAAGACATTTATGCAGCCAAAAAACACATGAAAAAATGCTCATCATCACTGGCCATCAGAGAAATGCAAATCAAAACCACAATGAGATACCATCTCACACCAGTTAGAATGGCAATCATTAAAAAGTCAGGAAACAACAGGTGCTGGAGAGGATGTGGAGAAACAGGAACACTTTTACACTGTTGGTGGGACTGTAAACTAGTTCAACCATTGTGGAAGTCAGTGTGGTGATTCCTCAGGGATCTAGAACTAGAAATACCATTTGACCCAGCCATCCCATTAATGGGTATATACCCAAAGGACTACAAATCATACTGCTATAAAGACACATGCACACATATGTGTACTGCGGCACTATTCACAATAGCAAAGACTTGGAACCAACCCAAATGTCCAACAATGATAGACTGGATTAAGAAAATGCACCTATTATTTCTAAGAAATTTAAGGGCAGCTATTTTTATATCTTGCTTAATTTTGTATTGTTATTTATATTATACAAATTTATTAAATAAGTGTTTAGAATTTTAGAAAATACATTACTTGATGTATGACATGAAATTAAAGTATAGATCCTTAGCATTTAGATGTTGAATCTTTTTTCTTACTTGTAAAATTGAATATTTTCATTGTTTCTAATTTCTAGGATGTTTATAATTTTTTAACTAAAATTCAGCCACCAAGTTTATTTCTACCAGGGGAAAAATTAGACATAACTGAAATGCTATTGACATAATTTCTTTCTGCAGTTATTTCATCTAACTTAAATTAATAATTAACAACCATAAAATGTTTTTAATGTACATTAGGACTATATTAATCTAGTCTGTTATTTGATAATAAAAAATATAATATGATGTGTTGTTAAAAACTTTATCGACATATTTTTGTCAGGTTGAATTTATGAGCTATAATTTTCTGATAAATCGTATGAAATTCTTGGTACCTAGAGATCTGAAAACTTAACATTCAGATTACATTTGACAGGATAGAAAGCCAGGAAATAAATTCAAGTATGATGATTTTTGCCAAAGCTTCTGAGTACACAAAATAGAGAAAATATAGTTTCTGCAATAAATGGAGTTGGGAAAACTGACCATCCACATGGAAAAGAATGAAATTCAACTTTTATCTCACACTGATAAATGAACTGAAAATGGATGTAAGACTTAAACCTAAAACGTGAAACTCTAAAGCTGCTAGAAGAAAACGGAGAGAAAATCACCATGATATTATTCTGGGTAGTGATATCTTAGATAAAACTCTAAAAGCACAGAAAAAAAAAAAAAAAAGAGAGAGAGAGAAAAGCACCAAATAGGATTGGATCAAACTAATAAGCTTCTGCACAGCCAACGAAACAATTACCAAAATGAAGAGACAACCTACAAATTGGAAGGAAATATTTATAAACCATGTTTGATAACCATACTGTGATAACACAGTATATAAGCCACACAAGCAACTCAATAGCAAGAAAACAATTAACTCAATTAAAACATGGGCAAAGAATCTGAACCAACATTTCTCAAAAGAAGAGACATAAATGATCAACAGATACATGAAAAAATTTGCAGCATCTCTAATCATCAGGGAAATTCAAATTAATACTGCAATGAGATATCATCTTATGCCTGTTAGCATAACTATTATAAAAAAGACAAATGATAGCAAGTGTTGGCAAGGATGTGGAGAAAAATTACTTTTGTATGCCATTACTAGAAATGTAAATTAATATAGCCATTTTGGAAAATACTATGAAGATTTCTCAAAAAAATGAAAAGAAAAAGAAAACGATTGCCATATAATTCAGTAATCCCACTTTTGGTTATATATGCAAAGGAATTGAAATCAGTATGTTGAGGAGATATCTGCACTCTCATGTTCATTTCAGCATTATTCACAATAGCCAAGATATGTAAGCAACATAAGTGTTCATCAGCAATCATCATCAAATAAATGGATAAAGAAAATGTGTAATATATGTATATATATATAAATATATATATAAATATATATATATAATTAAATATATTCTACAGTCTTAAAAACCTCTGTAAGTTTCAACAATATGAATGGAATTGAATTGCAGGACATTTTGCTATGTGAATTATGCCAGGCACCGAAAGACAAATACTGTAGGATCTCACTCGTATGTGTAATCTAAAAAAGTCACTCTCACAAACAGAGTAAAAAAGTGGTTAGCAGAGTCTAGGAAAGGCCAGGGAAGAATGAGGAAAGGGAAGCAGTTGATCAAAGGCTACAAAGTTCCAGTTAGACTATGGGAATGTTTTACTTATCTATCATACTGCCTTGTGACCACAGTTAATAACAATGTGTCACATACCTCAAATTAGCTAAAATAGATTTTTAATGTTCTGACTACAAAAAACAATAAATTGGTAAGGTGATGAAAAAAAGAACTTGAATGAATAAATGAATATCATAGTTTAAGAATGGAATGCAATGATTAATTAATGTGATATAATTGATTAATTTATATAAATATAGTTTTCTGCCTTTAAAGAAACTTCCTGGAACATCAAGATGTAATTAGACTTTTGAGGAGTCTCTTGGCATCATTTTGTTTTAGAATAAAAACAATAGTAGTTATAGGATGTATATTGGCTCTGACCCTTAGATATTTTGTTTTTATAATAAATAGAAGTTTGTTCTAATAGGTTAAGTGAGAGGTATTTGGGGGGAATTTTTGTTGTTTTTTTAAACTAATAGTAAGAACCAATCAATAAAGATGTGTTTATCAGATCTGTAATCAAATGCCTGATTTCAAATCTTGCTTCTGTCAATTGTTGCTACATTCCTGGGAAATTTATTTAACCGCTCTGAACAAAAGTTTCCTCAACAGTAAAATGGAGATTAAAAACATTTAATTTATAGAACTATTAAAAGGATGAAAAATCACACAAAAGTGCTTAATGTATACTTTCCCAATAATTTATTATATTGTTATTATTATTACTATTATGAGAAATATCTCACTCTATGCAATATGCACCTGTGGAAGACTTTGAAATAAAACCTGTAGGTTAATTTCCGGTTGCTTCTGTAACAAATTACCACAAATATAACGGCTTGCATACTCTTTTTGCTTTAACATTATGTACCTTACTATTTTATTGTAAAGTGCCCATTAACTCTCCCAGAAAATTCATGACAAAATAATAAATTGATTTTCTGCTGTGCATCACTGTCTTGAGAATTTGATTATTATGAGTCATTTATCACAAATGGGACAAAATCTAGTCTCATTAATGGAACTATCTGGTTATTTAATGAAGAAATTGAAATAAATGTAATGGTCCAATCAATGAAAGACTCTTTAGTGGTTTTCTACTTTAGTTAGTACCTGGTATAACCTTCTTACATGCTTTTTTGTTTCCTCTTTAATTCTAAAGTTCATTTTATTTTTGTTATTTTATTGGTTTGCTTGTTATTGTTTCAAATTTTTCCCTCAAAGGGTCTTAATAAAATAATCCTGAGATATTTAATATCTCACTTTAAAAATATTCTGTTCTTTTGGCATAAAGCAAGTTTTCCAAACTAGCAAAGCTCTAATTAGAAGAAATTATATGTTTCTAGAACTTAGGCACAAAAGGCAGGAAAAAATCATTCAGCAACCTATTTCCTATTTTAACGACTGTGAGTTTGTAGTTGAATATCTTTTTTGAAAGCAAATATTTTAAGTACATAATTTAAAGGATTCACCATTGGTTAGAAAACATTTTCATTCAGTGATTCAAATTTAGTATAGGCATATTGATAAATAATATATTTTCTTCTCTTTTATTGCCTGTTCATAACAATTGAGTGAAAAATCAAGACAACTGTATTACATAAACTTTGGTTAACTGAGGATCTTATGCATTTTATTGCAGATAGTACTAGATAGACAGGTGATGTTAATAATAGCTAACATTTAAGTACTCACCATGTGTTAGGAGTTTTCTTAAGTTCCTCTCATTGGTTAGCTCATTTGGTGGGGTAATGAACCATATGAAATAGGTTCTTTTATTATCTCCATTTTATAGATGAGGAACCTGGAATAGGAGAGGTTTCAGTAATCTAACCAAGGTCACACAGCTATTAAGTGATGGAGCTAGTAGTTTAACACAGGCAATATGATTCCAAACCCCGAACCTATTGTAAGATTATTCTGCCTCCACTGAATGCTCCATTGTCTTCTGTACACACGTTTGACACAGGATCATTATTACTTCAGTAAATTAAAACACACAAGTAAATTCACATTTATATTTCCACTTTTTTGTATTTTTTATGATCAGTAAAGCCACTGTTAATTAATATGTCTTGACTTTTATTGCATAACGATACCTTATTTTCTCATTCTCTGATGCTTTATTATATATTGGTAAACTGTAAATA
The DNA here is from genome assembly GCF_000001405.40 of Homo sapiens. NCBI lineage: Eukaryota > Metazoa > Chordata > Mammalia > Primates > Hominidae > Homo > Homo sapiens. The sequence goes on from NC_000001.11 coordinate 191,045,434, forward strand.
TATAATTAATGTGAAAACCACAGTAGTTCTTTATTTTCCTATCAATAAAATAATTTATGACTTATGTATTTATGCATTCTAGCGCGATAAAAGCAAATTAACTTTTCTGATGTGTATATCAATTCCAAATAAACTGATATATTCTGTTTTATTTCTTAGATTGCACTTGAAGTGTTTTCTCTTTAACAAAACAGATACAAGATTTAATTAAATATAGTCAACTTCTCATATTTGAAAGCTTCTCCTCTATTTTGTGTCATTCAACAGAATACTGCTGAATGGGCCTGTGTATATGCTAATATGTTAATGTTACATATAATTATTAGATTATTTTATTTTGAAGACTATTATTTAAAATGTCTGGTTTTGTTAATATTTAACCTAAAATTTATATAAAGGGCTCATGGAATGGCAAATTTAAAGTGCCAATAATTTGTATTTTCTTGATTTATTGAACATTTATTAAGTGACTTATGTTGACAACACCCACTACATCCATATACAACATTCATACCATATCACCGCGTCTTTGTGAAAATTAGAATGGGGGAAGAAAAGATAAATCTAAATTAAATCATAACCCAAAATGCTTAATTACAATAAGATTACCTCTCTCAAGAGAAAAGACATTAAGCTAGGGAGGGCATAAATAAGGATGCCGTTACCTAGGGAGTCATAGAAGAGTTCTGGAAGAACCTACATTAAAGCTATGGTTTGAAGGACATGTTGAGTTAGATGAAGAAGTCAGACAAGGGCATTTGAGTCTGCCCATTTCAGCATGCCTTCAATTAAAGTAGTTTTGAATGGAGGAAGGTTGGAGAGGAATAATGTAATATTAAAAAAATTTCTAGGGTAAACCATGTGGTCATTTTACTTCCTGTTATGTTTTTATAAAGCAATAGACATTATTGAAGAATTCTAAATTGGGGAGTGATATAATCAGAATTGCATTTTTGAAAGAGCAGTATGATATCTTGTGAATAATAATTTGAGGAGGGTTAAGAATGGATGCAAGAATACATGTTAGAGAAAGTTTTCACCCAATTAGACCACAAGGAAACAAAAGATATTCATCATTTAGAACTCAAGTCCATTATCATCAACTTTTTCAAATCACTCTTGACTGCTCTTCTTCTTAAAAGAATTCATCAAATCTTTGTGCCTTTTTTGTGCATTATATATATACACATATATGACCACTATATTATTTTTGTTGCATTAAAAATAACTTGTCTCTGTAAACCACAAGCTTACTGAGAGAAAGAACTATATTCTAATTAAACTTTCTATTCCCTCTGCCTAGCGCAAAGCTTAATATATAACAGACATTTAATATGTGATAATAGATAAAGTTAATACACTAATCAGGAATGCATAAGACATAGGTTTGGATTAATCTGCACACTATGACAGCTGAAATTCTATGAATGCAAGAAACAAATCAGAAAGGTGGTCTGAGTAAAGAAAAGAGTTAAGATTTTAACTTCGAGGAAGATAATAAGAGGCTGCGAGAGGAAGAAAATCCTATGCAAATAAATAAAACTGAAGAACTGATAAGATAGGTAGAAAACCAAGTGTAATTAATGAAGTTAAAGGAGTTAACATTTTTATATAAAGTTTTCAAAAGATTTCCATAAAGCAAAATGCCACAAAAAGGGCAAGGCATAAAAAGTAAGAACTGACATTTTGTCCATTGACTTTGACTACACAGAGGATGCTGCTACATTTTAGGACTTGACATTACCTGTGGAGTGGTAATGTCACTCCACAGTATCAGATTGCATTGAATTAAAGGTTGGTCAGAGAGAAATAAGTAGATAGAGAGGTGAAATAGAAAACAGGAGTTACCTATTTTTTTGTTTTGTTTAAGTATATACATTTATGTGTAGATTTGTGTGTGTGTGTGTGTAGGTTTTAACTGCCCTTTAGAAAGGACATTTGTGCATTTTTATATTTTGCGAGGAAAACAGAAGGATGATTGAGGAGAAGACTTTAAAGAGAGAGACCTGATGTATTGATAAATCAAGTGGTAATTTTCAAATATTTAGGGATACTTCAGATATCTTTTTGTTATTAATTTCTACTTTAATTCAGTTATGGTCTATAAACTGAGTAAAATTTGTTTGCTTTAGTGTCCAGCATATGTCAATGTTGATGACTTTTCTATGGCTATTTGAAGAGAAAGTGTAGTATACTGTAGTTGGATGGAGTGTTCTATAAAAGTCATGTAGGTTAAGTTGGTCACTTGTGATATTTAGGCATTTTAAGTCTTTGTCTTTTTATTCTATTTATGACTGAGTGAAGCATATGGAATTTTATAACTGTAGTTGTCGATTTGTATTTTATTCTTTTCAGTTCAGTGAGTTTTTTCTTTGTGTTTGTTTTTTCATTTTTCATTTCAATAGTTTTTGGGGAACGGGTGGTTTTTGGTTACATGCAAAAGTTCTTTAGTGGTAATTTCTGAGATTTTGGTGCACCCATCACCTGAGCAGTGTACACTGTACCCAGTGGATAGTCTTTTATCCCTTGCTCCCTTCCCACCCTTCCCCACAAGTCCCCAGAATCCATGATATTATTCTTAGGTCTTTGTGTACACATAGCTTAGCTCTCACTTATGAGTGAGAGAGTATGACATTTGGTTTTCCATTCCTGAGTTACTTCAATTAGAATAATCATCTCCAACTACCTCCAGGTTACTGCAAATGCCATTATTTCATTGCTAAGTCATATTCTATTGTGTGTATATACCATATTTTCTTTATCCACTTGTTGGTTGATGGGCATTTAGGCTGGTTCCATATTTTTGCAATTCCAAATTATGCTGCTAAAACATGCATGTGCCTATGTCTTTTTCATATAATGGCTTCCTTTCCTCTGGGTAGGTACCCAGTAGTGAGATTGCTAGATCAAATGGTAGTTCTACTTTTAGCTCTTTAAGGAATCTCCATACTATTTTCCATAGTGGTTGTACTGGTTTATATTCCCACCAAGAGTGGAAAAGTGTTGCCTTTTCACCACATCCACGCCAACATCTATTATTTTTTGACTTTTTAATTATGGCTATTCTTACAGGGGTAAGGTGGTATCTCACTGTGGTTTTAATTTGCACTTCCCTGATAATTAATGATGTGATCATTTTTCATATATTTGTTGGCCATTTGTATATCTTCTTTTGAGCGTTGTCTCTTCATGCCCTTTGCCTACTTTTTGATGGAATTATTTTTTTTTCTGGCTGATCTGTTTGAGTTCCTTATAGATTCTAAACTCCTTGTAGATTTAGTTACCTTGTCTGTGTTGAGTCATTTGATGTGTGCATCTAAGAGTATCTTCATCTCTGTTATTAAACTTTTTTTTTTTCAAGAAGTACCATTTAACTCTTTCAGAATATCCATCTCTTTGCTGAAATTCTCTATCAGGTCACTCATGTTTTCCACATTTTTTTTTCCTAGAAATTCTATTATATTTCTTAGACTTATTTAAATTATCTGTTTCATGCCATATTACAGCCTGGTTCTCTTAATTGCTTTATCTCCATAAAGTGTGTTGCTTTTTTGTCTTTTACTGTGTATCATATATTTCTTGGTGGAAATCTGGACATATTTTCTTGGCAATTAGAGGCTGAGGTAAATAGAATTTATGCCTGCAAATTGTCACATCTCTTCTGTGTTGTTTATGTGTGGGGTGGATTTAGTATGAATTGCACCATGCTTTGTTTTTGTTGTCATTATAGTTACCCTCTGTGAATCTCGGGGCTTAAATTGCACCAAACATGTCTCATACAGAGAGTAAGAGCTGGTTCACTGAAGAGTTTGTATCAGCATTTGCTCCAACCCAACCTCTCAGTATTACCTTTTCACCTGTGCCTCAGAAAGGGTCTCCTTCCATGATTTTGCTCTCCCAAAAGAAGACTAGTGTAACTTGCTCTTGGATGTTGGCTAGGCTGATGAAGGAGGGCTTGGGATGTGTTCTATTGGTATAGTTCAGCCTTAGTGTTAGGCAGACATTGTGTCACTAGGTCTCAGGGGTAGGATCACCTGAGCCATCCTGCTACTCTTCTAGCAATAGGGACTTTTAAAGGCATATTCAGTTACAGAACAGTAGGAGATAACATCAGAACCGTAACATGACAAACATGACAAATAAATTTGAAGGCATATGACCTGAAAAAAGAATAGGATCACAATTTACTTATTACTTTATTTGTTTGCTTGTTTGTGTATGTGTGTAATGCTTTCCTTCTGATATAATGAGTCTTCACCTATGCCCACAAACTGACCGTGTTTGCTACCATTTATCCAATGGCTGAAGGCTTTTGTTCAACAAGGGAAATGAGGAGAATGATTCCAGTGTGTCTGTGCCTCTCCTGCTGTATATTCTGCCTCTCTCATGCCTGCACCGGTGTGGAAGCTTTATCCTATCTTACTCTTCTCTCGATCTTTTAGCTGCCTGCCTAGTAAATTTCTTGGCACAGAGCTTGTGAGTGAGTGTAAATTTTCCTTGTGTCTATGGTCCCCATGGGTTCTATTTTCTCATATGAGCTCACAGTTCATCTCTAGCAATGTTCAAAATGTTAGCAAAGTTCTTCTTACCATCTGGTGCCTACCCCTGGCAAGCAAGTGTCTGCCTTTCCATAAATTTGGGGTTATTTGGCTGACCTAATACCTCAGCTCTCTGATGAGATCAGGAAGCTTGTGACTCTTTTAGCTTCACTGATTTGTTTAAAGTTAGGCAATTTTCCTTCTAAATTGTACAGTTCAAGTAAAAGCCAAAATATGTACAAATAAAAAAATTTCAAGAAGTTTTTTATGTTGTATTATTAGTTTACTCTTGGTGCATATCCAAAATGTTATTTTTCCAAAGGCTAAATTTCAACTTCCAAACCATATTTATGTATTTATAAATCTAGTCTGTATTTATAAATCTAGTAAATATTAACTACCAGTTTTAAGAGTTCTTGTATTAGTATTTGGTCTGTTATGGAATTGGTTTACACCTTAAAGTACTTTTGACCACATTTAAATTTAATATAGTTAGTTTTCTTATCAAATATGTTTCTTATTTAATTGATTACATATAAATACTCAAAGATATATACAAATTGTTATAAATTATATAAATTAAACTTTTTAATATGGTGCTTCTTAACTTATATATGTATATATTTAATCAAAAATTAAATTTGACTTAAAATGGACAATATAATTAAGTTACAGAATTATATATTGTAAGTAGAATTCTAAGCTTAAACTATGATTTCAATGGTTTATATTTTCTTAAACATAACAAACATGACAAATACTTAAAGTCTATATATTCACAGATTGTTTAAAAAATAATTGATAGATTTTATTTTATTTCTTACATATTTATACAGTTAACTCTCAACTTTCTACAGTTAAAGAGACTTATACAATAAGGAATCAATCTGAGGTTATTTCCTGGGATGCCAACTGTGTGAGCATTCTGGAAAGAAAGCCAGTCTGTTTACAGTGGGAGAAGTAATGGAGAGGAAACAGTAGGAGATAATACCAGAAGGATAATAGAGGCCATTTAATGTGAGGATTTTTAAAAAATATATCTATTACTTTAAGCAAAATTGAAAGCCACTGGAAGGCTTTGGGCAGCAGATTAGTAATTTGTTACAGGGCATGCTTTTAATAAGATCAGTATATCTGCTCTGTTGAAAAGAACTTGCAGAAGGAGGGAGACCTGTTGGGAGATTATAATCCAAGCATACATGACAGAGATTCACATCTATCTGGCAGGATCCACGTAGTAAACAAATAAAACTCTCAAAGCCATCATTAAATGATTAAGTGTAATATCATAAAAGAAATTTCTACAAAACTGCTTTCTGGGTTAAAAGAAACCAACAAGGTATGATGAACCAGGAAGAAAACACCTACCTTGTGCATAAAAGTCAGGGGAAATGAGTGATGCACAAAACCCAGTGAGACTTCTAGCCATACAAGAAGGCTACCTTATAGGAGCATGCCCTTGGGTTGAGAAACAGCCACGTTCAAACCTAATCCCTCAAGAAGGGAGCTGGGAAATCACTACTTCAACCAATGTCCCCTTTGTTCTCCTGCCAGTTCCACTATTCTCAAGAAAGTAAAGAGAAGTCAGAGGTCAAAGTGTTTTCATAAGATATAAAGATGCTTTTGATGGCAGGATGAAAAACTTTGAAACTCAGGTGAAAGATGGAACTCTTGGTTACTTGCCAATTTTTTTTTTTTTTAAAGACTACCAGGAGGAGTCACATGGGATGATCTTGGGGACAAAATAAAAGCAAGCTAGATTTACAGGGGAAAGCTTAGGTATGGCAAGGAGGGTATTATAAGCTAGATTTCACAGGTGGTCTATAGATTAACTGATTTGAATATTTTACCGCAGGCATTTGGACAAGAGCCCTGGTTGTCTGGTATCTAGACCCAGGGCAAGTAGAGCAGCTGCATAGTGGCCCAGAGTTTGACAGCATGATTAGGAAAGAAGCTGGAGTGTGGACTTAATCAGCTTCTTAAGAAGAGGAACTAGCTGGTCAGTAGCCAAAGCCTCAAACCTCGGTCAAAACAGCATTAAAACAAACAAACAAAAACAACTATATTACACAAGGGGCCTTCTTTGATATAATCTTTAAAGGTTGTGCCCACAAGATACAGAGCCAGATGAAAAAAAGTGAAGAGGGCAACAGGAATTGAGAAGAAGACGGTAAATTGTTGGTATATTGATGACGTTTAATGTCATAGACCAGGTGTAATTATCAAAGGCAAGAGTATAGATAGAAAAGAGAAAAGATCCCAAAATTGAGGGATTACCTAACTGTCCAGGGATGAGCGGAATAATTCACCATAATAGATAGAAGAGAAGAAAGAAGCATCACACCAGTATAACATCTTGGAAACCAAATGGTATAAAAAGTATTAAGGAGGAGGAAATATAGATTAACACAAATAGAGACTGATAACTGACCACTGGAATTAGCAAAGTGAAAGTAAGTGTTGACCTTTTAGGAATAATTATATTATATGGTGGAAATGTATGAAATCTTGATCAGCAAGTGAACCACAGAGCAAAATAAAATAATTGGAAACAGGTTAAAGACAATACTTTGTTTGTTTGTTTTTGAAATGGAGAATCCCAAAGTGAGGCATTGTCTGGTTGTTTATTTGTTGTCTGGTTTTAGATAAGAGAAAGGCCAGCATACATGCACACTGATGAAAATGATCCATCAAAGAGAAAAAGAGTGAGGCCAGGAAGAGAAAATTGCAGAAGCTTTGCCTTTGCATGGGCAACATTAAGTGGGAATTAGTGCACTAAAGAAGAGAAGTTTTTGTAAGGAGTATGAAAAGAACATATATACTAAAGGTGGGAAATGACAAGTGGGCAGATGCTAATAGGAAAACTGAGGTGTTAATTACTGTTGAGCAAGATTTAGGAAGGAGAAGACATGATGCTGAGGGGATTCTCTATGTTTATATTAAAATTATCAAAATCTAAGACAGATTAGAATGAGAACGTAAAAATAAATCATGACCTAAAATAGTTCAGAAATGATAAGCAATAACTCAACATCGGTGGACTACAAAATTAATGACAAACTGAGGAAATGCAGATAGCAGATCCAGGACGATAAACAGAATGACGTGGTTGGCATACGCAATTGGAAATTCTTTTGTACATGGGGGTTGAGTAGTAATGGCTCTAACATGCAAGAGATTAAGAAATATGTGACAGAATAAAACGTTCTCACAAGTTTATAGTACATTGTGACTCAAATTATTCCAAAGTAATAATCTAGGATGTTTTAGTCTCAGTAAAAATTTTGTCATGAGGGAAACTATTTAAAAGGGCATAGTTGGATGGCTTGAAAATAATGAGCATGTAGCTGGGTGGGTTTGGTGGGGAATGGCAAGGCAGTATAGATAGGGCAAATGGTAAGTTCTCATAACAACACAGGTTGTGTTGCATGCAGTCTAGAGTTAAGAAAAATAACAGAGTTAGCGTTATGACTTCACATGCATAATGGCAGCGGTGAAAGAGAGACCATATGCTGACTGAGTGTCCACTAGAAGCCATTCAATTCTTACAATAATGTTGAAAGTTAGACTTTATTTTTTTTTATTTTCTTATGTATTAGTCAGAGTTCTCTAGAGAGACAAAACCAATGAGAGAGAGAGAGAGACAGACAGAGAGAGAGAGAGGTGGAAGGGGAGAGGATTTATAGGATAATTGGCTCATGAGATTATGGAGGCTCAGCCTCAATCTGAAAGCTTCAGAACCAGGGAAGTCAATGGTTTAATATTCAATTTGAGACCAAAGGTTTGAGAACCTGGGGAGTATCTGGAAAAAGTCCCAGAGTCCACAGGCCAGATAGACTAGAATTTGATGTCCAGAGACAAGAAGAGAATTCAAGTTCCAGGAGAAAGAAAGAAAATCAATTGTCTGCCTTTTCTGTTGTATCCAGCTCCCAGACGATTGGACAGTGCCTAACAACACTGAGGTTTTCTGCAGCCAGTCCACTGACTCACACACCAATTTCTTCTGGAAACACCCAGAAGTAATGCTTTACCATTTTTCTATGTATTCTCTAATGTAGTCAAGTTGACATTTAAAATTAACCATAACACCTTATAACAAAGAAAAGTAGACCCACAGTATCTGAAAAGAGCAAGTTCTAAAGATATTTTTATTTTAGATTATTTGTTTAATTTTTGTTTATTTGATGGAAACTATTTTAAACCATATATTTGAATGGGATAAGAAAAAGTGGGAGTGTATGTAGCATGGGCCTGGGGAGACAGTGCCTCATACAATGGAGCTATGGAAATAAATGCTAGTAAGATAAGATCATCTTTCATTTAATATGGTGGCAACATTTGGTAGGTATTGTAACATTTTTGTTTAAGTTAAAATTTGGAATAGAATGCTATTACCAAGTTTTGGCCTATTATGTTATAATATTAGCCATATCAATAGATATTTAGAATAAATGCATTCAGTTTTTCCCTCTATATTTTCCTTCCTTACAGAAATTTATTTTCTGCCCAAAGTCCATTTTCACTAATCTTCATTAAATCTTAACAGAATGAATTAAATCGCTACATAAAACATGCAAAGATCCAGTTGAGATACCCAATCTGAGTAAAACAGAACAACTTCAAGCCCTCCATTATTCACAAAAATCTCAACAGAACGATGCTATGTAATTTTCAGAAATTCCATAAGTGGTACAGTTTGGAATACCTTAAAATACATACAAAAGGTGTTAATATTGAGTTTTACTCCATTTTTGTTAATAACCTGTGAGTTTGAGTAAATGGCGTAATTATTCTAGGCCTTGACTTCTTTACTTGTATCATAAAGAAAACTATTTTAAACTTAAAGCCCTGTTAAGTGCTAACATATGGAATATAGGCACTAATATTATTTTAAAGAGAAGCCCAAGAGAAAATTATTTTTTCCTACACAATTCCTACTAATTGACATGTTGAATGAAACTCAACAGAATGTTTCAGTTTTTACCAATAGTTTGTGTACCATTTCATATTTATAAAAACATAGTCTTCCTTCTAGGCAATTAGAGAACTCCCTTCTTCTCCAAATCTAATAACAAAATGAATTTTAAAAAGAATTCATTTAGTTGGTAAGAACATAAAGATTTAAAGTAACATTTTATTCTTAAGGATCAAAGGAATAAGAGAAAGTCCAATCACTGATGTGTTGTTTTATCAGCTTAACAGGGAAGGCAAATAAACCATAACAATAATATTTAAGATTTCCATAAAGTTTTAAATTGTGTGGCACAGACAGCTAGCTACTGTTTATTTAATAATGCATATTGATTTATAAGTCTGTACACATAGAGAAAGCTAAAGCATTTAAATAATCAAGGAATAAAAACAAACAATAAGTATGAATTTCCAGATGTGAAAATTGCTTGATGAATGCTCCCCTAAGGGCTTACGTAATACCTTTAATTTTTTTCCATATAACACTGCCTTTACTGCTTCTAGTTTCAAACTCAGAGAATTTCTATAAGAATCCTATTATGAAGTGAAATAGCTGCTCATGATTGAGCATATTTTCTAGTTTGCTTTAGACAATTTATATCACTTGAGATGCAAGATTTGTTTTATTTAAAGAGGGTTTCGAACTTTTATCTGAAGAGTTGAATCATTATTTTTGCTCCATCGAGGCATTCATCTCTAAAATGGTAAACTGGTAAATACTGTGCATCTGAGACATCAAGCTGAAAAGCTTGTCAACAGAAACAAGACTTTCAACTCTCAAACTGTTCCAGTTCACTGACTGAATCCATGGACTAAGAAAAATCTGAGCATAGGTCACAGAAAAATACTGCTGTCATTTTTATAGTAAGTTCCACCACTGTGCTTACTCAATAGTAATGTCTAGAATACATGGCCAGAGATGATTGCATATAAAGCGCGTGTTGAAGAAAATGAGAGGTTTTGTTTAACTGAGAGTATATTAGGTATGTGCCAATCTATCTGTTGGTACAAATGAAATAATTTATATGTAGTAAGTGATCTCCTAACTATCTCAGAAAATGCGAGTTTTCAGAATAGCAGCAGAAATGTAAGTACAATATGATCACAGGTGTCACAGAGAAATTGAAAAGTAATCTTTTATAGTGCATCATAATGTTTATAAGTAACTCCGCAAGAAAGTGGAAAATCTCAAATCATCTAAATGCACATTTATCATAACTATTATGAAGGAGACATTTTGCTTTGCTTTATGTTTTCCTTAGTCTTGTGTGACATAATCATATCTTCTCCAAAGTAATAAATATAAGTACTTTGTGTTAGGTACATTTTAAAAGGGCTTATTGGCTTAAGAGCATTTCCCTTCTCTACTATAATTGTCACAGTTTTGAAGAGTTTAAGTTAGAGGTGATCACACTGGATTTCATATCTTGCAGTGACTTAATCCATACAGCCTCAGAAATTCAATTTATGAAATCTTTTCATTAAAAAAAGTACCTGCACTATTTGCAAGCACCATAATTTGGGTACATCACTTAAACTTTCAGTCTTGCTTTAAAAAAAATCTATACAATGTGGACAGACATATCTATTGTGATAACTTTATTGTTTTAGGTAAAAAATGTCAAAGAAAATTCTTATAAATAATTGAATGTAGGATGTAAGAATATATAATGTAGGATGTGAGGCTATAACATGTTACTCATTTATTTCCAGGTTGATTGAAATAATTTACCTGGCTATGGAGTATCTTTTACTATTTCATAGCCATCCCTCCCAGTTCTGCTCAAAAAAAGCAACTTAAAAATGTAGAAAAACTACTTTTCAGTAAAGAGAAGGTAAATATTATTTACCAACACATAGAAATAAAATTGCAGACAAAATATTAATATATAGGACATATCTGTATTATTAACACAACATCCACATCATTAATTCCAAAGATTAAAACAAGCTTTGAGATACCTAGAAATATTATTTAAATTTCATCAATAATGTACGTATCTATTTTTTTACAAGATTCTCTATGGGAGAGCAAAGAAGGGGTACTATGCTACACATGTTATATATAAGAAAACGTACTTATGAGAAAATATTATACAGGCAAGTTTCAGCTCTAAAATAATACAGGAATATTTGCTATTTTTGCCCTTTAAGAAAGACTGAGCATAATATTGATGTAATTAGAATATTTCAATTTTTAAGATATGTGCCCCTGTGTAGCCTATAGTCCTTGAAGTCAAATGCCATAAAATTGTACTTCATCTTTTTTTTTTTTAGAGTTAAAAGAATGCTTGAGTACTTTATTAGCTTTCACTAAACAGGCACATATTCATAAAAAATTACATACAGTTTTTCTTTAATTATAATTCAAGTTCTGGGATACATGTGCAGAACGTGCAGGTTTGTTACATAGATATACAGGTGTCATGGTGGTTGGCTGCACTCATCAACCCTTCAGCCACATTAAGTACTTCTCCTAATGCTATCCCTCCCCCACCCCCCACCTCCTCACAGGCCCTGGTGCGTGATGTTCCCCTCCCTGTGTCCATGTGTTCTCATTGTTCAACTCCCACTTATGAGTGAGAACATCTGGTGTTTGGTTTTCTGTTCATGTGTTAGTTTGCTGAGAATGATAGTTTCCAGCTACACCCATGTTCCTGCAAAGGACATGAACTCATGCTTTTTTGTGGCTGCAACTTATTTCATGGTGCATATATGCCACATTTTCTTTATCCAGTCTAACATTGATGGGCAGTTGGGTTAGTTCCAAGTCTTTGCTATTGCGAATAGTGCCACAATAAATATGCATGTGCATGTGTCTTTAGAGTGGAATAATTTATAATCCTTTGGCTATATACCCAGTAATGGGATTGCTGGGTCAAATGGTGTTTCTGGTTCTAGATCCTTGAGGAATCACCACACTGTCTTCCACAATGGTTGAACTAATTTACATTCCCACCAACAGTGTAAAAGTGTTCCTATTTCTCCACATCCTCTCCAGCATCTGTTGTTTCCTGATTTTTTAATGATTACCATACTAACTGGCATGAGATGGTATCTCATTGTGTTTTTGATTTGCATATCTCTAAGGACCAATCATGTTGAGCTTTTTTCATATGATTGTTGGTCGCATAAATGTCTTCTTTTGAGACTTGTCTGATCATATACTTGGCACACTTTTTGACAGGGTTGTTTGTTTTTTTCTTATGAATTTGTTTAAATTCTTTGTAGATTTTGGATATTAGACCCTTGTCAGATGAATAGATTTTAGAAATTTCCTCCCATTCTGTAGGGTGTCTGTTCACTCAGATGATAGTTTCTTTTGCTGTGCAGAAGCTTTTTAGTTTAATTAGATCCCATTTGTCAATGTTGGCTTTTGTTGCCATTGCTTTTAATGTTTTAGTCATGAAGTCTTTGCCCACGCCTATGTCCTGAATGGTATTGCCTAGGTTTTATTCTAGGGTTTTTATGGTTTTAGGTATTATGTTTAAGTCTTTAATCCATGTTGAGTTAATTTTTGTATAAGGTGTAAGGAAGGGGTGTAGTTTCAATTTTCTGCATATGGCTAGCCAGTTTTCCCAACACCATTTATTATATAGGGAATCCTTTCCCCATTGCCTGTTTTTGTCAGGTTTGTCAAAGATCAGATGGTTGTAGTTGTGTGGCATTATTCCTGAGGTCTCTGCTCTGTTCCATTTGTCTATATATCTGGATTGGTACTAGTACCATGCTGTTTTGGTTACTATAGCCTTGCAGTAGTACAGTTTGAAGTCAGGTACCGAGATGACTCCAGTTCTGTTCCTTTTGCTTACGATTGTCTTGGCTCTTCGGACTCTTTTTTTGTTCCACATGAAATGTAAAGTAGTTCCTTCTAATTCTGTGAAGAAAGTCAATAGTACTGATGGGGATAGCATTGAATCTTTATATTACTTTGAGCAGTATGGCCATTTTAATGATATTCATTCTTCCTATCCATGAGCATGGAATGTTTTTCCATTTGTTTGTGTCCTCTCTTATTTCCTTGAGCAGTGGTTTGTAGTTCTCCTTGAAGAGGTCCTTCACATCCCTTGTAAGTTGTATTCCTGGGTATTTTATTCTCTCTGCAGCAACTGTAAATGGGAGTTGACTCGTGATTTGGCTCTCTGTTGGTCTGTTATTGGTGTATAGGAATGCTTGTGATTTTTGCACATTGATTTTGTATCCTGAGACTTTGCTATAGTTGCTTATCAGCTTAAGGAGATTTTGGACTGTGTCAAAGGGTTTTCTAAATATACAATCATGTCATCTGCAAACAGAGACAATTTGACTTCCTCTCTTCCTATTCAAATATCCTTTATTTCTTTATCTTGCCTGATTGCCCTGGCCAGAACTTCCAATACTATGTTGAATAGGAGTGGTGAGAGAGGGCATCCTTGTCTTGTGCCAGTTTTCAAAGGGAATACCTCTACCTTTTGCCCATTCAGTATGTTATTGGCTGTGGGTTTGTCCTAAATAGATCTTATTATTTTGAGATATGTTCCATCAATACCTAGTTTATTCAGAGTTTTTAGCATGCAGGGGTGTTGAATTTTATTGAAGGCCTTTGCTGCATCTATTGAGATAATCATGTGGTTTTTGTCATTGGTTCTGTTTATGTGATGGATTTTGTTTATTGATTTATGTATGTTAAACCAGGCTTGCATCCAAGGTATGAAGTCGACTTGATCGTGTTAGATAAGTTTTTTGATACACTGCTGGATTCGGTTTGCCAGTATTTTATTGAGGATTTTCGCATCAATGTTTATCACGGATATGGCCTGAAATTCTCTTTTTTTGTTGTTGTGTCTCTGCCAGGTTTTGGTATGAGGATGATGATGGCCTCATAAAATTAGTTAGGGAGGAGTCCCTCTTTTTCTATTGTTTGGAATAGTTTTAGAAGGAATGGTACCAGCTCCTCTTTGTACCTCTGGGAGAATTTGGCTGTGAATCCATCTGGTCCCGAGCTTTTTTTTGGTTGGTAGGCTATTAATTACTGCCTCAATCTGAGAACTTGTTATTGGTCTATTCAGGGATTCCACTTCTGCCTGCTTTAGTCATGGGAGGGTGTACGTGTCCAGGAATTTATCCATTTCTTCTAGATAATCTAGTTCATTTGCATAGGTGTGTGTATAGTATTCTCTGATGGTAGTTTGTATTTCTGTGGGATCAGTGGTGGTATCTCCTTTATCATTTTTTATTGTGTCTATTTGATTCTTCTCTCTTTTCTTCTTTATTAGTCTGGCCAGCAGTCTATATATTTTGTTGATCTTTTTAAAAAACCAGCTCCTGGATTCATTTATTTTTTGAAGGGTTTTTCGTGTCTCTATCTCCTTCCGTTCTGGTCTGATCTTAGTTATTTCTTGTCTTCTGCTAGCTTTTGAGTTTATTTGCTCTTTCTTCTCTAGTTATTTTAATTGAAATGTTAGAGTGCCAATTTTAGATCTTTCCTACTTTCTCTTGTGGGCATTTAGTGTTATAAATTTCCCCCTAGATACTGCTTTAGCTGTTACCCAGAGATTCTGGTATGTTGTGTCTTTGGTCTCATTGGTTTCAAAGAACTTATGTATTTCTCCCTTAATTTCGTTATTTACCCAGTAGTCATTCAGGAGCAGGTTGTTCAGTTTCCATGTAGTTGTGTGGTTTCGAGAGAGTTTCTTAATGCTGAGTCCTAATTTGTTTGCACTGTAGTCTGAGAGACTGTGTTATGATTTCCATTCTTTTGCCTTTGCTGAGGAGTGTTTTACTTCCAATTATGTGGTCAATTTTAGAATAAGTGCGATGTGGTGCTGAGAAGAATGTATATTGTTGATTTGGGGTGGGGAGTTCGATAGATGTCTATTAGGTCTCCATGGTCCAGAGCTGAGTTCAAGTCCTGAATATCCTTGTTAATTTTCTTTCTCCTTAATCTGTCTAATACTGACAGTGGGGTGTTAAAGTCTCCCACTGTTGTTCTATGGAAGTCTAAGTCTCTTTGTAGGTCTCTAAGAACTTGCTTTATGAATTTGGATGCTCCTGTATTGGGTGCATATATATTTAGGATAGTTACTTATTCTTGTTGCATTGATCCCTTTACCATTATGGAATGCCCTTCTTTGTCTTTTTTGATCTTTGTTTTTTTTAAGTCTGTTTTATCAGAGACTAGAATTGCAACTCCTGCTTTTTTTTTTTCTTTCCATTTGCTTGGTCAATATTCATCCATCCCTTTATTTTGAGCCTATGTGTGTTTTTGCGTGTGAGATGGGTCTCCTGAATTCAGCACACTGATGGGTCTTGACTCTTTATCTAATTTGCCAGTCTGTGTCTTTTAATTGGGGCGTTTAGCCCATTTAAATTTAAGGTTAATATTGTTATGTGTGAACTTGATCCTGTCATTATGATGCTAGCTGGTTATTTTGCCCGTTACTTGACGTAGTTTCTTCATAGTGTTGATTATCTTTACAATGTAGTATGTTTTTGCAGTGGCTGGTACAAGTTTTTCCTTTCCAGGTTTAGTGCTTCCTTCAGGAGCTCTTGTAAGGCAGGCCTGGTGGTGACAAAATCTCCCAGCATTTGCTTGTCTGTAAAGGATTATATTTCTCCTTTGCTTATGGAGCTTAGTTTGGCTGGATACAAAATTCTGGGTTGAAAATTCTTTTCTTTAAGAATGTTGAATATTGGCCCCCACGCTCTTCTGGCTTGTAGGGTTTCTGCAGAGAGATCCGCTGTTAGTTTGTTGGGCTTCCCTTTGTGGGTAACTCACCTTTTCTTTCTGGCTGCCCTTGACATTTTTCCCTTCATTTCAACCTTGGCGAATCTGATGATTATGTGTCTTGGGGTTGCTCTTCTCAAGGAGTATCTTTGTGGTGTTCTCTCTATTTCCTGAATTTGAATGTTGGCCCGTCTTGCTAGGTTGAGGAAGTTCTCCTGGATAATATCCTGCAGAGTGTTTTGCAACTTGGTTCCATTCTCCCTGTCACGTTCAGGTACACCAGTCAAACGTAGGTTTGGTCTTTTCACATATTTCTTGGAGTCTTTGTTCATTCGTTCGCATTCTTTCTTCTCTAATATTTTATTCATGCTATATTTCATTAAGTTTATCTTCAATCTCTGATATCCTTTCTTTTGCTTGGTCAATTTGGCTATTGATACTTGTGTACGCTTCAGGAAGTTCTTGTGCTGTGTTTTTCAGCTCCATCAGGTCATTTATGTTCTTCTCTAAACTGGTTATTCTAGTTAGCAATTCCTCTAACCTTTTTTCAAGGTTCCTAACTTCCTTGCCTTGGGTTAGAACATGCTCCTTTAGCTCAGAGGAGTTTGTTATTACCCACCTTCTGATGCCTACTTCTGTCAGTTCTTCAAACTGAGCATTTCTTGCAGCTCTGCATTCTCCTGTTTTGCAGTAAGATTAACAAATAATGCTAATTATTAATACAAAGATACAAACATGAAAACCATAGTGAACTACTTAATACATATTTATCTTGTTATGATCTTGCATTATTAAGACATATATTCCTTGATGACATGGGAAGAACCATGAATTCATTATCTTATGACCCTCTTATCTACCATAATTTCTACTTCATATTGTGTTAATATAAGAAGCTTGTTTTGTCCATATAAAAAAAAACTGTATATAAACATGGAGTTCATTCTTCATCCATGTTTTCTACTCGTCCACCAATTGACAGCATAATTTTTTTCTAATGAACTCTTCCACTATGTCCAATTATGTGCTTTCAAGCTTTTTATAGCACTGAATTCTGATGACTAACTCATCAATGCCTATTTCCACACAAACTCTAGGCTCCATGTGGGCAACACACTTTTTCTCACAATTTTATTCCTAGTATCTCTAGAGAACCTGGCAGTATAAGTCTATTAATATATATTTGATGAAGTACTCAATGGCTGTTTTAAAGAATGAGTGAAGCTATTTATTGCAAAGTGCTAAGAAATATTTCTAATAATAAAAAAAGTGATTCTCCTTTGAAGCATATTATGACATACTGATGTGTCTGCAGCTTTGAGAATGGTTCTTTTTTTAAAGACTCTTTTTGAAAAAAATTCAATTTTATATATAATTTTATGTAATTCTATATATGTATGTACATAAGTTTTATATTTATTTTTATTTTTTACACATGCAAATAGTACTAGAATGTAAACAGTCAACAACTTGTGCTTTTAGTAGCAGTATGAATTTATTATAGCTTTTTAATTATTATTTTAACCCCTATATAGCAATATGATGTTTTTAAAGTACTTGAATTTATTTAACTAGTCTTTTTGATAGGTTGTTTCCAATTTTTTCATTTTTCATTTTTTCATTCAATGCATATTCATTGAACCACCTACTACTGTGTGCTGGACATTCCTACAGGCATGAAGATTCAGTGGTGAACAGAACAAAGTCCTTGCACTAGGTAAACTTCCAGTCTCATAAGCTGTATTGCAGAAAACACATCCCTGTACATGTTATGCTTACTTGCTTATGTGAGTCAATCTGAAGGATAAATTGTTCAACATGGAATTATTGAGTCAAAGGGCATAAAAATTTCAAATATAATAAATTTCTTTTCAAATTGACAAATGGGATCTCATTAAACTAAAGAGCTTCTGCACAGCAAAAGAAACTACCATCAGAGTGAACAGGCAACCTACAAAA
This sequence comes from Homo sapiens, assembly GCF_000001405.40. Classification (NCBI taxonomy): domain Eukaryota; kingdom Metazoa; phylum Chordata; class Mammalia; order Primates; family Hominidae; genus Homo; species Homo sapiens. The sequence continues at coordinate 191,063,608 of NC_000001.11, forward strand.
TGGGAGAAAATTTTCGCAACCTACTCATCCGACAAAGGGCTAATATCCAGAATCTACAATGAACTCAAACAAATTTACAAGAAAAAAACAAAGAACCCCATCAAAAAGTGGGCGAAGGACATGAACAGACACTTCTCAAAAGAAGACATCTATGCAGCCAGAAAACACATGAAAAAATGCTCATCATCACTGGCCATCAGAGAAATGCAAATCAAAACCACAATGAGATACCATCTCACACCAGTTAGAATGGCAATCATTAAAAAGTCAGGAAACAACAGGTGCTGGAGAGGATGTGGAGAAATAGGAACACTTTTACACTGTTGGTGGGACTGTAAACTAGTTCAACCATTGTGGAAGTCAGTGTGGCGATTCCTCAGGGATCTAGAACTGGAAATACCACTTGACCCAGCCATCCCATTACTGGGTATATACCCAAAGGACTATAAATCATGCTGCTATAAAGACACATGCACACGTATGTTTATTGTGGCATTATTCACAATAGCAAAGACTTGGAACCAACCCAAATGTCCAAAAATGATAGACTGGATTAAGAAAATGTGGCACATATACACCATGGAATACTATGCAGCCATAAAAAATGATTAGTTCATGTCCTTTGTAGGGACATGGATGAAATTGGAAATCATCATTCTCAGTAAACTATCGCAAGAACAAAAAACCAAACACCGCATATTCTCACTCATAGGTGGGAATTGAACAATGAGATCACATGGACACAGGAAGGGGAATATCACACTCTGGGGACTGTGATGGGGTGGGGGGAGGGGGGAGGGATAGCATCGGGAGATATACCTAATGCTAGATGACGAGTTAGTGGGTGCAGCGCACCAGCATGGCACATGGATACATATGTAACTAACCTGCACAATGTGCACATGTACCCTAAAACTTAAAGTATAATAAAAAATAAAATAAAATAAAAAAATAAATAAATGTCTTTTCACAGCAAGTTATACCAACTTAATATTATCACTAACGTTAGATACCATTAACCTTTATCATGTTTGTCAATCAGGCAAAACATACCTTATTTTAATTTACATTTCTTTGCTTGTTAATGAAGTATATTTTTACACGTTAATTAGCTATTTATATTTCTTCCATTAGTTGCCTGTTAATGTTTCTTCTTATTTTTCTATTGGGTTGTTTGTCAATTTTTTTATATTGACATTATTATTGATTATTTCTTATTACCCAGGCCTCAAATATATCCTCCTAGTATGCTCTTGATCTTTTTTATTATTATTATACTTTAAGAGTTCTGGGATACATGTGAAGACCATGCAGGTTTGTTACATAGGTATACATGTGCCACGGTGGTTTGCTGCAGCCATCAACTCATCATCTACATTAGGTATTTCTCCTAATGCTATCCCTACCCTTGCCCCCCACCCCCAGATAGGCACCAGTGTGTGATGTTCCCCTCCCTGTGCCTATGTGTTCTCATTGTTCAGCTCCCACTTATGAGTGAGAACATGCGGTGACTTTCAATAGGAAGACAATAATAGATGCTTGACTTTGGGGAAAGATTAAATAACCAATGTTGTCTAGCTAGAATACAACATTATGGGAGTGTCCATTGCTATATTTGTATATAAAACCTATGCTACAAATCAACACAGTGTGTTGAAGAAACAGGCTATTCATTAAACACTAGGTCAAAAGCAGTTTTGTGTTGCTACATTTGCCCTGGCAGAAGGTGCTGAAGTATTGGTTGCACTCTCTACTATTTCACACAGTATTTCTTCGGATTCCTAAAGAAAATGTGCCTCAATAAGGGAAGAGCAGCACCTTATGGGAGATATAAGTTAAATATCTGTAGAATATGTGTGGTATGATTTACTAATGTTAATAAGAATACTTCCCTTTTCCTTGACAAATGAATAAATCACCCTTTTCTGTGATTGACAGTCTCCATTATGCAAACAGGACTGGTTTGTGAACCATTGCATCCCACATGGGCTCGAGTTTTATAAAGAAAGATAAGCATTTATTTATGATGCTCAGGCAAATACTGAACCTGAGTAAAATGTTTAGAGTAGAGAAGTTTCAGCATTACATATGTGTCAACGGTGTACATCTCATGATCATCCTTGTATAATATTTTTTCTTCTTTAGGTTATATGATAACACTTACTTGAATTGCAAACGAATGCTTAAATAAAACTGATGTTGAACTTTTCTTCTTTTTAACTGACAAAGGTGAACTTTTCTACAGTGTGTCAATATCTACAACTCTGAAACTGCTTACACTGAAGGCAAAAGAAAGCCACTTTGAGCTATGAATGATGACCACCTGCAAAGAAATGATAAGACTGCAACTTTTCTTTCTTTTCTTGGCAGTATTCCCCTTGCTGTGTTCTGACTTATGCCAAGTAATTGGAATCAGTCAAACAGATAACAAGCTAATTTCCCTTTTTTCTTTCCTCTCAACTCAATACACTCATATTCTTCACAAGAAAATGTAACAATGTGTCTGTCACTTAAAATGAACCACCAGATGGATCTATAAAAATAGTAAAAGGAAAATTTGGAATACATTTCAGGATGACACAGGTTAATATATCCATAAAACTTTGTATTTTCTAAAAAAAAATTGGAATTAGTTAATTAGTTTTAATGAAAAGATCATTAGCAGAACAGTACACTATGTTGCTTTCATAGGGTTTAAATTGAGTTACTGAGTATGGAAAATAAATAAATGAAATAGATAATTTCTAATGGGTCACAGTCTGTAAAAGAAATAAAAATTATGATTTGATAATCTGTAATCGAGAAATAGAGAGTTATCTAAAATAAAGGTTAAAAACTTTTAGATAAAAGTTTTTATCTAAAATAAAAGTTTGGCATGGTAGGAGAACAGTAGGAGGACTAGCCTAGGTGATGCAGTTTGAGCTATTGGGTATGTAGTATAACTATTCATTGAGAAGAAGACAGCTGTGGAAGGAGCAGTTTTTGATAAGTTCTTATAGGATATGAAGACATATAGTGCTTTCTTGTGACTAGCATACAAGTAGAACTATTTACTTATATTTAAATACATGTTGCAGGATAAGGGCAGTGCTGAAAATATAAACTTTCAAATATATATATTTAAAATATATATATATATATATAGTGTATGGTGTGTGTGTGTGTGTGTGTGTGTGTGTGTGCGCGCGCGCGCGTAGTTAAACTGGTTGATATTACCGTGGGAGAATGCTTAGGTGGAGAATAGGAGGGAAACAAGGATTAACAACTTGCCTTTAAATTGTTCACATTTTGTATTACCATAGTACCATTAATCAAAATCAGGAAATTAACACTGATACAATCCTATTATCCAATCTAGAGACCATAGTCAAATTTTAGAACTGTCCCACTATTTTCCTTTTTCTGGGCCTGTATCATACATTGCATCTAGATGTCTTGTCTCTTTAACCTCCTTTCACTATTAAGGTGTAAAAGAAAGAACCAGGAAGGACTCTATGAACTAATATCCAGCAATTTCCAAAACCTATCATTTAGTGAAAATTACAAAGAATATCTCTAGGCTGCAATCTTTCATGTAACAAAGAAAAGGAAATAAGCAATAAGCATGTTATCTGCTCATGTATACAGCAAGGAGAAACCAGAATCTAATGAGAATACACAAGTGTGTGGGAATCCATGCAATGACACAATGTAAGAATTGGAATGGAAGAGAAGAAATAAGAATGGAGTGACATTTATCTGTCTATATTCTTTTGTATAGTTTAGACTTCCAAAACAATCTCAAATTTTACATATTCAAAAAATTAAATAAATATTTATCAACCATGATGTGATGGGAACACCAAAATGGAATGCAATACTAACAGATGGGTGTATAATATGATCACATCAAAGGAGTGGAGAAGAGAAATATTAGCCTGATTCTTAAAAGGTCAAAAAATAACAGACGCTGGCAAGGTTATGGAGAAAATCAAACACTTACATATTGTTGGTGGGAGTGTAAATTAGTTCAACCATTGTAGAAAGTAGTGTGGCAATTCCTCAAAGAGCTAAAAACAGAATTGCTATTCTACCCAGCCATCCCATTACTGGTATATACCCAAAGGATATATACCATATATATATATAAATTGTTATATATAAATACATATATAAATTGTTCTACCATAAAGACACAAACATGTGTATGTTCACTGCAGCACTATTCACAATTGCAAAGACATAGAATCAACCTAAATGCCCATCAGTCATAGACTGAATCAAGAAAATGTAGTACATAAACACCATGAAATACTATACAACCATAAACAAGAACAAGATCACCTCTTTTGCAGGAACATGGATGGAGCTGGAGGCCATAATCCTTAGCAAACTAATGGAGGAACAACAACAACAACAACAACAACAAACAAATACTGTATGTTCCCACTTACAAGTGGGAACTAAATGCTGAGAACACATGGACACAAAGAGAGGAAAAACAGACACTGGGACCTACTGGAGGGTGGAAATTAGGAGGAGGGAGTAGATCAGAAAAAATAACTATTGGGTACTAGGCTTAGTATTTGGGTGATGAAGTAATCTGTACAACACATTCCCACGAAAAGAGATTACCTATCCAATACCTATACCCCAAACCTAAAATAAAAAGAAAAAGAAAAATTATTAGCCTGACTTTGTAAAACAGGATTTTGATACCATAAAGTACAAGCCAAAAGAAACCTGTACAAAATATGTATTCCAAATATTAAACAGGCTTTTTTAAAACATAGATATGGGTTACTCACCCAGAAACTTCTTTTTTTGTGTCTTCTAGGACTAAGCAAATAACTGCTTATATTGAAAATAATGAAAGCAAGTTTATCACTGTTGTACACAATGGCTACAAATGCAGAAAGAGGAAGACTAGAGTGAGCTTCATTATACTGGATTGGGATTGTTGGTATCAGCATATGCTCATATCTTTTAATGTATTAGCAATAGATCTTAAAAGATATATTTGTGTTTATGCATATAATGTATAAAAGCAGAGCCTTTAGCAGTAACAAAAAGAGGAAAAGTCTAAAAAAACCTTAAATTTTTGGTACTTAATTTCTATGAATATTAAAATAAAAACATTCTTCTTTAGCCTTAACGGAAGTGGGTATGAAGTGGGTAAATGTTGATACTTCTGATGTTAGCATATTTTGTGGCAAAATAAGAATATCATAATTGAAAATTATAAATATGATTTTGTCACAATAAACATGAAATAACTTTGAACTGATGGCAATTTAACATTCATTGTTTAGTGCATGTCAGAGGCTTATGGATGATACACAGAAAAATAGTCCCTGTAGAATGCAAGACAAAAACATTTAGATAGTAATTTCATTAGAGTTTAACACAAAAGAAGCACCTATTCTTGACTTAAAATAAGGTATGCATTCAGGACATCATATGCACACTGCCTATGAGGGGATTTAAGCCTCCATAAAAACTGTACCTACAAAGAACTTTGGACATTTGTTGCCTAAAATTACTAAGGATCTTCGAATAAGGAAGTAGAACCCCATGACACTGAGAACAATGAGCTTCTGCACAGCAAAAGAAACTACCATCAGAGTGAACAGGCAACCTACAAAATGGGAGAAAATTTTCGCAACCTACTCATCTGACAAAGGGCTAATATCCAGAATCTACAATGAACTCAAACAAATCTACAAGAAAAAAACAAACAACCCCATCAAAAAGTGGGCAAAGGACATGAACAGACACTTCTCAAAAGAAGACATTTATGCAGCCAAAAAACACATGAAAAAGTGCTCATCATCACTGGCCATCAGAGAAATGCAAAACAAAACCACAATGAGATACCATCTCACACCAGTTAGAATGGCAATCATTAAAAAGTCAGGAAACAACAGGTGCTGGAGAGGATGTGGAGAAATAGGAACACTTTTACACTGTTGGTGGGACTGTAAACTAGTTCAACCATTGTGGAAGTCAGTGTGGCGATTCCTCAGGGATCTAGAACTGGAAATACCACTTGACCCAGCCATCCCATTACTGGGTATATACCCAAAGGACTATAAATCATGCTGCTATAAAGACACATGCACACGTATGTTTATTGTGGCATTATTCACAATAGCAAAGACTTGGAACCAACCCAAATGTCCAACAATGATAGACTGGATTAAGAAAATGTGGCACATATACACCATGGAATACTATGCAGCCATAAAAAATGATGAGTTCATGTCCTTTGTAGGGACATGGATGAAATTGGAAATCATCATTCTCAGTAAACTATTGCAAGAACAAAAAACCAAACACCGCATATTCTCACTCATAGGTGGGAATTGAACAATGAGATCACATGGACACAGGAAGGGGAATATCACACTCTGGGGACTGTGGTGGGGTGGGGGGAGGGGGGAGGGATAGCATCGGGAGGTATACCTAATGCTAGATGACGAGTTAGTGGATGCAGCACACCAGCATGGCACATGTATACATATGTAACTAACCTGCACAATGTGCACATGTACCCTAAAACTTAAAGTATAATTAAAAAAAAAAGATTACTTAAAAAGAGGAGTCCATACCTGTTCGTATATATTTGACAGGCATTTAGTTGAGTGTGTACTTCATGTCAGGCATTATGTCAGACCATGTTAATACAGAACAGAACACTTTGTTAATAACATTAAGATTTTTTGTGAACATTTTCTCCCATTCTGTAAGTTGCCTATTCACTCTGATGATAGTTTCTTTTGCTTTGCAGAAGCTCTTTAGTTTAATTAGGTCCCATTTGTCAATTGTGACTTTTGTTGGAATTGCTTTTGGTGTTTTAGTCATGAAATCCTTGCCCATGCCTATATCTTGGCAATTCCTCAAGGATCTAGAACTAGAAATACCATTTGACCCAGCAATCCAATTACTGGGTATATACCCAAAGGATTATAAATCATTCTACTATAAAAGCACATGCACACGTACGTTTATTGCAGCACTATTCACAATAGCAAAACTTGGTGCCCATGAATGTTAGAGTGGATAAAGAAAATGTGGCACATGTACACCATGGAATACTATGCAACCATAAAAAAGAATGAGTTCGTGTCCTTTGCAGGGACATGGATGAAGCTGGAAACCATTCTCAGCAAACTATCACAAGAACAGAAAACCAAACACCACGTGTTCTCATTCATAAGTGGGAGTTGAACAATGAGAACATATGGACACAGGGAGGGGAACATCACACACCAGGGCCTGTTGGGGGCTGGGAGGCCTAGGGGAGGGATAGCATCAGGAGAAATAAACAATGTAGATGACGGGGTGATGGGTGCAGCAAACCACCATGGCACAAGTATACCTATGTAATAAACCTGCATGTTCTGCACATGTATCCCAGAACTTAAAGTATAATAAGAAAAAAAAATGTTTTTTTGCAAAGGATTTTGAGTTGTTTACTAGAATTATTTTGAAGCATATTTTATTTAGTTTCACACAGACTTGAAATAAGTCTTAATCTTCGTTCATTTACACAGAACAGTCTGAACCAGCCCTGTGGCAAACTGAATATATTTCTTAATTTACACATTTCTCTGGATTAATGAAGAATTTTCTCAATCTTAAATGCAAATATTATTTTACATGTAATTTGCTTATTGAAAAAATAAACTCTATATAAATGTAACAAGAAATTTCTCCCTCATGCTGTTTCATTTTCCTATGGCATTGCTTTAACCAGCTAGAAGAAAGTGGCAATAAAAAAACAAAACAAAAAAAAACTAACAAAAGTTTAATTTGACCTAATAATAAAAGTGGAAAATTATTTACTGTTTTTGTTTCTAGTCACTACATGTGCAATTTGACTGTTTCTACATTCAAATCATTATTGAAATCTTTTATTTAAGAGTAAAAATGTGATCATATGATTAAAAAAATTGTTTTTTTTTATTTTTTTCTTGTCTTTTCTTTTTTTTTTTCCCAGAAGATAACTTTCTTTCATTAGAAGAAATGCTCAAATGCAAAGTTTACTGTTCCAGACTCATTTAAGATTGAAGTATGGAGGCCTCATTTATATGCCTACTCAAGTTGAAAGGGTTAAATTGGCATCACCTTGTGAAATGTAATCATTCAACTTAAAATAATATGTTAATGAATTAAAACAAAAGCATTTCCCCTTGAATACAGCACAGACATTAATACATTATAGTAACTCACTTTCATTAAATACTTGGAACCAACCCAAATGTCCAACAATGATAGACTGGATTAAGAAAATGTGGCACATATACACCATGGAATACTATGCAGCCATAAAAAATGATGAGTTCATGTCCTTTGTAGGGACATGGATGAAACTGGAAATCATCATTCTCAGTAAACTATCGCAAGAACAAAAAACCAAACACCACATATTCTCACTGTGGGAATTGAATAATGAGAACACATGGACACAGGAAAGGGAACATCACACTCTGGGGACTGTTGTGGGGTGGGGGGAAGGGGGAGGGATAGCATTGGGAGATATACCTAATGCTAGATGACGAGTTAGTGGGTGCAGCACACCAGCATGGCACATGTATACATATGTAACTAACCTGCACATTGTGTACATGTACCCTAAAACTTAAAGTATAATAATAATAAAAAAATAAAAAATATATTGGCATTAATTTACCAATTTTCTCTCACCATTCTATACTTCTTTCAAATTTATAGGTATTATTATCTATATTAAAATACTAATTCCATCCAAAGGGCATGAAATGCTACCACAAAAGAGTTAGTTTTGCTTTTGAATCTGTCCTATTCATTGTCTACTAATAATTCTAAGCAATTCTCCAGCTCTACTAGCTATCATTTCCAGCCCCCCATAGGCCAATTTCAATTTTTTTCATAAGAATAATATTTCATAGATGTTTGTCTTATTTCTGGAATCAGTTTGTATCTCTACATAGTATCCCTATGTCAGTCTGGGTTTGAATACCGGCTTTAGTATTTACTAGCTGCATGACTTTGGACAATTTGTTGAACTTCCCCAAACATCAAGCCTATGATCTTTAAAATGGCAATTATAAAAACAGCAGGAACTTTATGGGTTATGAAAAGCTCAAAATAATGCAATTAAAGTACTAAAGTGTTTAGCAATATTTCTATTTTGTACAAAAAGCTTGATAAATCCATCACTTTTATTTAAAATGTATACAATAAATGCAATAAAGTGTGATTAACAAATGCATGTACACTTCATAAAAATATAACACTAAAAATACTTTATTTTTTACCAAATAAAATAGAAATTATTGTGTTAATTTAATGAAGGGATTGAGATAGTAAACATACCTGTATTGTAGATATGTAAGAATTAATGTGATTAGAAGTGTAGTGTCAATTAAACCAGTAAGAAACAAGTACAGAAAGGCCTGTGTTGTTAGAATGAGGTCCTTGGCTTTCTTTCTAGTATACATCATGCATCTCCCAGCAAAAAATAGAGAGTTTTTGAGAGTAGAAAATTCTATATTATTTTACTGGCTTAGAAGGTAAATTTATCATAACCCAACACTGTGTTTCTGAGTTTTATGTAGTTTTATTGTCATTAATTGAAATCTCTCCCAAAATATTGTAGACAGTTGACTATTATTAGTGAATTTCAGAGCTGCTGATTTCCCCTCATTTTTTCTATAATTTAATGGGAATTTCCGAAGGGCCTATAAGAGAACATAAGACAAAAGCTGTTTTATGCTGTAGGGCATAAATACTACACATGATAGTATGAGTTAGTGCACTTTGTAAGGGTTGTTCAAACAGAAACTAAACAACAGTCCATTAGAGATGTTGTTAAAATAATTTATCTTCCATAAAATAACAATGCAGTTTAAATTGTTAGAGAACTACATTATTACTAACAGAATATTAGTATAATGGTACTTATAAGGAAACATGATTTACAGATTCAAATATATCTGCATATGATATTATGAATGGTGTATTACCAGATAAATTTTGTATATATCATTTTTATTCTATCAAAAAAGCTATGAAATCTTAATGAGCAAATTAAAAACTCTACAGAGATAATGAAACAGAAGTGTAGAAAGAGAGAAAAGAAAGAAGAAAGCAAATTATTATTGATTATATGGTTTGAGAGTAACCTATGCTAACCATTTTATTTAATTTCTCCCAATCCTCAAAACAAATCTATCAGGCAGAAATGATTATTCAGATTGGTTCTTCAACTTGTCCACAGTTACACAATTTATAAACAGCAGAGCCAGGAATTAAGTGAAATCCTGAGTTCATAGCTTAAGTGAGGTAAGTGGAAATAGTGGGTGGTGGGAATGGAGATTGTTACTAATTTTTTCTGTATGCCATACAATACTAGATATGTGCTTAAGTATTAGAATATGACAAATAATTGTTAAAGACCAAAAAAATTAACAATACTAAATCCCATTAAGGATGCAGTAGGACCATGTGTATATTACATTTTTAAATCCTGTATATATTTGCTTTAATTGGAAGCTATCAATATTACTAAGAGGCTACATTAAAAATACTGTTGTCTTTATGCTATTTTTTCAGTCTCAATGTGATTTATGCAAGAGAGAAAATAACCTGGAAAAACTTTTTAAATACATTTATACTTATGTATACCTTAAAAAAATAATAAAGGGAATAAGACATGCTGGTCAGGAGAGTCAAGAACAACTTATATTTGAGATAACAGGTTTCAGAGTCAGAGACACCTGACTTTTATTCCTAGTTCTGCTATTAAAATCGTGAAATTCTTCAAAAATAATTTTTCTATCTTGTGCAATAATATCATTGGCACTTCAAGACCGTAATAAGGATGATGGGAATAAAATAATGTAATATAGTGGCTAATAAATTAGTAGAGCAGTAGTGGAAGCGGGAGAAATGAGGCTTAAAAGCTGTCATCACTCAAACATCAAAAAATTGGGTCATTTTTTGTAATGAGGTCATTACTACCTCTATTGAGTAATAATCCCCACTTCTATGGATTAAGTAAATGCATACTCAATACATAGAATTGACCATATGGTTTGAAAGTCACTTATGGTAGGTGTTTCATTATGTCTCCTAATCCTCAAAAAAAAATCTACCAGGTAGAAATCCTTATTCAGATTCGTTGTTCAACTTGTCTACAGTTACACGATTTGTAAAGAGCAGAGCCAGAAATTAAGTGAATTTTAAATGAATGCTCAATATGTAGAAGTGGGGATTATTATGCTATAGGATTATTATTCTATACCTAATGAGGTTGTAAGGACCTCATTACAAAAAAGGACCCAAATTTTTTATGTTTGACTAATGACAGTTTTTAAGTCTCCTCTCTCCCTCTTTCTCTAATGCTCTACATTTTGGGACAGATTATTAAAAAGATAAATGCTACCCTCTTTGCCCCTAGTGAAGTTTAAAACCATACAAGCCTCAGACTGCACAAGATAACCCAACCCCACCCACTAACCACAAGCCAGTCTCCAGTCTTTGCCTTCTCAAGCCATGTTCAGGCCCCTTTGTGAGGCTGAATTGCAACAAATGAGGTGCAAAAACATATATTTTATTACTAAATCTTAATTATATCTTATGTATTTATTATAATTATTTATTCAACCAATATTATAAAGAACCCATTCTTTCTTAAGTTTTATTTTTTATGACAATAATAAGTGTATATATTTTGGGGGTACAATGTGTTTTCAATACATGCATACAATGTAAAATGATCAAATCAGGCTAATTAACATACCCATCACCTCAAATTTTTATCATTTTGTGGTGAGAACATTTAACATCCACCATTTTAGCTATTTTGAAATATATAATACATTGCTATTAACTATAATGCCATGTTGTGCAATAGATCAGCAAAACCTATTCTTGTCTAACTGAAAATTTGTACCCTTCAGCCAACATACCCCTTTCCCTGTTCACCCTTCCCCCTCAGCCTCTGGTAACCACCACTCTACTCTTTGGTTCTATGAGTTCCACTTTTTTAGATTTCACATGAAAGTGAGATCATAAGGTATGTATCTTTCTATGTCTAGCTAATTTCACTTAGCATTATATCCTCTGGTTTTATTCATATTGACACAAATGACAGAATTTTCACTTTGTTAAGGCTGAATAGTATTTCACTGTATATAAATACCACAATTCTTTATCTGTTGGTGGGCACCTTGGTTGTTTTCATATCTTGACTACTGTGAATAATGTTGCATAAAACATGAGACAGATCGTCCAGACAGAAAATCAATGTGGAAACTATATTAGGGTTCTCCAGAAGGACATAACCAATAGAATATGCACTGATATATGAGAAGAAATTTATTAACAGAATGGGCTTACATGAATATAGAGGTAGAAAGGTCCCACAGCAGGTATTCTGTAAGTTAGAGACCTTGAGATGCCTATTGCTTGGCTCAGTTCAAGTCTGAAGGCCTCAGAACCAGAGAAGTGTAGCTGTAAGTGACAGTCTAAAGACAAAGCTCGGAAAACCTGGAGGCCCACTGGTGTAAATACTGGAGTCCAAAGACCAGAGAGCCTGGAGTTCTGATGTCCATGGCCAGGAGAAGAGTGACCCAGCTCCAGCAGACAGAATGAGAGAAAATTGTCTTTTTTTCTTATCCAGACTCCTAGCCAACTGGATGGCCACATAGGGGGCAGATCCTCCCCATTCAGTGCAGCAACTCATGTGCCAATCTCTTCTGAAAATACCCTCACAAATATACCCAAAATAAATCTTTAACAGTTCTCTAGGTATTCTTAATTCTATCAATTCGACACCAATATTAACTATCACGAAAACATTGGATATAAACTATGCTTTAAACCAAATGAATCTAACAAACATATACTAAATACTCCATGACATAAGAAAAGTATACACATTTTTTTTCACATGCACATGGAACATTCTGTTTGATAGATTATATGCTAGGCTACAAAATTAGCCTTAAATTTAAGAAAATCAAAGTTATAGAAAGTATCATTTCCAATCTGAATGGTATAAAACTATAATTCAGTAACAGGAGGAGCCACAGAAAATTAAATGTAGAAATTTTTAAACATGATTCTGAAAAAATCTATTAGTAAAATAAAAAATGTATTTTTTAATACCTTGAGCTAAATGAAATGGAAAACGTATGGGATGCAGCAAAAGCAGTGCTAGGAAGGAATTTTATAGCAGTGAATGACTACATTGGGAGGTAATCGAATCATGGGGCTGGTTCCCCTGTGCTGTTCTCGTGGTAGTGAGTGAGTTCTCATGAGATCTCATGGTTTTATAAGCATCTGGCACTTCCCCTGCTGGCATTCATTATTTCTACTGCCACCCTTTGAAGTGGTGCCTTCACCCATGATTGTGAGTTTCCTGAGGTATCCCCAGCTATCTGGAATTGTGAGTCAATTAAACCTCTTTTCTTTATAAATTACCCAGTCTCGGGTATTTCTTCATAGCAGGGTGAGAATGGATTAATACACAACTGATAACATAAATACAAAGGATAAGGCACTACTATAAATACACACCAAATAGTTGAAAAATCTTGAAGAAATGAATCAATTCCTAGAAACATGTAACCTATGAGGACTAAATTATAAAGAAATCAGAAACCTGCAAAGGGCAATAATGAGAAAGGAGATTTAATCGGTAATTAAAAATCTCCCATAAAAATGCCTGAGATCTTATGGCTTCATAGCTGAATTCTACAAAACATTTAAAGAACAATTAATATCAATGCTTCTGAAAATTGGAACAAATATCAAATTAAGGGAATAAATCCAAACTTATTTTACAAGGCCAGTATTACTCTAATACCAAGCCAGACACTACAAGGAAGGAAAACTATAGGCCAATATCCCTGACGAACATAGATGCAAAAACCCTCAACAAAATATTAGCAAACTATGTTCAACAGTAAATTAAAAGAAGCAGTCACCATGATCAAATGGGATTTATCTCTGGGATGCAAGGATGATTCAATATGCACAAATCAATAAATGTGATTCACTATATATAAAGAATGAAAAAAACCATATGATCATTGGAGTAAATCCAGAAAACAGTATTTGACAAAATTCAATATTCACGATAAAAACTCTCAAAAAATTAGGTATAGAAAGAACATTCTTTTTTTTTATTATGCTTTAAGTTTTAGGGTACATGTGCACAACGTGCAGGTTAGTTACATATGTATACATGTGCCATGTTGGTGTGCTGCACCCATTAACTCGTCATTTAACATTAGGTATATCTCCTAATGCTATCCCTCCCCACTGCCCCCACCCCACAACAGGCCCCGGTGTGTGATGTTCCCCTTCCTGTGTCCATGTGTTCTCATTGTTCAATTCCCACCTATGACTGAGAACATGTGGTGTTTGGTTTTTTTGTCCCTGCGATAGTTTGGTGAGAATGATGATTTCCAGCTTCATCCACGTCCCTACAAAGGACATGAACTCATCATTTTTTATGGCTGCATAGTATTCCATGGTGTATATGTGCCACATTTTCTTAATGCTGTCTATCATTGTTGGACTTTTGGCTTGGTTCCAAGTCTTTGCTATTGTGAATAGTGCCACAATACATATACGTGTGCATGTGTCTTTATAGCAGCATGATTTATAATCCTTTGGGTATATACCCAGTAATGGGATGGCTGGGTCAAATAGTATTTCTAGTTCTAGATCCCTGAGGAATCACCACACTGACTTCCACAATGGTTGAACTAGTTTACATTCCCACCAACAGTGTAAAAGTGTTCCTATTTCTCCACATCCTCTCCAGCACCTGTTGTTTCCTGACTTTTTAATGATCACCATTCTAACTGGCATGAGATGGTATCTCACTGTGGTTTTGATTTGCATTTCTCTGATGGCCAGTGATGATGAGCATTTTTTCATGTGTCTTTTGGCTGCATAAATGTCTTCTTTTGAGAAGTGTCTGTTCATATCCTTCGCCCACTTGTGGATGGGGTTCTTTGTTTTTTTCTTGTAAATTTGTTTGAGTTCATTGTAGATTCTGGATATTAACCCTTTGTCAGATGAGTAGACTGCAAAAATTTTCTCCCATTCTGTAGGTTGCCTGTTCATTCTGATGGTAGTTTCTTTTGCTGTGCAGGAGCTCTTTAGTTTAATTAGATCCCATTTGTCAATTTTGGCTTTTGTTGCCATTGCTTGTGGTGTTTTAGACATAAAGTCCTTGCCCATGCCTATGTCCTGAATGGTATTGCCTAGGTTTTCTTCTAGGGTTTTTATGGTTTTAGGTCTAACATTTAAGTCTTTAATCCATCTTGAATTAATTTTTGTATAAGGTGTAAGGAAGGATCCAGTTTCAGCTTTCTACATATGGCTAGCCAGTTTTCCCAGCACTATTTATTAAATAGGGAATCCTTTCCACATTTCTTGTTTTTTTCAGGTTTGTCAAAGATCAGATGGTTGTAGATATGTGGCATTTTTTCTGAGGGCTCTGTTCTGTTCCATTGGTCTATATCTCTGTTTTGGTACTAGTACCATGCTGTTTTAGTTACTGTAGCCTTGTAGTATAGTTTGAAGTCAGGTAGCGTGATTCCTCCAGCTATGTTCTTTTGGCTTAGGATTGAGTTGGCAATGTAAATTTGGTATAGAAGACCATATATGGCAAGCCAACTGCTAACATCATATTGAATGATGAAAACTTGAAGGCTTTTCCTCTCAGATAAGGAATAAGACAAGAATGCCCATTCTTATCATTTCTGTTCAACATAGGCCTGGAATTTCTAGTCAGAGTAGTTAGATGAGGAAAAGAAATATAAGGCATCAAAATAGAAAAGGAAAAGTGAAATTGTTTCTGTTACTGGTCACATATTATGTATATAAAATCCTAAATATTCCACAAAAAAATGTTAGAACTAAGAAACATATTAAGTAAAGTTTCAGGATACACAATCAGCTTATAAAATTCAGCAGTATTTTTATAGAGCAACAACAAACTATCTGAAAAACAAATTAAGAAAACAATTCCATTTATAGTAACATCAAAAATAAAACTACAAGGAGTAAATTTAATCCAAGAGGTGAAAGATCTGTGCACTAAAAACTATAAAACACCGATGAAAGGAGTTGAGGAAAATACAAGTAACTAGAAAGGCATTTGATCTTGTTCATGGATTAAAATAAAATTGAAAAAATGTTCATCCTACCCAAATTAATCTACAGATTCAAGGAAATCCCTATCATAATTTTGATGTCATTCTGCAGATAAATAGAAAAAAAAGTCCTAAAATTTTTATGGAATTACAAAGTGCCAAAATAGCAAAAGCAATTTTGATCGAAAAGAATAAAGCTGGAGGCATCACAGTACCAGATTTTAAAATATATGCCAAAGCTATAGTGATTAAAGCAGCATAGTACTGGCATAAAAACACACATGACAACTCACTCTTTTTAGGCACCATTCTAATACTATATTTTCAATGGTTTAAAAAACAGTAGCACATTATCTGTTCTCAAGAAATTTACAGCTTAGTGAGTAGATGATAAAATTCACAAAATTTTAGAAAAATATTTAATATTAAATGCTTTATACTGCAAAATATGCTACTGAAGAAAATAGCAGCTGTTACTAGATTTTATTACAAATGGGGCTATGCTAATCCAAGGATGTTGGAGAAGTAGTTTTATGAGCAAGTATCATAAATGATGAATGATGAATAACATTTAGTTTCACAAAGTCCGTGTATCTGTGATTAGCAACAAATGAGAAGAAAAGGCATTAACAACAGAAAGAGTAGCAAAAAAACAAAACAAAATGGTCCTGGATGGGGTGGTGTTAGATAAGATTTAGTTTAAGATCTGAAAAACAAAGGCAAAGGCTCTTGAAAGTCTGGTGTGGTTAGGATGCAATGTGCATATATGAAAGTGTCATAAAAGAAAACAAAAAGAACTGAAAAGTTAAATGTGTATAAATAATGACCTTTTAATAAGCACGTAACTATTCACTGTTATTTGAAAGTGTGCAAACTTAACAAAATTCATGAAATTATATGTGGGTACACCATACAGATGTAAATGTGTAACATTAGGCTTAATTTTGATTTGTTAATTTGTTTTCTTTTTTTCAAAAAGCCATGTTCAAGGGCAGAAGGAGTTTTATTTTGGAAAAATAGTTCTAATTCCTTTGCCTTTCATTTTATGTAAAAATAAAATTCGCCAAGAAAAAGAACATAATTTCAAAACTTTCAATTAGTATTCAGTAAGATTTAATAAATCATTTTATGAAAGTGTAATAGACTAATATTTACATATTAATTACAAATTAAATAATTAATAAATTCCAAAAGCCAAAGGAAAAATAAAAAGGAAGCTGATTTGATAATAAACATCTGCTCTGCTTGACTGGTAGCAATGATTACAGTTCAAATCACAATAAAAATAAGGAGACACGATAGACTTTATCTAGCCCCAATTTTACATAGCAAGAAGAAACTACACCCGATATACAAAAATCATGCCCAGCCACAGCCCCTGGTAGGGCTCTCATAATTTCCAGGCACATCATCTAGTATTCTTGATATTTTGAAATTACATGGTCATAAAGAAGAGATTACATCACCTCCTTTATCTTTATATTCCCATGACTAAAAAGATACAGATAGATAGATAGATAGATAGATAGATAGATAGATACATACATACATACATACATACATACATACATACATACATAGAAACATAATCTTCAAATAGTAGGCAGCCTTTAAAATGGCTCTCAATAATCTCTGCCTCTTTGTGTTCATGTCTTTGTGTAACCTCCTCTACTTGGATGTGGGCTGGACCTAGTGACTTACTTGTAATGAGTAGATGATAACAACGATAATGATATTAAATAAGAAAAAGACTAAACCTTCCATTTTGGTCTCTTTTTTGCTCTCCTACTTTCTTGTTCTGGAGGAATTTGCCTGTTATGTTTGGTTACTATATAGAGAGGGAGTGAAGAACAGATTCCTTTCAGCAGCCATGTATAAGTCTTGGAAGCAAATTTTCCCTTAGTTTATCCTTGAAATACATACAGCCAACAACTTGATTGCAGCCTTGAAGAGATTTTGAACCAGAGGGCTCAGCTAAGCCTTGCCAAAATTTCTGATCCACACAACTGTGATATCATAAATGTTTATTATTTTAAGACAGTAAGTTGTGGGGTAATTTGTTAAGCAGATATTTTAAAAAAAAATTCACATAATGATTTTTACATAAAAGCCCACATCAATGTAGCCAATGCTGATAGGTGAAGACATTAGAGATAAAAATATACTAAACTGTTATGTTACATGGAAGGAGGTTCAGAGTTCATATTATTCTTGACATTGGTAGGGTAATATGATTCCACTGTATTTGGCATATTTAGCAGTAATGGAAAGTGAAAAGTGCTCTGTCTGATTGGCATTGTTTTATGAGATTCCGTCATTTTACTAAGTTATTTTTTAAAATTTGCTTTTGATAATACTAGTATACGAATGAAGGTAAATTTGATTATTTTCTATTTCAAACTAAAATCTTATATCATTATTCAATTCCAGAAAATTCTTACCACTCAAAATTTTGCTTACCTTTTTCTCTCTGATGTACTTTATTAAATGATTCTCTACCTGTTTAGGTGTATATTTTGGTTATTAAATCTGTACTTCCTATATATTAACTTCTGTCATAATTTTGTTTTATTTCATTTTATTTTATTATAAAGTACTTAAGTGATTTTTAAGACCAAGATTTCTATCCATTAATTCTGTCTTCAGCTGTGTTTACAAATTTTAACAGCTTTATTTTACATACCATAAAACTCATTCATTTAAATTGTACAATTAACTGTTTTTAGTATAGCCACAGAGGTATGCAATTATCATAAGAATCTAATATCTGAACATTTTCTTCACTCAAAAATGAGACTCCACATTTATAAGGGTCTTGTTTTTGGGTGAAGAATTTATTTATACATTTTCATACCACCATTTTCCAGCCCCAGGCAACTGCTAGATTTTGCCTATCATGTACATTTCACATAAATGAGGTGAAACAATTTGTGGATTTTTGTTTCATTTAGTGTAATGGGTGTTCAAGGTTCATCATGCTATAACATATCTTAATATTTCTTTTTATATCCAAGTAATATTAAATTGAAAAAGTTATTTAACACTTTGTTTATTCATCCATCTGGCAGGAGATATGTAGGCTCTTAGGAATAATGCTGCTATGAACATTTATGTGCAAATTTTTGTGTAGACAAATTTTTATTTCTCCTGAATGTATCAAGGAATAAAACTGCTGATTCATAGGTTGCTTTATGTTAAACATTTTGAGATACTGGTTTTCTTTTTTTTAAATATTATTATACTTTAATTTCTGGGGTATATGTGCAGAACGTGCAATTTTGTTACACATACCGGGGTCGATTGCTGCACCCATCAACCCATCATCTACATTAGGTATTTCTCCTAATGTTATACATTCCCTAGGCCCCAACCCCTGTCAAGCCCCAGTATGTGATGTTCCCCTCCCTGTGTCCATGTGTTCTCATTGTTCAACTCTCACTTATGAGCGAGAACATGCAGTGTTTGGTTTTCTGTCCTTATGTCAGTCTACTGAGAATGATGGTTTCCAGCTTCATCCATGTCCCTGCAAAGGACATGAACTCATCCTTTTTCATGACTGCATACTATTCCATGGTGTATATGTACCACATTTTCTTTATCTAGTCTATCACTGATGGACATTTGGGTTGGTTCCAAGTCTTTGCTATTGTGAATAGTGCTGCAATAAACATACGTGTGTATGTGTATTTATAGTAGAATGATTTATAATCCTTTGGGCATATACCCAGTAGTGGGATTGCTGGATCAAATGGTATTTCTAGTTCTAGATTCTTGAGGAATCGCCACACTGTCTTCCACAATGTTTGAACCAGTTTACACTCCCAACAAGTGTAAAAGCATTCCTATTTCTCCACATCCTCTCCAGCTACTGTTGTTTCATATCCTTTGCCCACTTTTTGATGGGGTTGTTTGTTGTTTTCTTGTAAATTTGTTTAAGTTCTTTGTAGATTCTGGATATTAGCCATTTGTCAGATGGATAGCTAGCATAAGGCAAGGATGCCCTCTCTCACCACTCCTATTCAACATAGTATTGGAAGTTCTGGCCAGAGCAATCAAGCAAGAGAAAGAAATAAACGGTATTCAAATAGGAAGAGAGGAAGTCAAATTGTCTCTGTCTGCAGATGACATGATTATATATTTAGAAAACCCCATCATCTCAGCCCAAAATCTCCTTAAGCTGATAAGCAACTTCAGCAAAGTCTCAGGATACAAAATCAATGTGCAAAAATCACGAGCATTCCTATATGCCAATAACAGACAGAGAGCCAAACCACGAGTGAACTCCCATTCACAATTGCTACCAAGAGAATAAAATATCTATGAATACAACTTACAAAGGATGTAAAGGATCTCTTCAAAGAGAACCACAAACCACTGTTCAAGGAAATAAGAGGACACAAACAAATGGAAAAACATTCCATGCTCATGGATAGGAAGAACCAATATTGTTAAAATGGCCATACTGCCCAAAGTAATTTATAGATTCAATGCTATTCCCATCAAGCTACCACTGACTTTCTTCACAGAATTGGAAAAAACTACTTTAAACTTTATATGGAACCAAAAAAGAGCCCCTATAGCCAAGGCAATCCTGGACGAGAAGAGATACTGGTTTTCTAAGTGGCTGTAGCATTTTATGTCCTTACCTGCAGTGAAAGAGGACAACAATTTTTTCACATCCATTTACATCTTTATTATGAAGAATTTAAAACAAGTCTATTAAAGGTAACAGCAGTTACCATTGGTTAAGATGTAGGCAATATAAACAGATGTGAAACAAGACATCAAAAAGTCAAAATGTGGGGAGAAGGAAATGGAGTTACAGAGTTTGTTTTTGTTCTTTCTTATTCTTGGCAATCAAAGAGAGGTAAGTTGTTAACAGTTAAAAATAACTGATTAATATTATATTTTTGTAAGCCTAATGGTAACCACAAAGCAAATAAATATACTAAAAATAAATAGCAAGAAATCAAAACATCTACTAAAGAAAATCACTTAACCACAAAGGAAGACATTAAGAGAGAAAGAAAAGAAACTATGAAAACAGGAAAACCAGTAACAAAATGGAAGTAGTAAGTCCTTATCTATCAATAATAACATTTAATGTCAATGGAATAAATTCCCCAATTTAAAGATATTGAGTGGCTGAAAAAATTTTAAAAAGACACAATTATATGCTGACTACACGAACCTTCACCTATAAAGGCACACATAGACTGAAACGTGTAAGGATGAAAAAATATATTTCACACTAATGTAAAGCAAAAAAAAAAAAAGATGAATAAGGCCATTATATAATGATAAAGTGGTCAACACAGCAAGAGGGTATAACAATTATAAATATATATGCACCTAACACTGGATTACCTAAATACATACAGTATATATTAATAGGCCTAAAGGAAGATATTCAGTTCAATACAATACAATAGGAAACCTCAACACCACACTTTCAACACTGGACAGATCATCCAGGCAGTAAAGCAACAAAGAAACTTTGGAGTTAAACTGTACTCTAGACCAGATGGTCCCAACAGACATTTACAGATCATTTCACTCCATCCAACTGCTGCCAAATACACAATTTTCTCATGAGCACATGAAACACTCTCCAGAATACACTGCATATGAGGACATAAAAGAAAAAAAAAGTCAAAATCATATCAAGTATCTTTTCTGACTGCAAGGGAATTAAACTGGAAATCAAATAACAGGAGGAAAGTTGGAAAGTGTAAAAATACATGAAATTAAACAATGTGTTCCTTAACAACAAATGGATCAATGAAGAATTTTAAAAAGACCATAAACATTCCTAGAGACAAATAAAAGTGGAAACATTACATATCAAAACCTTGGGATACAGCAAAAGCAGGTCTAAGAGGGAATTTTAAACAATACATGTCTACATCAAAAAAGTAGAAAAATCTCCAATAAACAATCTAGCATTATGTTTCAAGGAGCTAGAGAAATAAGAACCAACTAAACTCAGGAACAAAATGAATGAAAAAGATCATAGCAGAAATCACAAAACAGATTTATAAAAATACAAAAGATCAACTAAAGAGAGTTGATTTTCAAAAATACAACAAAATTAACAAAACTTTAGCTAGACTAAGAAAAAAATAGAGGAAACTCAAATAAGATCAAGATGAAAAATGAGACATTAAAACTTATACACAGAAATGCAAAGGATCATGAGACTATTATAAACAACTATATGCCAAAAATTCAAAACTCTAGAGAGAATGGATAAGTTCCTGGACACATACAACCTACCAAGATTGAATGATGAAGAAATAGAAAACTTAAACAGACCAATAACAAGTGACATGATTAAAACAGTAACAAATGTCTCCCATCAAAGAAAAGCCCATGCTGAAATGGCTTCACTGCTGAATTCTACAAACATTTTCAGATGATTACCAATTCTTCTCAAAGTGTTCACAGTAAAATTGAAGAAAATGGAATACTTCCAACATACTCTATATGACCAGCATTTCCCTGATACTAAAACTAGAAAAGGATACAACTAATAAAGAAAACTAAAGGGAATGTCCCTGATAAACACAGATGCAAAAATCCTCAACATTATATCAGCAATCTGAATCGACATTACATTAAAGTGGTCATTCATCATAACCAGTTGGGATTCATCCCAAGGATGCAAGGATAGTGAAACTTACGTAAATCAATAAACATAATAAATCACATTAACAGAAGCAAGGACAAAAACCATATGATCATTTTTTACAGTGCTGAAAAAAGATTCTATAAAATTCAACATATTTTTGTAATGAAAGTCTTTACAAATTAGGTATAGAAAGAACATACTTCCATACAATACATACTATATATCACAGATGTATAGCTAACATCATACTGAATGGGGAAAATTTGAAATATTTTCCTCTAACATCTGAAACTAGACAGGGGTACCCACTTTCTCTAGGTTTATTTAACATAGAACTGGAAGTGCTAGCTAGAATCAGGAGGACATTATGTTAAGTTAAATAAACCAAGCATAGAAAAACAAATATCCTATAGTATCACTCATATGTGGAATCTAAAAGAGTTGTTCTCATAGAAGCAGAGAGTAGAATAATATTTCCCAGAGGGAGAGGTGGAGAGTGAGCAGATAGAGAGAGGTGAGTAAACATACACAAAGTTTGAAAGAATAAGTTCTGGTGTTCTAGTACATAGTAGGGTGCCTGTAGATAATAGTAATGTATCACATATTTCAAGATAACTAGAAAAGAGCATCTTAAATGTTAACATCATAAAGAAATAATACATGTTTGTGGTGATGGATATGTTTATTGCCCTGATTTGATCATTACACATTTATGTATATATATTGCAACATCACCCTGTACTCAAAACATGTACAATTATGGGCCTATTATAACCAAAAGAAAAAATCAATTACTACAAATGCGAGTTTAATTTTGTACTGACAATTTCATTTCATTGATTACACGTGTATCATTGTGCCAGTACTACAGTGTATTGATTACTATAACATTTAATAAGTTTTGAAATCTCTCAGTGTTTAACTTCTGTGCTGAAATTTATTGTTATAAATAGTATACAACATTTCAATTATGAATTTTATTTTCCAGTATTTATTATTTTAAAATAAAGTTTTAATCTCTTGCATATATTTCTTAATTTCTTTGTTGACTATGTTTTGTTTCTATTCTTGAATTGTACTTTAACAAAGGCCTAATACACATATGCACAATGTATGTTGTACATTGAATGTGAAGGAAAAAAATGAGATAATTTTTTCTCTTATCAGGTTCATATTTTATTTCGACACAAAGTAAGCAGTAGTTGGAATTTTTTCATTTTTTTTTCTAATTACTAAAATGTGAAAAAATGTCCTTTTTTGCTTTCAGAATAAGTGTGTGAATGTTTATGTGAGTGTGCTAAATTGCCTTTTAAGTAGTTTGTATTACTGTGGGAGTGCAAGAAAGTGTAATAGTGATTATAAGACAATTTTTGTGTTTGTGAGAGGTAATTCAATATTTTTTAAGAGGAAAAAATCAGGTGTATAAATAGCTTGACATAACATACCTCGAAAAACATTTTAAAGTTAGTTACAGGTAATATAGACAACTTAGAGGAGATGCTTACCTTTGATAATATACTCTCTATTGGATGTATCATCTGCACAGTTTTCTTTGTTTCCAATATTTATATATTATTGGCATTGCAAGATATTAACTGAATTGTCGCACAGAAAAAAACTGTTGCCTGCAAGCATCATCAATTACCTCAAGCAGCAGGAGCTATCTAGCTCAAAACTCCAAGACTAAACCATGGGAGGATCATTTCACTTTACAAAGCAAAAAAAAAGAAAAAAAAGCCTTTCAGAGAAAGAATTTCTGATAAGACAAAACAATAAGATATTATGGGTTACCATCCTTGATCCAAAATTGTTTACAAAACCAAATCACTTTTTCTAGCTCAGCAGGACACTAATGGATCCCTGTTTAACACTAGACATTTTACCTGTTGCCCCAACCTAGTTCATTCTTACTCTCCTTTCTGCCTATTTTCTGGTTTCAAACCGTCATGAACCATAGATTTAGTTTCACTGGCAATAGCAACCAATAATCTCACACACTGGAGTTCTACAGCTTCTTCTGCTTGAGGTAGTGATACAATAATGCCATTATCTCCTACATATCTCAGATCATTAAATATGTCTTTGCTTATCTCCCTTGATACAAGCTCTCTAAAGCATGACAGTATGTGCAACTAATTTTTATGCCCCTTTATACCTAAAATAATAATTTCTAGATAGTAATTATTTGATCAAATATTTGATAGAGTGAACATTCTTTTCTTTGGAGAAAAATGTTCAGGATTTATACTTAGAATCTAGAGAGGGAGCTATTTTTGCAACGTGGATGAAGCCTATTTTCAAGCCTACATTAAACTAATTGTGTGTGTGTGTCTGGCAAAATTAGTTTTATTTTCTAATTTTAGATGAACCTTGCCAGATGCTCCAAAGTAGCTCCTGGTACATAGAAATGCATATATTTCTATGTATTATATAGCAGCATAGGTACTAACCTAGTATATATCAATATAATTGATTTTTTAAAATTGCCCATGCATTAGGTAACCTTGTTAAATATATTAGGTAGAATTAAAATTTTTATGATGGGTTTGTTATGTCATCTGTAACCAAAGAGAGGCTTATGTCTTCCTCTTTAACATGAATGCCTTGTATTTTTCATTTGTGATTCATTTTATTGCCTGTATCCTCCAGAAAAAAATGCTTACTAGATAGCAGATATTTCTGTCTTTTCCCTATGCATAGACAGAATGTTTTACTTTTTCATTACTGATTGGTTTTAGGGTTTTTCATAGATAACTGTTTTTTTCAAGTTAAGGAAGCCCATTTCATTTCTTTCTTACTGAAAGTTTCTGTATGAAAGTTTGTGGAATTTATAATTTTTTTTTACAAATCTATCAACATGTTCGTATGGTTTCTTAAGTGTGTGTGTAGATATATGTATATATTTGTGTGTATACATATACATATATATTTGTGTGTATACGTATACACATATACGTATATGTGTATATATGTATATATACACATATATGTGTATATAGTGTATATACATATATGTGTGTATATATGCACATATATGTATATATGTATATATTTGTGTGTATACATGTGTATGTATACGCACATATATTTGTGTGTATACATGTGTATGTATACGCACATATATTTGTGTGTATACATATACGTATATATTTGTGTGTATATATACGTATATGTATACACACAAATATATGTGTATACACATATATTAATATATAATATATATATAATATATATATACACACATATATATGTATATAATATACACATATATACACATATATGTATGTGTATATATATGCACATGTGTGTATATATATGCACATATGCATATATACACATATATGTATATGTGTATATATGTATATATACACACAAATATATATACGTGTAGAATTATTTTTAAATATACATATACAATGGAATACTATGCAGCCATAAAAAGAATGCAATTATGTCCTTTGCAGCAGCAATGGATGTGGGTCAAGGCCATTATTCTAAGTGAACTAATGTGGAAGCAGAAAACCAAATACCTCATGTTCTCATGTATAAGTGGTTGCCACACATTGGGTATTCATGGACATAAAAATGTCAACAATAGACATTGGGGACTACTAGAAGAGGAGGGAGATGGGAGGGCGAACATTGAAAAACTATTGGTTACTATGCCCACTATGAGTCATGGGATTATTCATATCCCAAACCTCAACATCACATAATATATCCATGTAGTAAACTCGCATATGTACCCCATGTTTCTAAAATAAAAATTGAAATAAAAAAACAAGAAAGACAGTAAAAATCGTAAGATTTTTGAGGTTTAGAATCAAGTTACACAGTTCACCTCTGCTGCATTCTGTTAGGGAAAAGTAAGTTAAAAGTCCCAACCAGATTCAACGAATGGAAATATAGACTCTAGCCCTTGGTGGTGTTCTGCAAAAGACATGGCCATATTTCCTTTACCACTGTGTGTGCTCTGGTCACAATATTTATTGCTACATGTGAAATAAATTAAAATCCTACCAAGACTCACAAAATGCTCAACAATTATGATATATGGCTTAAGGACTGTGTAATTTGCATTTAGTTTACATACTGATGAGGCCCTTGGTTATGGCTCCTCATGACCTCAAGTCTTATGAAATAAAAACATGACTTATATGCCCCTTATTTTCACCGTACATATTCCCATTGTGGGAAGAGCAGAAGCACATAGTTCTCATTGAATGATAGCTATCCTGAAAGTTAATCAATCATATGCCACCTGTTTCTCAATTCTAGGTACAGTGATTATCACTTGATTAAGTCCAATTCTGCTCCCTGAATGACGTTTCAAAATGATGCATTTTTTCTCCTCTTGATTCTACCTTTTGAGGTGTCTTTCTTATACAATGAGAAGTGGTCCATGTTTGTGTTAATGTTTGCATATATCACTAAGATTACTTGCTGTCTATAGAACATAGAGGCCACAAAGAATTTTTTTTTTCTTTTTTGTACAGTCTCTGTCCTTTTAGTTCAATCTGGTTAAACTCTCTTAATAAGTTTGTGTTTTTCTCATGAATATGACTTTTGCCTTCAGCATGACCCCTAAAATCACATTCCTCATTCTTTTTAAGACAGACCTTTGACTGCTGTGGGTGGAGTATCAGATGTCTGTGAGACAGTGTCCTTCCTTAAGATTCTTAGAATCGCTTCTGTCTAGCTAGGGAAGTCCCAGGCATCATCTTAAATGTTTCTGAGATATTAACAATGTCTTACAGTCATACCCTTAATTTAATCTTTAAGGATATTTTTATTTGTTTTATTTGCTTAAGAGTCTGGGCATTAGAACAGTTCTACTTTACAACAGATCATGTTTTTGTCTTCCCATATAGTTTCTAAATTCTGCTTATAAATTGTCTTTTTGTTTTTGTTACTGTCTTTATTCCTGTATCTTATCATGCCCAACTAAAAGAAAAAGCCACATGATAAAGAGATTGTCTTAATCAGCATTATCCAGTTTATTTGGTGCTGAAATTAATGTGACAACACATTATAAGTAATTTTGTGTCTGTGTTAGTGACACATACTGGTACATATTTTTTCTTTTCTTTCTAATATTTTCCTTTGATTTTGGAATCCAGTAAATGTTGGCCTCATAGAATGATTATGGAATTTATCCTATCTTCTCTTTATTTGAAATAATTTATATAGCTGTAAAACATGTCTCCCTTACATATTTAACAGAAATCAGCACTGAAGTTGTCTACACATATAATTTTCTTTGGAGAGGTTTCTTCATTTAAAATCACATTCCTTTAATATAAACAGGGCTATTCAAATTTTCTAATTCAGCTGAAGTCAATATGGAAAATTCTTTGTTTTATTTGTTTGTTTGTTTGTTTGTTTTTTGAGGTGGGGTCTCGCTCTGTCTCGCCCAGGCTAGAGTGCAGTGGCACGAACTCGGCTCACTGCAGCCTTGGCCTCCCTGATTCAAGTGATTCTCCTGTCTCAGACTCCCCAGTAGCTGAGACTAGAGTGTGTGCCACCACACCTGGCTAATTTTGTATTTTTATTAGAGACAGGGTTTCACCATGTTGGCCAGGCTGGTCTCAATCTCCTGACCTCAAGTTATCCACTCACCTCAACTTCCCAACGTGCTGGGATTACAGGCGTGAGCCACCATTCCCAGCCAGGACAATTCTTGTCTTTCAAATAATTTCTCCACTGACTGAAATTGTTGAATTCACTGACATAATTTTACACATAAAATTAACTTACTATCCTTATATTGTGTATAATATCTACTGCATTATGTTCCTATTCTCATTTCTGATAGTACTAATCTGTCCCAGGCATCTTTTATTTTTAATCAAATTAACTGAAGATCTATTAATTTGACAGAACAATTAAAAAAGAAGCAATTAGTTTTATTGATTTACTTGATCATGTCTCCATTTTCTATCTCATTTTTTTCAATTCTTTGTTATACATTTCTCATTTTGGATTTAATTTTTTTCCTGTTTCTTTTTCCTCAACTTTTACTTTGGATTCAGGAGGTCCATGTTCAAGTTTCTACCTGAGTATACTGTGTGATGCTAAAGACTGTATTACGAATGATTTCATTACCCAGGTACTGAGGACAGTACCCAATGGCTAATTTTTCAACCCTTTCCTTTCCCCTAGTTTCCCAGTTTTTGTGGTTGTGATCTGTATGTCCATGAGTACCCAATGTTTAACACCCAGTTATAAGTGAGAACACGTGGCATTTGGTTTTCTCTTCCTGTGTTAATTTGCTTACAATAATGGCCTCTGGATGCATCTATATTGCTGCCAAGGGCCTGATTTTGTTCTTTTATATGGCTGCATAGTATTCCATTGTGTACATGGACAACATTTATCCAATCCACCATTGATGGCAAGTAGGATGATTCCATGTCTTCGCTATTGTGAATAATGCTATTATGAATATGACAGTCCATGTGTGTTTTTGGTAGAATGATTTGTTTTCTTTTGCAAATAAACCCAGTAATGGGATAGCTGGGTGGAATGTTAGCCCTGTTTTAAATTTTTTGAGAAATCTTCAAACTCCTTTTCACAGTGGCTGAACTGATTTCCATTCCCTTCAACAGTGTATAAGCATTCCCCTTTCTTTGTAGCCTTGGCAGGATCTTTTGTTTCTGGACTTTTTAATACTAGCCATTCTGAAGGGTCTGACACGATATATCATAGTGGTTTTGACATCCATTTCTCTGATCATTAGCATGTTACTCTGATGAAAGGATAGTACTGGCACTAAAACAGACACATAGATCAATGGAACAGAATAGAGAACCCAGAAATAAAGCTGCCCACCTATAGCCATTAAGTCTTTGACAAAGGCGACAAAATAAGCAATGAGGAAATGATCCTCTATTGAATAAATGGTGCTGGTGTAGCTGGCTAGCCACATGTAGAAGAATGAAACTGGATGCATATCTTTCACAATATACAAAAACCAACTCAATGTGGATTAAAGATTTAAATGTAAGACCTCAAACTGTTAGATTTCTAAAAGAAAGCCTAGAAAACACCATTCTAGATATCGGCATTGGGAAAGAATTTATGACTAAGTCTTCTAAAGCAATTGCAACAAAAACAAAAATTGACAGATAGAACCTAATTAAACTACAGAAAATTTGCACAACAAAAGAAACTATCAACAGAGCAAACAGACAACCTACACAATGGGAGAAAATATTTACAAACTATGCATCTGACAGAAGTATAATATCCAAAATCTGTAGGAACTTAAGCAATTTATCAGGCATAAAAATAACCCCTTTAAAAATTGTCAAAAGACATAGCCACTTATTCAAAGAAGACATACAAGCAGCCAACAAACATATAAAAAAGTGTTCCACATTACTATCACAGAAATGCAAATCAAAATCACAGTGAAATATCATGTTACATCAATCAGAATGGCTATTAAAAGGTCCAAAACAAACCAATATTGGCAATGCTGCTGGGAAAAGGGAATATTTATATAACACTAGTGGGGATGTAAACTAGTTCAACTACTGTGGAAAGAGGCAGTTTGGAGATGTCTCAAAAAACTTAAAACAAAGCTACTATTCCACCCAGCAATCCCATTATTGAGTTTATATAATAACTCATAATATCAAATAGCAAAGACATGGAATCTACCTAGGTGCCCATCAATGTTGGACTAGATAAAGAAAATGTGGTACATATACACCATGGAATACTACACAAACATTAAAAAAATGAGATCATGTCCTTTGAAGGAATATAAAGGGAGCTGGAATTTATATCCTGGGCTTTCTTGGTTCTTAGTTCATTAGACTCAGGAATATACTATCAGTTTTCCTGCGTCTCCAGCTGGCTGACTGCTGATCTTGAATTTTTGGCCTTCATTATCATGTGAGCCAGTTTTTAAAAGGAAACTATTATGTGTATATACATGTGTATAACTTCCTATTGATTCTGTGCCTCTGGAGAACACAGACTAATGCAATACTTACGCGTCAGGTATAGTAATCGGAGTGTCTCAATTCAGCAGATGATTCTTACCTAGTACACTGCACCCTGGCTGAGCTTAAAGTTCAACTTTGTTCCTCCAGCACTGTGAGGGCTCTGAAATCTCATTTTGGCTTTCCAGCTTCACAGATAAGTATTCTGAAATTAGTCTTCTTGAGTATTGCAGATAGGGGTTTTGCAAGTTGTTAAAATACCTAAGAAAAATAATTATGCATATTTTACAGGATTTCTTTTTGATACTACCTTCTTTCCAGAGATCTACAGTCAGGTTTTAGTCATTTGTACAACCCAAACTATGACCACATTCTCCTCTACCCAGTGAGACATCTACTCTTTTTTTTTTTTTTTCACTATTTCCTTGTGCCACTGTTCAAACCTACACCTGAGCAAATGGGATTTCCCGGTTGAAATCGACTGTTAATTAGCTAGATAGTTAAATGAATATACAAATCATTTTATAGCCCTGCATATTAATTGGTCAATTATCAAAGTAAAAAAGATATGACCTTTATGTGGTGAGAAATTTGGTCTTGACCAAAGAAAGACAGTTTTTGTCCTATGTCCTGGGAGGTAACTGCTACACCACACTGATAGGAGTATCTTTATTATTCTTAATGGGCCCCTTGACAATATCTAAAACTTATGCTAAGAAAGTGACTCATGGCGGGCCCCCAGAACATATAATGGCATCCTGACCTCTGTTACAGTGGGAGGTGCTGAAAACTGAGTTCAACCCTGTATGAAATGAATGAATTAAAACTATATAATAAAACCCCAGTAAAATCTCCAAACTTTAAAGCTTAAATTAGCTTCCCTTGTTGGCTATAGTCTATGCATATTTTCACACATTATGTCTGGAGAGAGAGAATACTGTCCATGACTTCATGAGGATCGAACAACCATAATTCCACGTTTGGTCTCTTCCCAGACTCCTATGTATTTATCCCTTTGGATGGTTCTAATTGGTATCCTTTCTCTGCAATAAATATATTCATGTGAACAATAGGTTTCAATTAGTCCTGTGCATCATTATAGAAAATTATCAAATCTGAGTGTGGCTTAAGGAATCCCAAATTTTTATTTGCTGTCAACAATCTTGAACAGATTTAGAAGTTTGGCTCTCTTCAGGTAATGGGTCAGAATGTTGTAGCAGTACATACCATCAATTTTAAGATTAAAATAATTGCAGAGGATTTTTGATATCAATTCTACTTTGTAAAGAGTTTGGATATCATCATTTCCATCTTTACAACAGGAAAATATCAAAGAAAATACAAAGAAAAAATCAAAACTTTTATTGGATCCATCAGAATATTGATGTTGCAGGGCTTACCACCACCATAAAATCTAGAGAGACAGGAGGCTACACTTATTCATAAAGTATTCTTAACAGGAGCAGAAACCAGTATATAACCATAAACAAATGAAAAGTTAAGTGATTATTTTTATAAGTCACTGGATACTCAGTGTGAACTAGCATGAAAGTTAGAAACTCCTAGAAAGTACAATCTTAGGGGTGCTCATGTATTCACTATGATTACTTCAAGAATCTGAAGATGTTCTCATGGTGAAGAGCCAAGGAAAATCATCTCATAACTATAGAAAAGGAAGCAGAAAAGTAATCACTTATTGAAATATTCCCAGAGCATTCTCTATAACAAAGGCCTTTACTTCAGGGGAAAAGAATACTAATGACTGACAATTCCTCAACATTATTAGCAGACACTAAACTACAGACTGACAGACTTCAGAAAACATCATACAAGAGGTTTAACACACATTTAAACAAACAAACAAAACAACAACAAAAATTTAAACAAAAAAAAATCACCTACTCATACAATATTCAAACTGCAGAACACTAAAAACAAAAAGATTCTAGAAAAAAGCTAGACTAGCAAAAATCCAAAAATATTTTACCTATAGAGGAAGAAGTGTAAGAATTACAACAGACATCATTGGAAACCATGCAACAAGAACAGAGTGGAGTGACATATTTTAAGTTTTGGAAGAAAAATTTTGAATTGTTTATGTCAAGAAATTATCTTTCAATAGTGAAAGATAATTTTTATTTGTATTAGTATTTATTTTTTAAGGACCAGCTTATCTGGATTTATTAACGTTAGGTAACAATAATTTAAACAATAAATTATTTATTTATTATTTATTTATTTATTTATTTACTATTTATTTATTATTATTTATTTATTTAATTAAATAATAATTATTTATTATTATTTAAATAATTATTTAAATAATAAAAAAGGTCTCATATTACAGGAATTTAAAAATTGGCTGTTTCTACAATAAATGATGAAGAAATCTAACAATAGAATAGAACAGTAGTCAAACAGCTAATATAGAATACAATCAATTAATAAATGGGGCCAAAAGACCAATGTATCTCATGTCATCTTTCATGCAATCTCAGAGGATTCTTTTCAAACATAAAGGCAGATTAATTCAAATTAGCCAAATAAAGATTATCCATTTTTATTTAGACGTCCTTCTGAAATTAATATTTGAATGGAAAATGTATTAATAAGTCATACAACATTAGTTTCCTACTGAAGTTTTAGACTCTACAAGATGATGCTCAGATTCAGACAAATGCTAGAATTGTAAGATACTATTGGGTGATTATTTCAAAGTATGGAATACAAGTAAAATCTAAAAGGACATCTATAATAAAAAAATTTCTAATTTAAAAGACATGTAAATTAGACATGTAAAATGACATGTAAATTAGTAAATATAAATTAATTAACTCAATGGTAACTGACAGATCTGTGAATCAGTAAGGACTTAGTTGTCTTGAACTGTACTATCAATCAAATTAATCTAAAAAATTATTAAATATTAAATATTCCATCCAACAGCAACTGAAAGTATATTCTTCTCAAATTTATATTGAATGTTCTTCAAGATAGACCACATTCTGGGACACAAGACAGAACTTGAACAAATTAAAAATAATAGAAGTTGACAATGTTAAGTTTTGCCTGAGCCCAGTGGTACTAGAAAACAGTGACGATCAATACTCTCCCACCTCTACCCTTTGTTGTCACTGGTAATGAATTACTGCAAAAGAAACACCTTTCCCCATCTCATGAAGGTAAAATGTATAGAGGTCCCCTTGTTTACATATAAAAGGCAAGACAAAACCCTCCAGATTTCTATCTTCACATCAAAAATTGTTACCTGAACTTTTTCTTTGATCAATCAGAACAAAATGCATGCTCATCAAAACTTTTTTGAGTTTTGCTTCATCTGCCAGGCCCCTGAAATGTGTCTCGTTCTCTATATCAGCCAGCCTACAAGGCATTTTCAGTGGCCTTTCCTGAGTACAGACTGAAGTCAAGATAAAACATTAACTGTTGTCTGATCTCTCCATCCTAGCTCATACCCCTTCCTCACAGGAGGTCTTTTCTAGCCTTGTTTACTGCTCCTTATACAGAGAAATCCCTTCTGTACTTAACATTTGAGACTTGAAGACCGCATAGTCTGCAGCTATATCTTCCCACTCTCCCTTTGCAATAGGCCCTTTCCCCCATTGCAATGATTCTTTCAAATAAAATCTCACCTAACCTAAGTCCAGATCTGTTTCTCTTTTGACAAATTATACAAAGTGTATTGTCAAACCACAATTAAACTATAAATCAATAACAAAAAGTGACTTCAAAAAATCTCCAAATGTTTTGAGATTAAACATCACAATTCTAAATAACACATGCATCAAAGAAGTCTCAAGTGAAATTTAAAACACACGTTGAGCTAAAAGAGAATGAAATGACAACATATCAAAATGTGTGGGTGCAGAGAAAGCAGTACTTAGAGTAAAATCTGTGAACACATAATTGAAAAGAGGAAAGATGTTAAATCAATAATCCGAGCTGGAGAGAAAGAGGAAAAAAAATAGCAATTTAAGCCTCTAGCAAGCAGATTAAAAGAATTAAAAAAAAGAGCAGAACTCAATGAAAATAAAAACAGGAAAGCAATAGAGAAAATCAGTGAAATTAAAATATTAATAAAATTGATAAGGCTCTAACCAGACTAACCAACATACAAAGAGAAGAAACAAATTAACAATGCCATAAATTAAAGAGATGTCATCACCTTTCAGCTCATTGATATTAAAATAATATTAATAGACTACTATGAGCAATGAAAATAGATGAACTGATTGAATTAGGTACAAAACTACCAGAACACACACAAAGAAAAACAGATAACCCAAACATATTGGTATTTATGAAAGAAACTGAATCAATAACTAATAACCCTCCAAAAAAGGAAAGCAAAAGTCTCAGATGGTTTCACTGGTGAATTCTACCAAACATTTAGGGAAGTAATTATGTTAGCTTTAGCATCCATTCCAAAATATAAAGCACATGGAGAACTTACTAACTCATTCTATGAGATCACCATTATGGTAATACCGAAATCAGATAAAGGAATTTCAATAAATAAAAACTACAGATCAATGTCTTTAATTAACATAGATGCAAAAGTGCACAACAAAATGTGAGCATGTATTATTCAACAATATATACCCAGCACTTTGGGAGGCCGAGGCGGGCGGATCACGAGGTCAGGAGATCGAGACCATCCCGGCTAAAACGGTGAAACCCCGTCTCTACTAAAAATACAAAAAATTAGCCGGGCGTAGTGGCGGGCGCCTGTAGTCCCAGCTACTTGGGAGTCTGAGGCAGGAGAATGGCGTGAACCCGGGAGGCGGAGCTTGCAGCGAGCCGAGATCCCGCCACTGCACTCCAGCCCGGGCGACAGAGCGAGACTCCGTCTCAAAAAAAAAAAAAAAAAAAAAAAAAATATATATATATAAATTATGCTCCATGGCCAAAATTACAGAAGCACAAGTAGGTAGGTGCCGAAGATATGAGAGAAGGATTTAGTGTTTAGTGGGTATAGAGTTTCTATTTTGCAAGATGAAAAAGTTCTAGGGGTGTATTACATGAGCATGTAACTATACTTAACACTACTGAACTATACATTTAAAAAATAGTTAAGACGGTAAATGTAATGTTATGTTATTTTTACCACTACACACACACACACGCACACAGACCAAGTGGAATTTATTCTAGGTATCACAAGCCTGGGTCAAAATTTGAGAATCAAATAATATAATCCACTACATCAACTGAATAAAAAAAAGTTATATAATTGTATCAATTAAGGCCAAAAAGGCATTTCACATAATTCAACACCTATTCATGATTTAAAAAAAAATTATAGCTAACTAGAAATACAGGATAACTTCCTAGAGTTGATAGAAAACAAAACAAAATAAAATATCTATAATAAAAACTGCAGCTAAGATCATACTTAATCTTGAGGAACTGAAGGCTATGAGCCTAAGATAAGATATAAGGTACTGTGGACTAAAGATATGTGCTCTCCTAAAATTCATCTGTTGAAGCCTTAAGCCCCAGTGTGATGGTATTTGGAGGTGGGGCCTAATTAGACTTAGAAGAAGTCACGAAGGTCGAGTCCCCATGATGCCTTAGTGCCTTTCTAAGAAGGTGTAGAGACCAGAGCTCTGTGTCTCAGCTTTATTAGGATTCGGCAAGAAGGTGGCTCTCTGCAAACCAGGACACTTATCAGACACTGACTTTGCAGACACCTTGATTTTAGATTTCCCAGTTCCAGAACTGTG
The DNA here is from genome assembly GCF_000001405.40 of Homo sapiens. Classification (NCBI taxonomy): domain Eukaryota; kingdom Metazoa; phylum Chordata; class Mammalia; order Primates; family Hominidae; genus Homo; species Homo sapiens. The sequence continues at coordinate 191,100,077 of NC_000001.11, forward strand.
AAATACATTTTTACGTTACCCACTGTGTGATATTTTGTTAGGCAGCCTAAACTAAGACATAAGAGAAGGATGGCCTCTCTCACCATTTCTAACCAACGTCTTACTAGATTTTTTTAGTGTGATAGAAAAGAAAAGGAAATAAATGGTACACAGATTGAGAGGAAGAAATAAAACTCTTTTATTCTTACCTGACATACTTTTCTATGTAAAAATCCCAAAAATCAACACAAAATCCTCTTTGAAATAATAAGCAAATATAGAAAGGTCACAAGATTAATAAAAAGATAATTGCTTTTCTATATATAAGCAACTAACAATTTGAATTTTATATTAAAATACTATTTATAATCAGACCCAAATCTGAGCAAAATGGGCCTGGAGCATCTGATAGTGCCAGAAAGTTAGGGGACAATAAAAAAAATCTATAGGGGTATTACAAAGGGACACAGTAACCAACTGAAATATCTCCCAGTGGTCAAACCTGGAAAATTTGAACCAAATAAATAAGGTAGTTCTGGATTATAATGCAAAGTATACAATAAATATTCATAAGTCTATACTAATATAAATAAATAAATGCTGAATAAGTAAACAAGTGGAAGAGAATAGACAGATATCCCATGCTGAAGAATTTAAAACAATCCTAAATAGATACTCCATTCTTTAGGACAGGAAGCAAAACACCCCTTTCTTTTGGTGTGGGTTACACAGTTACTTCCTTCCAAAATATACAGTATATAAAATGGGAAGAAAGAGAATCTTTATAATGCGGAAACATAATAACCACTACCTTAACCAGGTGATCAAGGATAACATCAATTGTGATAAGGCATGTAGATACTATGCACCCTTGATATAATTTACTAAAAATGGAACTTTACCTCTGTGGTCTTCCTACTAACAATCCCAAAATCCTTTCTAATTTAGGGGAAATTACACAAATCCTAACTGATGACTTTGTTTAAAAAATATCTCAGCAGTAATAAAATATACATTTACAGTTATATATATATATATATATAACCTGAAAATCAGCCACAGCCAAGAAGAACCTAAAGATATAAGACAATTAAATGTAATGTGATATCCTGGATAGGATCCTGAAGCAAAAAAAGTAAGCATGCTAGTTGGCAATAATGTATTTATGTTGACTGGTTAATTATCTCAAAATTACTATGCTGGCTTAAGAGATTAATAAGAGGAGAAACAGGATGGACAATGTCCATGGTAACTGTGAACTTTCTTTATAATTTTTCTATAATTCCAAAAGTGTTCTTAAAAACACAGTTTTCTACATTGCAATTTTTGCCTTTTCAGGTTTATATCTTCAGCCATTCTCATTCCTAAATATTTCAATATAATTTATTATATCCAAGATGAAAAAAAGGAGAAGAATAATCATTAGGTACATTGGGTGCTCCGAGTTACATATAGCATGATAAAATATATTCATCTAATAATTATCATATCAAGTTTTTAATTTCCATTTTAAGATAACTACAACTAATCATTTTAGATTGCATAATATATACATATTTTAAAAATTCTTTATGGGCAATTTTTTGTTATACATATATAAAATTCTAAGAACTTAGAACAGTGCCTTCCATATGAATATTTGTGAATAAGTAATTGTATTATTTTTTAACCAAAACCATAGTAGTTATTATAAGAGATTATCACTCATGGTTATTACTTTCATTATTTTAATATATATGATAATACATATATAACTATTTCTAAAGATTAAACTTACAAAATTTAAAAAATAATAATCTTTAATTTTATTTTCATCATCTCACTTAACTCGTGATGCTTTATTCAATTACCTTATAATAAAACACACACAACTCAAAGAGAAAATAACTAGAAATATTAAGTATTAATCACAACAAAAACTTGTAATGGAATCATCTACATGAAACGACATGCTCTTTAAGCTGCTGCAAGAATTTCTTTGAGAAGTCTTAGGTTATTTTCTCAAGAGGAGGCAAATGCTTTTATCCTTTTAGTAATTACTTGATATTTTCACAGAGGGTTATTATACTGATCATAGGTAATACATCACCAGGCTCTTAGAGGCTGTAAAATTTATGAGAGATGTATTTGTCAAATTCTGTGAAGGCACTCTGCGGCTTCTTATTCAGGATTAGTTTTGCTGGAAGTCCAGATGACAGAGGCCATTTAATAAACTCTTTGCTGCTAGACAAAATGATATCCTACTGGTACCATCTGGATATATGTTGGAATCAAGTTTAGCTCTACCGGTAGAAACAAGAGTTGAGCCAGTGAATAGCCTCCTATATAGAAACGTTTAAATAAAGGTGATTAATCAGCATGCCAGTTGACTGGTTGTAATGTAATTCATGATTTGATAGGACAGAGACTTTAATAAGAGAATATTTTAGTAATAATCTTTTTTCAAAACTCTTGGAAAGTAAAATAAGTATTTTAAACTTTTCCATTTTACCTAATAAACAGTCATCCTAACAATTACCTTTCTTGTTCTGCATAGATTACAGTCCTATATAATTTCATGAATTTAAATCCACAGGCCTAGGGTCATTTATGCAATCATTCAGTCTTTGTTTCCTAGGAAACAGAGTAGTCAAGAGATGGAAAATGGCCACCCACTTTCTTTGCCTCTATTATTTGATCCTGCACTAATCCATGAAATTCATAAGATTCTTTATTTTTTTACTGCTCATATTTGGCTGTGGTTTTAAGACTGGTTTAGATTCTCATTTTTATTTGATATTTTATTCAATTTTAAAATAGTTGCTCATGATATTAAAATGATAATTCTTCATTAATTTATATTGAAATTCTAAATATGATTGTAGAAGAAATGAACAGTACTATCACATATTTTGTGAAAATTGGTAGGTGATAAAAATATCTAGAGAGGGAGGTATGAGAAATTACTTTCTGAAAAAATGTATTCCAATATTGATTTTCATATAATATATATTTTTAAATATGTTATTGAAATTACAGAGTTGTGGAAATTTATAAAATATCTCATTGGGGATAAGCTATATTTATATATACATATGACTGCTCATAATCATAATGGACCATAATATTTAGTAAAAAAAAAAAAGCTTGACTTTGATGTTCTTTTTTCATATATTTTAGATTTTAGTGTTTACATATATTCTTGACCATTTTGAAAAGAACAATTTACACAGAAATAAACTGCAGATGAGTAGTTATGTAACATTAACTCTACCTAGAAAGCTCGTTCTAAAGATTTCAGATTATAATTCCACTATCATCTTTATCTAACGTACTATAGAGCATACACTTTTTAAAATTGTTCGCCAGTTTCAAAATACAGTGGAGAAAAAATGCAATTTCTTGCAAGATATAACCTGAAGGCTAGAAACTGATAATTTTGAAAGGTATCCTGGCCCCTTATTCTGCAGTATACAATGTTCTGTCCAAGAGGACAAATTTGGATTTCTAGTTAGACAGTAAATAATGCAGTTTGAGGAAAAATTATTTGCTATGCAGATATTATCTGTTTAATTTGTCTTAAAACTGACAGGCTCTGAATAATTGGTACAATTTCCATAAGCCATTGATTAAGAAAAGACAGCATTATCTTATGTAAAACTGTGGGTAATGGTATGTGGAATTCTTACCTTGCATCAATCCAATAAAACAGAGGATTCCGCAATGCATCATTTGGACATGTATTCTGCTTGTATTTTACCTAAAACTATTTAATATACATATTAGTCTTTCTATTCAAGAACATACTAAACTATTTAGGGAAGAACATTTATTTCCGCTTCTCTGAATTTCCCTTCTTTGCCTACAAACATGAGCAACAAATAATATATACTCAACAGAAACTATTTTGGTGGGATTATTTATGGAGTGACATTGTAAAAATGTTGTACATATGATATTTTTGATGAAGCTAATCACACTGCTGGCTTGTAAATATTTACTCATTATAAATTTATATGAATAAAATAATTTGGAAGTTTTTTAGGAGAGACTATTTCTTTGTACTACATAAAATTATAGAATTAAATGTTTCTTATTTTAAAAATACTGTTAAAGCAAAGAAGGAAAAGACACATTTTTACTTTGAATGCCTAGAATAGAACATCTTATTAATTTTCAACTTAACTTTTACAAACAGAAAATTACAAGTAATCTGTAGCTGGGTTAAAATTAGCACTTACAGAAATAATAGAATAATGTGTTCCTAAAGATTTTGTGCATAGGTGTTTGGAAAATAATTTCAGAATATAGCTTTCAGCATTAACTACATAGAATAGACATATAATTTTAAATAAATACAAAAGAAATAACTGTGGGTTTTCCTTCATTAAACATAATCAAGTTCAGGTAGAAATGCATTTTACCTAATGATTATTGAAAGTGTACGCTATTAAAAATTGTGGATAACTAACATTCTGCTGACATATTTCATATATTTTTATTGCAGAGATTATTTTACATAGATTTTTCTCCCTTCACTTATTTAAAAATTTATATTGTGAAATATATTTTAATTTACAGAAGAGTTTCATGCATACTACCAAGAGTTCCTATATAGCTTTAATCCCACTTCCTCTATTATCATCTTACATAGCTATGGTATATTTATCAAAACTAAGAAGTTGACATTGATATAATACTAATAATCAAACTATAGGCTGTATTATAATTTTAGTTATTTATGCATGGGTTTAAGTCCATATATGCACATAGATCTGTTTTTATTTCTGTATCTATCACTCTCTGTACATATATATTACATTAAACATGTGCTCATTTGGAGCTCTTCAATCCTAATCCAGAAACACAAGGTTCATTCTAGTCATCTTTCTTGCTTATTTGTCATTTCTTTCTCTAAGAGTGAGGAACTTGCCTCATATTATGATCATTTACATTTACTTCTTTGTCCATTCATTATATACATGTGAAGTAGTTTCATAATTACAAACACATACACCCGCAAGAAACAAATTAACCAACTAAAGTACCATGTTTACAAACAAATACTCCTGTCTTGTAACTTATAATATTCATCTAGCATAAACACTGTTTTACAAACTTAAAGTCAGCGCTTTTTTACCAAAACCTTCCAGAAGTTTGTCATATGTTTGTAATAAAGTTAGATTTTTTTCATAGTCTGCATTCATTCCTGAATTCCCACAATATGCTTATTTTTATACAAATTATTTTTATGACTTGAAACTTAATTTTTATTTTTTATTTATTTTTATTTAACTTTTATTTTAGGTTCAGGGACACATGTGCAACTTTGTTGTATAGGCAAATTGTGTTTCATAGGGGTTTGGTGTACAGATTATTTAGTCACCCGGGTAATAAACATAGTACCCAATAGGTAGTTTTTCTATCCTCACCTTCCTCCCACCCTCCACTCTCAGATAGGTCTGGTGTTTGTTGTTCCCTTCTTTGTGTCCATGTGTAGTCTATGTTTAGTTCCCACTTATAAGTGAGAACACATGGTATTTGGTTTTCTGTTTCTGCATTAGTTTGCTAAAGATAATGGCCTCCAGCTCCATCTGTGTTACTGCAAAGGACATGATCTTCATTTATATGGCTGCATAGTATTCCATGATCCCATAGTTTCTTTATCCTGTCTACTAATAATGGGCATCTAGGTTGATCCACATCTTTATATTGTGAATAGTGGTGCAGCGAACATATGTATGCATGTGTCTTTATGGTAGAAGTATTTATGTTCCTTTGGGTGTATACTCAGCAGCGGGGTTGCTGGATTGAATGGTAATTCTGTTTTAAGTTCTTTGAGAAACTGCCAAACACCTTTCCTCCGTGGCTGAGCTAATTTACACTTCCTCCAGCAGTGTATAAGCATTCTATTTTATCCATAGCCTTGCCAGCATCTGCTATTTTTGACTTTTTGATAATAGCCATTCTGACTGGTATGAGATGGTATTTTATTGTGATTTTGATTTGTATTTCTCTAATAATTAGTGATGTTGAGCATTTGTCATATGTGTGTTGGCTGCATGTATATCTTCATGTGACCAGTATAAGATGGGTCTGTTTGTCTTTACTCACATTGTAATGGGATTATTTATTTTTATTTTAGGTTCAGGGACATATATATGCAACTTTGTTAAGGTCTTAGATTTACTTTTTGCTACTTAATATGTTTAAGTTCCTTATAGATTCTGAATATTGGACCTTGTTGAATGCATAGTTTGAAAATATTTCTCCTATTCTGTAGGTTGTCTATTTACTCTGTTGATAGTCTATCTGCTGTGTAGGAGCTCTTCCATTGGTCAATTATTGATTTTGTTGCAATCACTTTTGTTGTCTTCATCATGAAATCTTTGCCAGGGCCTATGTCCATAATGGTATTTCCTAGGTTATCTTCCAGGGTTTTTACACTTAGTGGTTTTACATTTAAGTCCTTCATCCATTTTTGGTTAATTTTTCTATATGGTGTATGGAAGGGGTCCAGTTTCAGTCTTCTGCATATGCTAGCCAGTTATCCAAGCACCAGTTACTGAATAGGGAGTTCTTTCCCTATTGCTTGTTTTTGTCAGGTTTGTTGCAGGTAAGATGGTTGTAGATATGCAGCATTATTTCTGAGCTCTCTATTCTGTTCCATTTGTCTACATGTCTGTTTTTGTGTCGGTACCACACTGTTTTGGTTACTGTAGCTTTGTTTGAAATTGGGTAAAGTGATGCCTCTGGCTTTGTTCTTTTTGCTTAGGTTTGTCTTAGCTATGCAGGCTCATTTGTGATTTCATATGTGTTTAATTTTTTTTTTTTTTTTTGCTAACTCTGTTAAGAATGTCATTGGTAGTTTGAGAGAAATGGTATTGAATGTGTGAATTCCTTTGGGTAGCATGGCTATTTTAACAAGGTTGACTCTTCCTATCCATGAGCATGGAAGGTTTTTCCATTTGTTCGTGTCATCTCTGATTTCTTTCAGCAATGTTTTGTATTTCCTGTTGCAGAGACTTTTCACCTCCCTGGTTAATTGTAGTTCTAGGTATTTTATTCTTTTTGTGACTATTGTTAATAAATTGCATTCTTGATTTGGCTCTCAGCTTGGATGTTGTTGGTATATAGAAAGGCTAAATTTTATTGTATGTTGATTTTTATCCTGAAAGTTTGCTGAAGTTATCAGATCTAGGAGATTTTTGGAAGAGACTATAGGGTTTCCTAGGTATAAGATCATATTGTCTGCAAACAGAGACAGTTGGACTTCCTCCTTCCCTGTTTGGATGCCTTTTATTTTTCTATTCTTGCCTGATTGCTATGAATACAACGTCCAATACTATGTTGAATGGAAATGGTGAGAGTGGTCATCCTTGTCTTGCTCCTGTTCTCAAAGGGAATTCTTCCAGATTTTCCTTATTGAGTATGATGTTGGCTGTGGGTTTGTCATTGATGGCTCTTAAGTTTATGTGATGAATTACATTTACTGATCAGCCTATGTTGAACCAACCTTGCATTCTGGGGATAAGGCCCACTTAATTGTGGTGGATTAGCTTTTTGTTTTGCTGCTGAATCTGCTTTGTAATTTGGTGAGGATTTTTGCATCAAAGTTCATCAAGGATTTTATCCTGAAGTTTTCTTCTTTGTTGTGTCTCTGCCAGCATTTGATATCAGGGTGATTCTAGCCTCATAGAATAAGTTAGGAAGGAAGCCCTCTTCTCAATTTTTTTGGAATCGTTTTCGTAGGAGTGGTACCAGCTGTTCTTTATACAATTTAGTAGAATTTGGCTGTGAATCCCTCTGGTCTTGGGCTTTTTCTGGTTGGTAGGCTTTTTATTATTGATTCAATTTTGGAACTTATTATTGGTCTACTCAGGAATTCAATGTCTTTCTGGTTCAATTTTAGGAGGTTGTATGCTTCCAAGAATTTATTCATTCCTTCTAGGTTTTCTAGTGTGTGTGCATAGAGGTCTTCATAGTAGCCTGACAGTTTTTTGAATTTCTGTGAGGTTAGTGGTAATGTCTTCTTTGTCATTTCTGATTATATTCATTTGGATCTTCTCTTTTGTTATCTTTATTTGTTTAGCTAGTAACCTATCTATCTTATTTTATTCTTTCAAATAACAATCTCCTGGAATCATTGAGCTTTTGTATGGTTTTTCTCATCTTAATTTCCTTCAGTTCAGCTCTGATTTTAGTTATTACTTTTATGCTAGCTTTGAGGTTGGTTTGCTCTTATTTCTTTAGTTCTTCTATGGTGATGTTAGATTGTCCATTTGAGAACTTTCTAACTTTTTGATGTGTGCATTTAGTGCTAACACTTTCTTTTATCACTGCTTTAGTGGTGTCCCAGAGATTCTGGTATGTTGTATCTTTGTTTTCACTAGTTTCAAATAATTTCTTGATTTTTGCTATAATTTTATTGTTTACCTCAAAATTCATTCAGGAGCTGGATAATTTTCATGAAATTGTAAGCTTTGGCATGATTTCCTTAGTGCTTATTCCTATTTTTATTGTGCTATGGTCTGAGGGGTGGTTGGTGTGATTTTGATGTTTTGAATTGATTGTCTAAAGGCTGATTGTGTGGTTGATTTTAGCGTATATGCCATGTGCAGAGCAGAAGAATGTATATTCTGTTGTTTTGTGTTGGAGAGTTTTGGAGACATCTATTATATCCATTTTTTCAAGTGCTGAGTTGAATACCTGAATATCTTTGTGGGTTTTCTGCCTGGATGATCTGTCTAATACTTCCAGTGAGGTTTGACACCTCCCCCAATTATTGCATGGTCATCTAAGTCTCTTTGTAAATCTCTAAGATCTTGTTTTATAAATTTGTGTATCCTTGTGTTGTGTACATATATATTTAGGACAGTTATGTCTTCTCTTGAATTAAACTCTTTACCATTATGTAATGGCCCAAATCCTTTGTTCTTTCTGACAGTTGTTGACATACAGTCTATTTTGTTTGAAAGTAGAACAGCAATCCCTGCTTTTTTCTGCTTTCTGTTTGTGTATTAGGCCATTCATGAATTGCTATTAAAAAAGACTAGAGACTTGGTAATTTATAAAGAAAAGGGGTTTGGTTGGATCATGGTTCTGTGGGCTTTATAGGAATTGTGCTACTGGCATCCTCTTGGATTCTCAGGAGCCTCAGAAAGCTTACAATCATGGAGGAAGGCAAATGGGGAGCAGGCACATTGCATCATGAAGTGGGATTAAGAGAGATAGAGTATGTGGAGGGAGGTGCCACACACTTTTACATGACCAGTTCTTTTGAGAACTTACTATCACAAAGTCAGCAGTAAGCCATGAGAGGGATCTGCCCCAATGATCCAGACACCTCCCACCAGGCCCCATTTTCAGTGTGAGATATTATAATTCAACATGAGTTTTGGGCAGGGATAAATATACACACTATATCAATTAGCTTTGCAGATTGTTCTCTATTCCTTTACTTTTAAGCTGTGGGTGTCATTGTATGTGAGATGAGTCTCCTGAAGACAGCATACAGAAATGTCTTGCTTCTTTATCCAATTGCCACTCTGTGCTTTTTAATTAGGGCAGTTAGCCTGTTTACATTCAAGGTTAATATTGATATATGCAGATTTGCTCCTGTCATATAGTTAGCTAGTTACTACGCAGACTTGATTGTGTGGATGCTTTATAGTGCCAATGGTGTATGCACTGAAGCACATTTTTGTGGTAGCCAGTAACAGTTTTTGTTTCCATATTTAAGAACCTCTTGTAAGGCAGGTTTGGTGGTAATGAATTCTCTGTGCACTTGCTTGTCTTAAAATGATCTTATTTCTCCTTTGAGTATAAAATTCTTTATTGGATTTTTTTTTTTTTTTTTTTTTTTTTTTTGCTTAAGAATGCTGAGTATAAGCCTCAGTCTCTTCAGGCTTGTAGGGTTTCTGCTGAAAGGTCCTACTATTAGTCTGACAGAGTTCCCTTTGTAGGTGACCTGCTGCTTCTCTCTAGCTGCCTTTTAACATTTTTTCTCTCATTTTGACCATGGAGAAACTGATGACTATGTGTCATGAGGATGGTCATCTTGTATAGTATCTTGTAGGGGTTCTCTCCATTTCCTGAATTTGAATGTTGGCCTCACTAGTGATGTTGGGAAAATTTTCATAGACAGTAGCCTCATCTATGTTTTCCAACTTGCTTTCTTGCTCTCCCTCTCCTTCAGGGATACCAATGAGTTATAGATTTGGTCTCTTTGAATGATCTCATATTTCTCAGAGGTTTTGTTTACTCCTGTTTTTGTTTTTTTTTTCTTTACTTTTGTGTGACTGAATTATTTCAGAGAACTGGTAATCAAGCTCTGTGATTCTTTCCTGAATTTGGTCAATTCTGCTGTTAAAGCCTGTGATGGTATTATTGAATTCTTCAAGTAATTTTCTCAGGTCTGTTAGATCAGTTTGTTTCTTTCTTTAAGTTGTCATTTCATCTTTCCTCTCCTGTATTGTTTTATTGTCTTCCTTTGATTCCTTGGATTGAGCTTCAACTTTCTCTTGGATTTTGGTGATCTTCATTCCTATCTATATTTTGAAATCTATTTCTGTCACTTCAGGCTTGCTAAGAACCACTTCTGGGAACTAATGCAGTTGTTCAGAGGTGAGAAGACATTCTGGCTTTTTGAGTTGCCAGAGTTCTTGCACTGGTTCTTTCTCATCTGTCTAGGCTGAGGTTCCTTCAATCTTTGAAGTTATTATAATTTTCACTTGCTTATATCTATCTTATTTTATGTCCTTGTGGGTTTGATTGTGGTTTAAGGTGCGTTTAGTTGAGTAGCTTCATTTCTGGAATATTTTAGTTGACCAAAGATCATCTCAGCATTCCTGTGCTACATGTTCTAACACTGAGGACTAGTACCAGGGCCCCAGTTTTGCTCTCTGGCCCTCTAAGTTTAGCAACCAGCTGCGATGAAGGGGCTGTGGTGTTCCTGGTCCACTGGGCACAACATTGCAATGGGTGGTGCTAAAAAGCTGAAGCACTTTGTCAGGGTAGTGGCAGTGGGATCCATGATCACTTGTGTGTGCCAGCAGCTATGGCTTAAAAAATTATTTTTATGAAGCAAATTTTACTCTCTACAGTATACAGTTTAATGCTTTTTGGCAAAATCATAAAGTCATATTTCTATCACCACAGTTCTAGACAGAAGAGTTCAATTATTATGTCATTATTATAAAATTCTGCTTGGTAAAATCCTTCTCACTGAATGAGAATAGCATATTTTAATTTAGTCATTACAATATGTTGTTCACTGAACAATTCTTGAATTAGCAAAAATTCATCTAGAATATGGTCACCCGTAGATTGTCAATTTGATATTTCAAATGCATACTCAATTTCTCCATCATTATTAAAGTCTGGAGATCTGTATCATTCATCTTCTGATTTATTTACAGATTGTGAAATATCTTCCTGTGTCAATATGTTTATATTATGAATGGAGAGTGAAAGCTTTGTTTTTTTAACCCTTTAACTTTCAGTAGATAATCTTACATTTAGATAAAAAATGAAAACATATGAACCTGTTAGTTTGCACATATCGTGTAATATATCTTTAAGGAACATGCAAGTAACAGATAACATTGATTCTCATCAGGGAGAAATGAGTGGTTAGATAGAGGAAAATTTTCACTTTTTAAATCTCCTTGAATATTATGGATTGTTATCATAGGAACATATAGCCTTCTCAAAGTGAAAATCTATACAATAAAAGCCATTATATTTATTTTTAAAGGAAAACATTTGAAGGAAATCTTAAGACAAAATTATGACACTATTGGGTTTCAGATTCCTTTTTTGGAATTTTGTAGATATGGCACCATTGAATATTATAAAGAAGTTTAAAATCAGCCTGATTTTTTTCCTGATGGGTGACTTTATCTTTTGATTTCATGTCCAATGGATTCTCTCCTTATCTTTGAAGTTTCATAACTTTATTATGCCCTATCTTGATGTTGCTGTTTCTGGGTCAGTATTTCCTGGGACACAGTGTACCATTTTGAACAATGTGCAAGCTGTTCTAGTTAGGATTCAGACTTTAACAGAGAAATCCTAAGGTACTGTGGTCAAAGGAAGATTGAGGTTTAATTCTATTTCAAATATCAGTACGTAGAAAATATGTAAGTTAATTTTCAGAAGGTCACCTAAGCACCAGGTCCCTTCGATATTATTGTTCTGGGATCTCTTAAAATACTGAAGCTGGCTGAATTTTATATCTGTATTCCAGTCTACAGGAAGGGGAGGAAAGCAGTCTTTCTTTTTTTGTAAGTAACGTATTTCCATGACAATGATTTTAGTTATTTGTCCACACTAAGTCACAAGAGAAGCTGGGAAATGTAGTTTCTGGATGAGTAGTCATGGTCCCAGTAAAATACCAGTTAATGTTTATGCTGACTCTCATTTGCTAACCTTCCATTTTTATTGCTTTTTAAAAATTTTTGTTTACTTATTTTTGTTTTTTGTAATTCTGTATTTTATGATGATTACTATACCATCTGTCTCCTCTACTTAAAAGTAGACCTTATATTTATAATAGTTTCATATTCTCTATGTTCCACATACTCTGCTTCCGGCTAAGTGTCAAATATTTTCCTACTGTCCAAAAGAGGACTGTTGGTTGTACTCCTAGGTGTGTGATACTCACTTATTTTGATCAGGTGAGTGCCATTGAATTTTGAATGATACCTATGATTATTAGCATCCTCTATTAGCCTTTTTTCACATCCTTCTTTGGAGATCACTGCATACAGCACTCCCTCTTACATATTGTGTTTCAGGTTATAGATGTCTCCTCATTTTTTTTCAAATGGTATATTCAACAGTGTTTTAAATTTTTCTCATTAGCAATATTATGCTATTGAAGAAGAGAAAGTCCAGTGATGTATTACTATGCCATTTTAAATCTGAAGATTTTATACTCTACATGTTTGTTTAGTTCTCATATGTTTAATAATCTACTATACAATTTTACAAGATATTATAATATAGCTAAACTGACTCTAGTTTTAAGAAGCATTTAAGTGTTATGAAAGTGAATGCAGGAACAAAGGTTTACAATATTTTACTGTATAAAATATTTGTTAAAGATATACCTAAGTCTGTTGACAATTTAAGTTTGACATAGTATTAAATGGTGTCCCGAAAAATCACTCTAGATAGCATAAGAAGCAAAAAGGAATAGGGTTGAGAATTTCTCACTTTAATTTAAAGTACTTGTTAATATTACATGATTGAATTTGTTGAGTAAAATGGCAATTAGTATCAAAATAAAATTATTTGAAAAGGAAGTTTTATGGGTGTATGCAATGGCAAAATTAGTAACTGAAATTTATAATTTTGACATAAGGAGTAGTTTGTAAGTACCTTTCAGAAGTAAGTTTTGGACAAAATTAAATCAGGTAGTTCTGAGAATTTAAGAAAACAATGAGATTTTGTGAAATACCCACATATATGACACTGGAAATCTAGTAAATATATCGGAGTGAGAATTAATGATATGCAGTCTCTTTCTTTAGTCTAAAAGTTCTCTATGATACCCTCATAATTGTTGTTACCGTTTTCCTTGAGGAAGTATCTTTTACCATTTTATCATTGACAAACAAAAAAATTAATGAATGTAACTCAAGGTCATTTTCAGAGACTCAAGGAAAAAATAAGTTTATTTCTTTTTCCTACAGTATTAATGAAATTACTGCAGCATTATACCTTGGCAATGATTTTTTTTAATTCTGGGAAAAATTTTTGGTAACATACTACAGTTAAAGGTAAACTGGCAGATGTTACCTGGTTATCCAAGAATAGCTACTCATGTACTCTGAATTAATGCTTAACTTTCTTCTGGAGCTTTTCAACAATGCTTATATTATCTGAACAGTGAGCCGTGGGTTGTGGAGCTTACCTACGTTATAATGCAGAACCTGTTAAAAAATTATCCCTGTCAGAGGCATCTGAAGCAGAGCAACTTCATCTTGAATAGGGGCTAGGTAAAATAAGGCTGAGACTTGCTGGGATGCATTCCCAGGAGGTTAGGCATTCTCAGTCGCAGAATGACATAGGATGTTGCACAGGATACAGATCATAAAGACCTTACTGATAAAAGAGTTTGCAGTAAAGAAGCTGGCCAAAACCCACCAAAACCAAGATGGTGACCAGAGTGACCTCTGGTTGTTCTTACTGCTCATTATACACTAATTATAATGCATTAGCATGCTAAGAGGCACACCCACCAGCACCATGGCAATTTACAAATGCCATGGCAATGTCAGGAAGGCATCCCATATGGTCTAAAAAGGGGAGAAATCCTCAGTTCCTGGAACTGCCCACCCCCTTCATGGAAAGCTCCTGAATAATCCACTTCTTGTTTAGTATATAATCAAGAAAAAAAATCATAAAAATGGGCAACCAGCTGCCCTCAGAGTTGCTTTACCTATGGAGTAGCCATTTGTTTATTCCTTTACTGTCTTGATACACTTATTTTCACTTTACTCTGAAAAAGTAACTTGCACGAGATCCAAGAATCTCTCTTGGGGTCTGGATTGGAATCCCTTTCTGGTAACATCCCATTGAGTGAACTGAAAAGGACAAAGATTTGTTTAAATTCCTTATAAATTCTAGATATGACCTTTGTCAGATGCATAGTTTGTGAATATTTTCTCTCATTTTGTAGGTTGTCTGCTTATTTATAGTCTCTTTTGCTGTGCAGAAGCTCTTTAGGTCCCACTTGTCAATTTCTGTTTTTGTTGCAATAGCTTTTGAGGACTTAGTCATGAATTATTTGACAAGTCTGATATCAACAAATGTATTTCCTAGTTTTCTTCTAGGATGCTTATAGTTTGAGGTCTTACATTTAAATCTTTAATCCATCTTGAGTTAATTTTTGTATATAGTGAAAGATATAGGTTTAGCTTCATTCTTCTGCATATGGTTAGCAAGTTTTCCCTGCACTATTTTTTGAATGGAGAGTCCTTTCCCCATTGCTTGGTTTTGTCAGCCTTGTCGAAGATAAGATTGTCCTAGGTATGTGGCTTTATTTCAGAGATTTTTATTCTGTTGTATTGGTGTATATGTCCATTTTTATACCAATACAATGCTGTTTTGGTAACTGCAGCCTTATAGTATATTTTGATGTAGAGAAGTGTGATACTTATGGCTTTGTTCTTTTTGTTTAGGATTTCGTTGGCTCAAATCAACCAGCAAAAAACCAAATAACTCCTTTAACGATGGGCAAAGGACATAAACAGACATTTCTCAAAAGAAGACATCCAAGTGTCCAAAAAACATTAAAAATGCTCAGTATCACTAATCATCGGAGAAATACATATGAAAACCGCAATGAGATACCATCTCACACCAGTCAGAATGGCTATTATAAAAAAGTTAAAAGACAACAGATGCTGCCAATGCTGCTAAAAAAAAAAAAAAAAAAAAAGAATGCTTATACCCTGTTGGTGGAAATGAAAATTAGTCTAGCCACTGTGAAAAGCAGTTTGGAGATTTCTCAAAGGACTTAAAACAGAGCAACCATTCAACCCAGCAATCCCATTACTGTGTATACCCAAAGGGAAATATATTATTATATCAAAAAGACACATGTACTTGTATGTTCATTGCCATGCTATTCACAATAGCAAGGAGGTGGAATCAACCCAGTTTCACAATAGTAATGACATGGAATCAACCTAGGTTCCCATCAATGGTGGACTGGATAAAGAAAATTTGGTACATACATACCACCGAATAGTATGCATCCATAAAAAATGATGAAATCATGTCCTTTGCAGCAACATTGATAGAGCCTGAGGTCATAATCTTAAGTGAATTAACCCAGGAACAGAAAACCAAATGCCACATTGTCTGACTTTTAAGTGAGAGCTACATTGAGCACATATGAACATAAAACATGGGAAAAATAGGTATGTAGACTACTAAAGGCAGAAGGGAATGAGGGAGCAGTGGATGGAAAAACAACCTTGGGGGCACTAGCCTTACTACCTAGGTGCAAAACACCCATGTAACAAGCCTGCTTATGTATCCTGTATCTAAAATAAAAATTGCTTTTTTTTAAAAAAAAAAAGGAGAATGAGAAGCAAAAGGTAAATAGAGAGTGATCATTAAGAGTATAAACTCTGAGACCTACCAACCCAATTTCAAATTCAATGCTGCTATTAGCTTAGGAAAGTTATCTAATCTCTATTCTTCAGTTTACTCATCCCAATTTGGCAGCTGTTGGCAATGCTTTCTTCCTCAAAGAGTTATAATTAGAATTACAAAAGTTAATATACAAAAGTACTTAGTACTAATACCAAAGTACTTAGAATAGTACTTGGTATATTGTACCAGATATTTTTTGTCATTATTATCTACTATGTGTCCTATTTATTTAATGTACTATGTAGACCAAATCAAACCCGTGAAACTTTGGAATGAGAATATGCTAGTATACTAATAATAAAAACTATTATGTGTGTATATACATATATGTCTGTGTCTGTCTGCATATATATATATATATATATACATGCACACACTTATAGAAATAAGGAACAGAATGCCACTCTTATAAAATAAATTTAAAATTTATATTCAATCATATTTTTTTCCATAGGTATAAAATCCTAGAACTAATAATAGCATTTAAAAAAAACATGGAGGGAATGTGTTAATAGAATAGATAGATTTCTATTCAGTTTTTAAAAAATTAATTTGAAAACATTTTTATAGGTTAGAAAAAAAGTAGAGGAATTATTTTGTCTTTCAATTCAAACACACCTATTACTTTCTTAAATTTTGAGATTACATGCATTTTATTTAGTCAAAACTCTCAAACAAAATCTTCACAGAAAAATGCTAAATAAATCAAACATTTCTGAATTAACCACCAATAGTACATGTTTTTGCTTACCAGTAACAAAAATGAGAAATAACAATAGTTCAAAAGAAGGAGGAGGTTTTCTTTTTCTTTTTCCAATAAAGAATTAGTTTAGTAGAGGGCAACCAAGAACTAGATTTTATACTCCTTTCTTTCTGTTTATCTTTTCTTAGCAGGTGACTCCCGCCTAAAAATCATTTCATTATGCCAGAGACCTGCTAAAGTTCTATCCAACATGTCCATGGTACAGATATACTGTAGACAGAAATGGAGACAAGACAAAAGGGCTTCTATGATGTCAGGCTCCTAATAAGAGGCTTTCCCATAACTTCTAAACCAAAACTTCACATGCATTTCATTGACCTCCTTTAGTTTTACAGGAGGCTGGAAACGTTATTATTTAGATAGGCCTATTTTCATGCAAAATAAAAATCAGTTACATGTCTTTTTCTCCACGCATCTGATACTGTCTTGAAAGAAACACCTCCCATGGCATCTGTCCAGAAAATGTTCTCCTGATACCACACACTGCCTGTGGTGAATATGATTTTAATTTTCTATGAGTAATCATATATATTTTTACCATCTTTCCTTTAATTTTTTTCAGTTATTGATGTACATGTGTTAGTTTGTGTATTATTGTGCATGATAAATAAAATGCCTAAGAGCTTAACTATGTTAGGTAATATAATAAGTCAACTTTTTCCCACAAAATTAGTAAATATTAAGGCAATTAGACATTCAGTATATATTTATTGAATTTGAATTAATCAACTAATGCTAATGCTTTATATTAAAAACCTGGGATTTTTTTTTTCAGTGGCAATACACATTTATTTCTAACTTGAAAGTGAATATATGGGACTGTGTTTTTATCTGAACAAATTTCCAAGTATATATTAACCAGTTAAGCAATTCTACCATTCCCTTCTCTCCATGATTGAATTTATTTTAGAACAAGTTTTGAGTTCCTTTTGAATGTGACTGATGTTAGAAGTTTGAATCTAAATAGAGAGCTTTCTTGGAAACAAGGACATGTTTAGTATGTCCTTTATAGTGATGAATATCTTTAAAAAAACATCTGTCATAAGTTAGCTAAATTATTATATTCCATCTTAGAGAAATGTCATGCTGAGGTAACTTTTTTTAAATGAAGTCATTTCTTAGATATCCGTGCTGAACTTATTTTCAATGACTAAAATTTTAAAAAGTATTCATTCCAGAAATGACCCAAACTCCTTTGAATAAAATTACTAAAATCTCACTAGCTGGGAACATGCATTCATTTTTAAAATGATCATAAATGTGTGAGGCAGTTTTCTACCTGACAGGAGATAAAAACGGATTAGTGAGCAGAGATCAGATCATGCAGAGCATTGCAAGAAATATTAGAAATTTTTTAAAACTTTAACAAAGAAGAAGCTTCTGAAGAACTTGATAAAGGGAAATTATATAAGACTATATCCATTTTAAAAAAGGATAAGTCAAGGTACAATTTGAAGACTAGACTAGGAGTAAAGAAGAATGGATTTCATTTATCCAGATGGAAGTGTGTTACTATAATCCAGAAAATAGACAACTGTATTAGGATAGTGAAGTGAGGGTGAAAAGGTGTTTAAATAAAGGTTGAAATAAATGTACTTACAGATTCAATAGAAGTAGGAGGCAACACAAATGACTCTCAGATTTCAAGTTTGAGCAAATGCGTAATGAGTATTGCCATTTTATGAGTATACAGAACTAAAAGAGAAGATGCTGGGAAATATATAATGTATATATTTTAGACATTCCAAATTTGAGATTCTTGCAGATATTCAGGTGAAAATATACATTAT
Source organism: Homo sapiens (assembly GCF_000001405.40). Classification (NCBI taxonomy): domain Eukaryota; kingdom Metazoa; phylum Chordata; class Mammalia; order Primates; family Hominidae; genus Homo; species Homo sapiens. The sequence continues at coordinate 191,118,761 of NC_000001.11, forward strand.
TATGTAGCTAAAAATATCATAACTCAAAAAAAGAAGACTGGAAAAATAGATCAAATGTTGCATACCTATAGATTAATTAAAACTGTTGAACATATGAGATCACTTTGTATGGATGAAGAAGAGACCTGAGACAAAATTCTGTAAATTGCCTACATTCTGAAGAAGTCAGCAGAAAAGACTGAGAAGAACCAGCCAAAGATAGAAAGGGCAAACTTAGAAAGGGTGGTGTCTTGGAAGATATGAAAAGGGAGTCATTCTAAAAAGGAAGTCATTTAAAGATTTCATAGTATTTGCTTGAAACTTAGAAGTTTCAAGTTTATTAGATTATCTAATGGCGAGCTCAGAATGAGCAACCTTAGTAAAGTGTTTGGGTATAGACCAGAAAACAGCTGGGAATAGAGTACGAAGTAAAAAATATATATATAAGCAGTTGTGAACAATTTATTCCTGGAAATTTGTTATTGAATGAAAAAAATGGAAAAAGAAGTTAAAAGTGACAGAACACAAAGGAGAGTATTTTAAAGTGATCAAGACATGAGAATTTTAAGTGCTGGTAAAATATAATCAGTAGAGAGGAAATATTATGAGGTGAAGTTTGAAGAAATATGAGTTACGGCAAAATTCCCTGAGAATGTGGATGGGAATAAAATCAAGAACAGGTTTTGATAGTAAAACAATATCATTTCAAAAAATATTTAGGGGCCAGGTACAGTGGCTCATGCCTGTAGCTTCAGCACTTTGGGAGGCCAAGGCAGGCAGATCACCTGAGGTCAGGAGTTCAAGACCAACCCGGTTAACATGGTGAAACTTCGTCTCTACTAAAAATACTAAAATTAGTCGGGTGCAGTGGCACATGCCTGTAATCCCAGCTACATGGGAGGCTGAGGCAGGCAGATCACCTGAGGTCAGGAGTTCAAGACCAACCCGGTTAACATGGTGAAACTTCGTCTCTACTAAAAATACCAAAATTAATCGGGCGCAGTGGCACATGCCTGTAATCCCAGCTACATGGGAGGCTGAGGCAGGAGAATCACTTGAGTCCAGGAGGCAGAGGTTGCAGCCAGAGCAATCAGGTAAGAGAAAGAAAGAAAGGACATCCAAGTCGGTATAGAGGAAGTCAAACTGTCACTGAATTTTCTTTTCTTATCCGATTTGTTTCACTTAGAATGCCTTCACAATAACTGTCTTATTCCTTTGAGGTTCAAGTACTATCATATACCTAAAGTCGTCCTTAAGCTGCATATATATATATATATATATATATATATATATATATATATATACACATATATATACACACACACACACACATATGCAGCATATATATAATACATGTATATTATATATATATTAACATATATATGGAGAGAATATATATAGTTGATAAATATATACATATATATGCTTTTTAAAATTCTCTCTTTTGTTCTATCTCTCATCTGTTTGACACTTAGCAGACCCCACCTGGTGCTCTGTGTAGTATAGATACAAATAAAACATAAATAAGAGACACTTAGCCGACCCCACCTGGTGCTTTGTTTAGTATAGATACAAATAAAATATAAATAAGACATTTAGATTCAGGCAGATATTCTTTGGTGGTGACTAAACTTGGCATTGTGTCTAGTTGTTTCAGTGCTCTAAATTTAGTTTTGAGATCTGCAAAATAAAGACTATACATATTGTTTCAATATTCAAATGAAGTATCATATGAAATACCGAATAAATGCTAGTTCCTTCCTAGAGAAATTTGGAGAGCAGAAATCGGTAAAAGCAAACAGTATAGTATTTGTATCTATTATATATATTTAATATACAATATTCCATTGTGTTTGTAAATATAGAAAATATGTATTTTTTGATTTTATGTATATTTTCTACACCCAGAGCATTGAAGTTGTTTATTTACAATAATATTGGCATATAATCTTTGTTTAATCCTGTGTGTTCTGGGGATGTATGGATGACAACAAAATTCAATGTTTATAACACGGATGTAATAAATAAATAAATGGAATAGCACAAATAAAATAAATAAATAGGATGACAATGTAAATAGATCTATGATAAACAGCACTCTTGAAAAATAGTAGCAGTGGTTAATTTTAATAGGCTTCTTTACACAGATCACCTAAATTCCAAGAGGTGGATGTAGTATGTAGAATTTCATAAAATTATATTAACATTAGAAATTTTAAAAAGCATATGCAGATATAGGGAGATCCTGGTGTTCTATGGAACATACGTTGAAAAATGCTGTATCCAAAGAAGTTGGGAAACAAAATAGTCAATAAAAGCCAAGGATTATTAAGAGTTCAGAGGTTATCTAGTTCAGTGTTTTCAAACATTTCCACCTACTGTTCCACACTTCACAAGCACAACACATTTGTTTTAGTAATATGCTTTATTACCCACAGTGGTTCTCCAGTGTTCATCTGAGTGAGAATCTCTCATCTTGCTAAACTTCATTTTACAGAAGCTCAAAAATTGAGGAACTTCTCCAATATCACATCGTAATATGTGACTGAGTTTAGGGTGAAACACAGTTACACTAAATTATAATTTAGAGTTCCTAATATTACTCTTGTATTCTTCCTCTTTCTAATTACAACTACTATACAATTTGGATCTGTTAATGTTATCTGGTAACTTGACTGTTTTTTATCAGTTGAACTCTTGTAGTTAACTCTGATTGGAACTTGAGAGTGGTGTCCATGTAAATCAACAGGTAAATGTGATGCTTTATATGAAGATCTAGATAGTGTAACTAGGAAGAAAATTGGTTTAACCTTCTGAGAATATGGAAATCCATAGGCATTGTTTTGAATTCTGGATGAAGCAGAGCATTACAGAAAAACTAAAATATATTCAGAGTAATTTGTCTAGAATGGGAAAGAGTTTGAAAACACTAAATAGTTGAAGGATTTGAGGATTTTTAACCTGGAGAAAAAAATAATTTTGAAGGTACATGATAAAATGTTTCATAATTATTAGGATTAGGATGTTTTCAGCATCCCTGAAGCTCCTAAATTTTGATGAGTTTTTAAATTGTGGATACAAGTTTGAAGTAAGTATTCATTTACTTAGTGGGTAGAATTGAAATCAAGATGTGGAAGATAGAAGGAAAAAAGATTTTGACTGATTGCCCTTGGATCATATTAGAATTGCCCTCAAAATATAATGGGTTGACTTTAGGAAGAGATTTCTCTATCACTGAAATATAAAACTAATTAACAGTAAAAGATGAATTACAGATGTGAACCTGATTAGTCATACTATGACCATAATGTTCCCTCAAGTTTCTGGGAATCTAGTATTCTATTCTTAATAAGAGAACATTTTGGCATGTCAAATCTTTAAAAATTTATTACTAAACTAATGTTAAACTCTACTCACTTTGAAATCCACCTTTTAATACTGTCACCTAATAATTTCTCAATATACTTTTTTCCAATATCACTTGAGCTCTCACCTTACTGGGAACTGTTCCCTATTTAAAGAGCATTGGCCAAATGAAATGCTTACCAAATCACAACACTAATCATTTTATCTTGTGCTATAATTTAACTTTAAACATTTCATCTGCTAATTTTTACTTGTCAAGTTATCTATTCCCACTTTGAATATATTTAAGATATTACATTTTGCTTTTTGCTTTTCCTTGTTAAATATTTTCCATCAAGAATGAAATTGGATAGAAAAAAAAAACCCATAAACTACCCCAAATATAAGGTGCTTTTGAGTGATCTACACTTCAAATCAGTGTAACCATAAATCTTCCACATCCTGACTGAAACCAACAGATATATACCAAGTGATAGCACTGGAGTGTAATGGAAAATGCACTGAATTTAGATTCAGGCAGGAATTCTTTGACAGTAACTAAACTTGTCATTAGGTCTGGTTGTTTTAGTGCTCTAATTTAGTTTTGATATCTGCAAAATAAAGACAATATGTATGGTTTCTGGATGGATTCTGCAATAGTCTCTTAATAAATGACCACTCACTTCACACAGGGACTTTAAAGGTATTTCAGAGACATAAACCTGAACCTGTTATTCTTAGATTTAACTGTTCAGTGACTGTATTAGTCCATGCTTACACTGTTGATAAAGACATACCTGAGACTTGGCAATTAAAAAAGGACAGAGGTTTAATGGACTCACAGCTCCATGTGGCTAGGGAGGCCTCATAATCATGGCAGAAGGCAAGAGGCATGTGTCACATGGTGGCAGACAAGAAAAGAGAATTAGAGCAAAGAAAAAGGAGATTCCCCTTATAAAACCATCAAATCTCATGAGACTTATTCACTACCATAAGAACAGTTTAGGGGAACGGCCCCCATGATTCAATTATCTCCAACCAGTTCCTTCCCACAACATGAGGGAATTCTGGGAGCTATGATTCAAGATGGGATCTGAGTGGGGACACAGCCAAACCATATCATTGTGTGATATGTTTGTGAAGTACCAAATAAATGCTAGTTCCTTCCTACAGATTTTGGAGAGCAGAAATTGGTAAAAGCAAATGCACAATTTAAGATTGTTTAGAAGGAACTTGGATTTTAAAAAAGTAATTTCCATTTAATCCATTTAATTTAGAACATAAAGAACCTTCCTTCCTTCCTTCCCTTTCTTTCTTCTCTTCTCTTTTCTTTTCTTTCTTTCTTTCTCTCTCTTTTTTTATGTCTTTCTTCTTTTCTTTCTTTCTTTTTTTTTTTTTTTGAAATGGAGTCTTGCTCTGTCCCCCAGGCTGGAGGGTAGTGGTGGGATCTCGGGCTCACTGCAAGCTCCGCCTCCCAGGTTCACACCATTCTCCTGCCTCAGCCTCCCGAGTAGCTAGGACTACAGGCACCCACCACCACACCTGGCTAATTTTTTGTATTTTTAGTAGAGACGGGGTTTCACTGTGTTAGCCAGGATGGTCTCGATCTCCTGACCTTGTGATCCACCCACCTAGGCCTCCCAAAGTGCTGGGATTACAGGCATGAGTAACCACACCCAGCCCTTCCTTCCTTCCTTCCTTCCTTCCTTCCTTTCTTTTTCTTTCTTTCGTCTTTCTTTGTCTCTTTCCTCTTTTTTTTTTTTGAGACAGGGTCTTGCTATGTTTTCCATGCTGATCTCAAACTCCTCAACTAAAATGATCCTCCCATCTCAGCCTCCAGAGTAGCTGGGATAACAGGTGTGTACCATCATGCCATGCAGATAATATTTCTTATCTAGTAATAAGGAGGAAGCAACTTTTTATAGTTTTACTATACTGATACACATAATGACAAATGGATTTTCTTAGTTAATAGCTATAAAGAAAAAAATAAGGAATAAAGAAGGAAATATAGCTCCAGAAAATCAGGAAGATGTATCTGACACATTGTGGAAACCCATTTTGGGAAATTGTGGCAATCATAATTATACAGATATTAATATAAAGTATAACAAATTAATAGGATGTTTTCTAGAACTACTAAGAAATTGTGGCAAAATATAATTTGGCTACCCTGATGATGTGCAGTGGTCTTTTTACTGAGCTGAACAATATAGTAGATATCACCTTGATAGAAATAGATTAAACATGCAATTGCAAAAATCAATTGAAATTTGAAAGGAAAGTCCGACTACTGTTGGGATGTTTATAACTTAATAGAATTTTTGTAGCACTATAGTTAATGAACTAATATAAGAGATTCTTGAAAATTGTGTTTATGTCGAAATCCTTATTGTTCTACCTATATAAGACAGTGGAAGGAATTCAAAATAATGGCAACTTTTTAAAAGTCAATAATCCTGCTGGGTTTTTCTGTAATGTTTTGGAAAGAGAAGGGGAGAAAGAGAGTGAGAGAGACAGGAGAATATTATGAATTGATGTTTTTGTTATTGTTGACTGCATCCATCCAGCACAACATTGCTAATGCTTTAATTTAGACTCTTTATATTCTTGTTCCTGCCACCACAATGATTTTATTCCCAACTGGCCATTCATTCCTCCCACAGGACCTAACAAAGCCCTCATTCTCACCATCCATAAAACCACCAAGAACAATATTTCCAGAACCCATGTCTCATAAAATAATAATTTGATTAAAATTACCCAATGGGTTCATATCATTTGAAGAGAACACTCAGAAACCTTTAACATGTCATCGTAACTGCTACAACTAGTCACTTCAGAGTGATTACCTTCAAGTATCACCCACCTATTCCTTTCTTCTTTTATGCTTTTCATTGTGACCTATGGACAGATCATTAAACACAACACCGTACATTCAAGATGTCTTTTACAAAACATTTTCCTCTACTTGTAATATTATTAGTCAATTTAACTATTTTTACTCAGTTCTCAAGCACCACTTCAATTAGTCTCTTTCTCCTCACCACTCCCATCCTGCTCTAATGAGCAGAGCTCATCACTCTGTCTACTAGCCACCACTGCACACATGATGTCTATGTGCATTGCCTGATCTTTCATCCATTTTTATAGTAATATTCTCTAGTAGGTTGAACTCCTTAAGGCAAAGACCAAAGCTCCCTTAATTATATCGCCTAATATCTATGGCAATTTATCTTATTTAATATATTCTCAGTCAAGGGATATTAGTTACATGAAGAAATGATGAATTAATGCTTTTGGTACTCAAAAAAGGGAATAAATTCCTGGTACTCTGATTTTAATCAAGTAAATGTAGTCTCTCTGCCTTCTCCCAACCCCATCCTCAGCTATGAGAACTTCTCATAGGTGATTTGCTTAGAGAAAGTGCTTTTAACATTGTTTCAAGGACTCACTCAGATGCTCCAAAAAATATTGTTAGGGAGAGAGACAAAATAGCCAACTAGACCCAGCCAGGAAGTGCTGCTCTCACGGAGAGAAACACAAATATCGAGTAAATCAACATACTTTGAACAGATTTCTTCAGAGTGAAAAACTGAGAGTCCATACAGAAGCCGAGGCTGAAGAGGGAGGAAGCCAGGAACTCTGCATGGCGTTGCTAAACTTCAGGGCTAGTTCCCAGCCCTGACCCTAGGGAAAGAGTGAGAGAAGGGATGGCAGGGCAGCCCACTCTCACCACAGATCTCTGGGACTCTAGCTATAGGAAATTCCATGCCCTCCCAAGATATTTCAACTGGTTAGGGGATCTGCCTGGAGGGGAGGCAGAGGCAGAGTTCGAAGTTTCATGGAGCCTAGGGGCTTTTGTGCATGGGGAAGTTACAGTGGAATGTGGCCAAAGATGCCTATCCCCCAAGGCTCCCCATCTTCCTGAGCAGCTCCAACCCCACTGACTGTCAGACCAAAAGACAGCAGGGCCGACTTTCCAGTGGGACAGGGACACGTCTGTTCTTCAGGCCCTCCTGACTGCCAGCCCCTCCTAAGACCACTGCCTGGCCGCTCCCACAGGAGCATGTGCACAGCACAACCACCACTGCACAGCATGGGTGCTTTGTTGGCAGCAGCTGAGGAGCACTTCAGATCCCACAGTGCAGCCAGGGTCCAACCCCAAAGGACTGGAAGGTGGATTTGGTAGGCTGGTCCCAAAGCCCAAGGGCTGTAGCAGGTGGCTCAGGAGTGCCAAGTGGAGATCTGTTGCCAATGCTCAAGTTGAGGAGGAGCTCCCACTTTCTGAACACTGAGAAGGGTGAAATGGGCAGGTGCAGGAGCAGGGTATGCCTCCCTCCACAGGGCTGCTCTAGGAAGGTTATAGCCTGTTCGCCAGTTGGCCTCTGATAAAGGGAGCCTCATGGCCTGGAACGGCTAACAAAGGAAATGTGGGTGCAGTGCCAGTGATTGGAGGGGGCTCCTCCAAGGTCCAGGAGCAGACCTGGTGGGGGTCAGAGCCCCCCAACCACCACCACAGAACACTGTCGCTAATGCTTTGAAATACAAAAGAGCCACGCCTGTAATCCCAGCACTTTGGGAGGCTGAGGCGGGCAGATCCCAAGCTCAGGAGATGGAGACCATCTTGGCGAACATGGTGAAACCCCGTCTCTACTAAAAATAAAAAAAAAAATTAAAAAAATAAAAAAAAATTAGCCGGGCGTGGTGGCGGGCACTTGTAGTCTCAGCTACTCGGGAGGCTGAGGCAGGAGAATGGCGTGAACCCGGGGGGCGGAGCTTGCAGTGAGCCAAGATCGCGCCACTGCAGTCTAGCCTGGGAGGCAGCGAGACTCCGTCTCAAATAAATAAATAAATAAATAAATAAAAATTAAATAAAGAAATACAGAAGAGCCATGAGGCAATGTAAGAGCCTATCTGCTGGCCATTACACTTAAGCGCCATCTCCTGGATTGCATCCCAAATGGCAACAAAAAATTCAGCCAATAAATAATCACCTGTTTAAACCAGGTCAAGAATCCAGTTACAAGAAAATTCTCTACAGAGCTTTGGCCCACTGAAAGCACACAAAAATGAAGCCAACTGACTATATTTGACTTACATCACAGGAAAAGGACCACTAGTCCTCTCAGATGAAAAGGGATCAGCACAAGAATGCTGACAATTCAAAAAGTCAAATGTCTCTTTACCTCCGAACAAGTGCACCAGCTTCCCAGCAATGGTGCTTAACCAGATTGAAATGATTGAAATGACAAAGAATTCAGAATCTAGGTGTCAAAGAAGCTAATAAAAATACAGTAAAAATTCGAAACACAATCCAAGTTATCCAAGGAATCCACTAAAATGATCCTAGAGCTGAAAGGTGAAATAGCCATTTTAAGAAAGGACCAAACTGAACTTCTGGATTGAAATATTAACTACAGGAAATTCATAATACAGTCAGAAGCATTAACAGGAGAATAGACCAAAGTGAAGAAAATATCTCAGAGCTTGAAGACTAGTTCTTCAAATCAACTTGGTAAGACAAAACATTTTTAAAAGAAATTAAAAATAAATAAAACCTCTCACAAATATGAGATTATGTAAAGAGACAAAACCTACAACTCATTGGCATTCCAGAGAGAGAAGGAGAGAGGGTAATTAACTTGAGAAACGCTTTTGAGACTATAATCCATGGAAATTTTTCCAATCTCACTTGAGAGTTTGTCATGAAAATTCAAGAAATACAGAGAACCCCTGTGAGAAACAATATAAGAAGACCATCCTGAAGGTACATAGTGATCAGATTCACAAAAATCAACATGAAAGAAAAAATCAAAGGCAACTATAGAGAGGAATCAGGTCACCTACAAAGGGACACCATCAGGCTAGCAGCAGACCTCTCAGCAGAAGATCTACAAACCATAGGAGGGAGATTAGGACTCTGTTTTCAGCACTCTTAAAGAAAAAATAATCTAAGCAATAATTTTCATATTCTGCCAAACTAAGATTAATAAGTGAAGACAAAATAAAATGTCTTCCAGACAAGCATATATTAAGGGAATTCATTACCACTAGACCAGCCTTATAAAAGGTTGTTAAGGGAGTACCAAACATGGAAACAAAAGAATGATACCTGCTATAACAAAAACGGACACTATAAAATAACTACACTATCCAATTGACAAAACAACCAGCTAACAACAACATGACAGGATCAAAATCTCATATATCGACAGGATCAAAATCTCATATATCAACACCAATCCTAAGGTAAATGGCCTAAATGCCCCAGTTAAATGGCATAGAGTGGCAATCTAGATAAAAAGACAAGACTCAATTGTCTGCTGCCTTCAAGATACCTATCTGACATGTAACAATATACATAGGCTCAAAAAAAAGGGATGGAGAGAGATCTACCATGGAAACCGAAAACAAAAATGAGCAGGAGTTCTTATTCTATTATCAGGTAAAACAGACTTTCGATCAACAACAATCAAGAAGGGCAGGGAAGAATATTACATACTAATAAAGGGTTTAATTCACAAGATGTCTTAACTGTCCTAAATATATACACACCCAACATTCATCGCTCAGATTCATGAAAGTTATTCTTTACCTACAGAAAGACTTAGACAGCTACACAGTCATAGTAGGGGACTTCAGCACCCAACTGACAGCATTAAACAGATCACTGAGTCAGAAAAATAACAAAGAAATTCTCAACTTAAATTTAACATTCAATCAATTGAATCTAAGCCCTCTAGCAAATACTCCACACAACCACAGACTATACATTCTACCCATTTGCACATGGAACATACTCATACTGTAAGACAGACCACATGTTTGGTCATAAAGCAAGTCTCATTAAATTCAAAAAAATCAAAATCATATCAAGGATATTTTTGGAAAACTGTGCAATTAAAGTAGAAATAAATACCAAGAAGATATCTCAAAATTGCAAAAATACATGGAAATCTAAATACTTGCTTCTGAATTTTTTTTTGTTGAGCAACAAAATTATAGCAGAAATAAAAAGGTTCTTTGAAATTAATGAATATAGAGATAAAATTTATGAAAATCTTTGGAATGCAGCTAAAGGAGTGTTAAGAGGAAAATTTACAGTGCTAAACACCTTTAGTAAGAAGTGGAAAAAATCTCAAATTAACAATCTAACATCACACCTAGAGAAACCAGAAAAAAATAACAAACCAACCCTGAAGCTATCAGAAGAAACAAAATTGAAATTAAAAAGTCCATACAAAAGATCAATGAAACCAAAAGGTGGTTATTTGAAAGGACAAACAAGATTCACAGACTGCTAGCTAAATTAACAAAGAAAAAAATAATAAATCCAAATAAGCACAATCAGAAATGACAAAAAAGACATTATAACTGATCCCACAGAAATACAAAAGATCCTCAGAGGCTATTATAAACACCTCTATGCAAACAAACTAGAAAATCTGGAGGAAATGGATAAACTGCTGGAAACACACAAACTCCCAATATTGAATCAGGAACAAATTAAAACAAAGACCAATATCAAGTTTCAAAACTGGGAGAATAATAAAAATCCTACTAACCAAGAAAAGCCTGGGAATTAACAGCCAAATTCTACCAAATATACAAAGAATTGGTACCAATCTTACTGAAACTATTCCAAAAAATCTAGGAGGAGGGACTTCTCCCTACCTGAATCTATGAAGTCAGCACTGGTCTAATATCGAAACCAGGCAGAAACACAAAGATAAAAGAAAACTTCAGGCCTATATCAATGAACATACATGAAAAAGCCTAAAAAAATACTAGCAGACTCAATCCACCAGCACAACAAAAATTTAATTCAGATTGATCAAGTAGGTTTTATACCTGAGATGCCAGGTTGATTCAACATATACAAATCAATAACTGTGATTCACCACAAAAGAGTTAAAAATAAAAACTATATGATCATCTCAACAGATTTAGAGAAAGCTTTTGATAAAAATATAACATCTCTTCATGATAAAAACCCTCAAAAACCAGACATCTAAGGAACATACCTCCAAATAATAGCTCTTCATGATAAACACACATCTAATATCGTACTGAATGAGCAAAAGCTGGAACTCTTCCATGTAAGGACTGAGACAAGAAAAGGATACCCACTCTCACTACTCCTATTCAGCATACTACTGGTAGTGCTAGTCAGAGCAGTCAGGCAAGATAAAAAAATAAAAGCCTTCTAAACATGAAAAAAGAAGTTAAATTCTCTCTCTTCGCTGATGACATGATTCTATATCTAGAAAGCCCTAAAGACTCTCCCAAGGGGTTTCTAAAATGGATAAATGACTTCAGTGAAATTTCAGGGTACAATGTCAAGGTATAAATATCAGTAGCATTTTCTATACGCTAATAACATTCTAGCTGAGAGTCAAATCAGAAACACAATCTCATTTACAATATCTGCAAAAAAATGAAATACTTAGGAATAATTCAAACCAAAGAATTAAAAAAAAAAAAACTCTGCAGGGAGAGCTACAAAACACTGCTAAAAGAAATCAAAGTCAACACAAGTATATGGAAAACCACTGCATGTTTATGGATTAGAAGAATCAATATCGTTAAATGGCCATACTGCCCAAAGCAATGTATAGATTCAATGGTATGTCTATTAAACTACCAACGTTATTTTTCTAGGGAATTGGAAAACTATTCTAAAGTTCATTTGGAACCAAAAAAGTGCTCAAATAGCCAAAGAAATTCTAAGCAAAAAGAACACACCTGGAGGCATCACACTATCCTGTAAGGCTACGGTAATCAAAACAAGATGGTGCTGGTACAAAAACAGACGCATAGACCAATGGAACAGAACACAGAATGCAGAAATAAGGCTGCCCACCTACAACAATTTGATCTTCAACAAGGTTGACAAAAACAAACAATAGAGAAAGTAATCCCTATTCAATAAATGGTGCTGGGATAACTGGCTAGTTGCATACAGAAGAATGAAACTGGACCACTACCTTCACCATACACAAAAAATAACTCAAGATGGATAAAGATTTAAAGGTAAGTCCTCAAACTATAAAAAAATTTAGATGAAAAACCACTTCTGGACATTGCACTTGGCAAATAATTTATGACTGAGTTCTCAAAAGCAATTGCAATAAAACCAAAAATTGACAAATGGGACCCAATTAAACTAAAGATCTCCTGCACAGCAAAAGAAAGTATCAACAGAGTAAACAGACAACCTACAGAATGGGAGAAAATATTTTGCAACTATGCATCCAATAAGGTTCTAATAGCTAAAATCTATAAAGAATTACACAAATCAACAAGCATAAAAGAAGTAACTTTATAAAAAATGTGCAAAGGATATGAACAGATACTTCTCAAAAGAAGGCATACAAGTGGCCCAGAAACATGCATAAATGCTCATCATCACTAATCATCAGAAAATAGAAGTTGAAACTACAATGAGATATCTCACATCAGTTCAGAAAGGCTATTATTAAAGTCAAAAAACAACAAATGCTGGCAGGTCTCTGGAGAAAAGGGAATGCTTATACACTGTTGATGTGAATATAAATTGGTTCAGCCTCTGTGGAAAGCAGTTTGGAGATTTCTCAAAGAACTTAAAACAGAACTATCCATTCAACCCAGCATTCCCATTACTGGGTATATACTCAAATTAAAATAAATCATTGTACAAAAATACATGTACGCTTATGTTTATCACTGCACTATTCACAATAGCAAAGACATGAAATCAACCTAGGTGCCCATCAATGGTGGATTACATAAATAAAATATACATATACCATAAAATACCATGCAACTATAGAAAGAAATCATGTCCCATAGGCAGCTGCATGGATGCATCAGATGGCCATTATCCTAAGCAAATTAACATGAAAACAGAAAACCAAATACTGCATGTTCTCACTTTTAAGTGGGAGCTAAATATTGAGGGCACATGGACACAAAAAAGAGAACAGACAATGGGGTCTACCAGATGAGGGAGATAGGTAGGGAAGCATTGGCTGAAAAACTACCTATTGGGCACTATGCTCACTACCTGGGTGATGGGATCATCCGTATCTTAAACCTCAGCCTCATGCAATATAGCTACCTAACAAACCTGTATATGTACACCCAGATCTAAAAAAAAAGTTGAAATTATTTAAAAAATATTTTGAGCTGAGAGGTAGGTAAATAAAAGGTAGATAGGTAGGGAAGATAAATATTTGCATAACAAATACTATTTTATAGGAAGTATTAGAAAAGTGGGATTCCCATATATTAATAACTCACTTAAATATATTTTAATAATTTCCCCAAAATACAAAAGCCCAATTTGTTTTTCAGCTTATTTTTTACCTAGTTGATACTGTGTTTTTCAAAACCAATCATACTGATGTTTACTTAAAGCAATTCTACTAATTAGTTATCTTGGCATAAGATTTAGAGTAGTCAGAAAAGACTTTTCAGGTTCTTGTAGCAGATAAAAATATTACATCTGGGCCGGGCGCGGTGGCTCACGCCTGTAATCCCAGCACTTTGGGAGGCCGAGGCGGGTGGATCATGAGGTCAGGAGATCGAGACCATCCTGGCTAACAAGGTGAAACCCCGTCTCTACTAAAAATACAAAAAATTAGCCGGGCGCGGTGGCGGGCGCCTGTAGTCCCAGCTACTGGGGAGGCTGAGGCAGGAGAATGGCGTGAACCCGGGAAGCGGAGCTTGCAGTGAGCCGAGATTGCGCCACTGCAGTCCGCAGTCCGGCCTGGGCGACAGAGCGAGACTCCGTCTCAAAAAAAAAAAAAAAAAAAAATTACATCTGATGGGATTTGATAGTTTGCATAGACATGCATATTCTTTTCTGTATAGGAAGTAGAACTGGTCTTTCTCTGACTGAGTCAAATACATAAAAATTTTCAATAAATTTCAAGCATATTGTAGGTATATTTTGTAGTCAATGCCTCTGTGTATGAGTAAATGCTTTCTCAGTCAAATAGAATACCGAACAACTCACATATTAATTGAATATGAAGAAGTATACAAAATAAGTTTTATTGAAAATCTATTATTGTTTATACTCTAATAGAAAATCAGCAACCTATTTATCTCCTCAAACTCTTCCTCTTACTAGTTTCATATCACAGCACATTACATCCTGCAGAATTTCTGATATTTAAATTAATATTTTATATTATATCTTTCCTTCTCTAAAAGACATCTCTTCAAAAAGTAAATTTGAGAAATGCATGGGTATATCTAAGAAAACCCACATTCTAAGTCTGCAGTATTCAACTATGGCTGTGTAAGTTCAAATGAAATTAAACAAATTATAAACTCAGGTTTCATTCAAACCATTCAGATTCTGAGTATTCTGTAACCACATGTGGCAAGTAGCTACTGTTTATTATAGAGATTCCTATCATCTGTGAAAAGTTTATTACACAGCACCACTCTAAGACACCATTTTATACACTGGATTTCATAATTCTATAAAAAAGTGTTCCCACAAAAAAAGATTATACCATTTTCCAATAAGCTTCTAAAAAAGGTGGGATAAATATTATAAAATAGGTTTATTTATCTCACAATTTGAAAAAAGAATTAGCAAGGCATTTTGAATTTCCTTCAAATTATCCAAATGCGTTTGTCTGAGTGAAATATTACCCTTGTTTTCATCCATATACACATATTTATTTGCATAGATTTATTCCATTAAAATGGTTGCTTTTAGGAGGAAGGAAAAAAATAAAAGAAAAAAGAAATAAAAAAAGAAAAAAAAACGAAATAGCCAGAAGGAATGAAGGCATAAAGTTAAACAAGAGTAAAGACTGAAATAAACCAATAGCAGTGTACCAAACAATGAGGTTCACTAGTTCAATCTCCACATCTAAAATTAAAATACAACATAAAAAACAAAAGCATTTCCCCAGATATATAAGAATATTTTATAAAGACAACACTTCTTATGCTACCCAATGTATCAACATCCTTATATAGTTACCAGTATTTACTGCCAACAGTTATTTGTTACCCAGGTGAATGCATTTGCTTATTTTACTTGAACAATACTTTTACAAATACTGGCCTTTATGTAAATTACAAAGACTCAAAGAAAAAAAGAGTAAATGAAAATATACCATCTCAACCTCCTCCAAATTTAATTTATGAAGCATTCAACTTATTACACCCAAATATCAAATATTTTCAAAATATAAAAATATGCCTGATTTTTGTTACATTATTTACTTGCTGCTTAAAATTTAATACATGTATAAAATATAAGCAGTAATATATTTAATAACAAATTGAGCATGTATATACTGAAGTATATCACAAAAGTAGACTGAATTTTCTAATCTCTGATCATTTGGAGACTCTTAGCCTTTGAAAAATGAAATATATATTGGATTTACTATAATCATGCAGGATGCAAATATGTAGCATTAAAGTGTCAATTACCAAACCTGCTGTGAATATGATTAAACATTAGAAGTAGAAAGTTTGAACATAAAACAGTTTTCACATCAGTGGTTTTCAATTTGCATGGAGAAAAAGATGGGCCTTGCTACTTCGTTCTAGAAAACTTGTATTGCAATTATTTAGTACATTTTTTCTGTAAAGTGCTAGTTATTTATTCAACACAAAATCTTTCCACATTAGAAACAAGATTTCCACTTTCTGGATGTGAATGTAAGCATCCTGGATATTGACACTCCATCCTAACACTTAAAAAGCTAAACAAACTGAAAAATCAACAACTCTTCTTAAGTATATAAGAGAATTGAGGTCACAGGGCAAATTATTGCCCCAACACTGAAGAAACAGGTAGATACAGAGAATCACAACCTACCAGAGGAGAAACTCAAGAGCAGAAACCACTGCCGGAATCAGTGCTGGCACAGGAAAACCTGCGCTGTAATTGATGAATTGCCGGAAGCTAAGTTGTGAACAAGCCTGAGAGTTATTCCGGGGAACCCAGCCAACGCAGTTCCCACAGTTTCATGAATTTTACCTCCAGGAGTTTGACCAGGGCCTCACAGTAAATTCCCGGGAAAAAAAATCTCTTCATGCTTTTGTCAGGGAGAAAGAAAAACGAACCATTTTGAAATACACCAGAGCATTTTCTTCTTAGCAAGACCTGCTCTCAGGAGTAACTATTTAAGGGAGCCCAACCTGCTGAAGTTTTATCAGAGCCTAAGTGACCTGGGGGAAAAAAAAAATATCTCCAGCCCCTCTAGCTTTCCATGTGGAAGAAGGAAAATACTTAACTCTAGCTCATTCTATCATCCTGTCCCACCTAAGGGGGCAGATGAAAACTGAGAAGCACATGTGAAGTTCATAGTCCACAGGCATAGTTCCACTAAAAGACTGAGACCAAATCACAGGACTAAAGAATGCTTTTCATCTAGATCACCTTACAACCACATTACTGAAGACCTATTAAATATAGCAGTTCCTTTTATTCAGTACATCACGTACAGCTATCAAGAAAAATGACAAGGCACACCAAAAGGCAAAAAACAAACAAACAAAAACACAGCTTGAAGACAAAGAGTAAGCATCAGAACTAGGCATGGCAGGGATGTCAGAATTATAAGACTGGTAATTTAAAGCAACTATGATTAATATGCTAAAGGATAATGAGAATAAGTACATACCATGCAAGAAAAGATGAGCAATTCGTGCAAAGAAATGAAAATCTTAACAAAGAACCAAATACAAATAAATTAATAAAAAAGAAGGAACCAAGAAATAAAAATGTTCGAGATGACAAGCATGGTACCCAAAATGAAGAATGCCTTTAGTAGACTAGACACAACTGAGAAAAGAATCTCTCCATTTGAGGATAATGGAATAGAAACTTCCAAAATAAAAAGAAAAAAGTACAAAGATTAAAAAAGAGAGAATAAAATGTCCAAGAACTGAGTGACAAATACTAAATAAATAATAGAGGTGTAAGATATATCTAATGGGGATATGAGAAGAAAAGAAACACATGAAGTGTTTAATACAATGATGACAGAATTTTTCCAGATTCATGTCAAACCATCAAACCACAGAATCAGGAAGTTTAGAGAACAGCAGAGAACCAGGTTAAATGCCAAAAAATTTACAACTAGTTATATTATTTTCAAACTACAGAAAAGCAAATATAAGAATTACATTCAACTCCTCAGAAACTATGCAGAGGAGGAGTGGAGTAAAATATTTAAAGTTTTGAGAAAAAAAAAACTAAACTTAGAATTTAGTACCCCACAAAATTATCTTTTAAAAGTGAAGGAGAAATAAAAGCTTTTTTTATACAAATAAAAATTGAAAAAGTGTGCTGTCAGTAGACCTACCTTGCAAGAAATGTAAAAAGAAATTCTCAAGTGAGAAGTAAAATAATATAGGTTGGAAACTTGGCTATACATAAGGAAAGGAAAAGGGTCAAAGAAGGAATAAATGAGCCAAACTGAAACTTTTATTCTTCTTATTTTCAACTGACTTAACAGATAACATTTTGTTCAAAGTAATAACCACAATGTATTCAATTACGTATGCTTACGTATATATCAAATATATATATATATAATATGTATGCTTACATATATGTGGAAAGAATGACAGCAATGATACAAAGGGCATGAGGGATAAATTATTGTTATCTTTTCATTATAAGGTAATTACACTATCTATGAAACAGTATATTCTTAAGTGAAAGTGAAATTGTGCTAGTTGTAAATTAGTTTCTCAAATTCTAGAGCAACCACTAAAGAGTTAAAAAACTATATAAATGATATGCTAGGGGAGAGAAAATAGAATCATATGACACATGGAATAAAAGCAAACAGATAAAGATAAGCTGTTACTAAGAAGAAATGAAAAAACATGGAGGAAATTTAAATGCTTACTACTAAGTGAAAGGAAGCAATTAAAAAATGCTTACATACTATATAGTTCTAATTCTATGGCATTGTGGAAAAGGCAAAACTGTACGGACAATAAAAACAGAAATTGTGTTTGCCAGTAGTTAGGTGGGAGGGAAGAATGAATAAGCAGAAGACAGGAGTTTTAGGGCATGAAACTATTCCGTATGATACTGTAATAATGGATACAGGTCATTTTACATTTATCTAAACCCATGCAATACACAACACCAAGATTGAACCCTAATGTGTGCTATAGGCATTGAATAACAATGACGTGTCAATGTTGGCTCATGAGTTATAACAAATGTAACACTCTGGTGGGGGGTGTTGATAATGGGAGAAGCTATGCATGTCTGGAGGTACAGGCGCTCTGTACCTTCCTCTCAATTTTACTGTGAATCAAAAACCACTCTAAAAAATAAAATCTTTTTTAAAGATTAGAAACAAAACATTCACCAATTCTTTGGCATCATTTGAGACACTTAACCTTTTTGGGTAGCATTATCATAAAATAAGGTTGTTAAAATAAACTACCCCAAAGGATGCTCGGCTTTTATGTTCTCCACTTATCTCTTAACTGTAGTGGTACCTTAAAAACTCTTTTGTTAAGATAAAAATAATTTATCAGTATTGATTTACTTACATATGAAATTCACTTTGGATAAATGAATATTTACAAATTGGATAATTATTGTGAAAAGATGTAAAAAATCTGCAGAGGACTTTGTGGAATTCAGAAAAGAAAAACTTTAATAAAGCAATTAATTGTGATGATAACAGTATCACTCCGGAAAAGTATAATCATTTTATTTTTATTCTATTTCTTATGTAAAAAAATTTTATCTTGAAATTATTATAGCTTTTCTAACTTTTTTTGGTTGTACTTGATGTTAACTTATATTTCTTTGTTAAACTTTGTTGTTATTTTAGTACCTGATTTTCCAAGTGATTTACTTACTATAATCCTGGGAACCTATATAAAATCAGTAATTAATTATACTGAGTCTCGTCTGAATCAGAAAACCACTATAACTTAGACATATATGTAATTTATTTTTTGACAATATGGTTATAAGATGGCAATTATCTGCAGATTGGTAGAAATGTATCTCATCAATAAGTGAGTATGGTAAGGTTTATGCATTGAAACTTTCCCCCAAAATGCTCTAAGTTGTGTTATGAGTACAGACTTAAAGATTTAAGCACCCACTTCCATTTTTCTATGTACAATTTTAATTACTATCTTAGTTTAAGTTTATTTATTCACTTTAAAATATACAGTTCAGGCTGGCAGCAGTGGCTCATGCCTCTAGTCCCAGCACTTTGAGAGGCTGAGATGGGAGGATGGCTTGAGGCCAGGAGTTCAAGATCAAGCTGACCAACATTTTAAGACTGTTTCTACAAAAAAAAAAAAAAAAAAAAAAAAAAAAAAAAAAAAATTACAAAAAATTAGCTGCATGCCAGGTGCAGTGGCATACCACTGTAGTCCCAGCAACTCGGGAGGCTGAGGTAGGAGGATGACTTGAGCCCAGGAGTTCAAGGCTTCAGTGAGCAATGATCAAACCACTGCACTCCAGCATGGATGACAGAGCAAGTCCTTGTTTCTAAATATGTATATGGGTATATAAATTGTTTTAATATACAAAATATATTTTATGAAAGAATGTAATGTAGTGATTTATCATTATGAACCACTTACACTCTTTGGATGCCACGAACCCATAAACATTGTTTTATTAGTTTATATATACATTTAGAGTTTTTACTTGGTTAATTTATTTAGGAGAACTAGGAGGCAGATAATAAAATGCAAAGAAAATTTTCATGACATCTGAAGACGGGATAATACAAATATGGATGAAATTGGTCACTGCATTTAAATATTAACTTTAATGTTGATCTATTATCCAAAGTGAAGTTTGATTTACAATTTGAAAATTCCTAACTACTTAGAGGCATTTTTAATAATAAACGATTATTAATATATTAATATAATTTAGTACACAAAATACACTGAGTGTTTTACTAATGGATAGGAGTCAACACAGACTGTAATAAAACGAGGCAAAAGAGAAGACAAGGGTATTATATGAGTATGTTTGGAATCTTCATTAGTTTGTCATTCAATCAAATATACCTAATAGTTGCCAAATCTTCAAATGTTTATCAATAAAAAATTAAAATTATCTTCACATATAACTTTTTAACAAACTGTATGAATATGAAAAATAAAATACACAGCAAAAATATTAATTTATATCTTTTACCATTAAAACATAATATTTATACAGGTAAATGTTTCCATTGAATACTAAATATATGAATGGACAAAAAATGATTACTGAAACAACAGCAGTAGAAATGACTGAGTAAAATAAATGAAACTTTTTATAACAAAAATGTAATAGCTTATAAAGTTCAAAGGTATGAGGGTTTAATTGTAGCTAAAATATAAGCATTATTATAATGCTTACTTTATGCTTGATCTCTCTGATTCTTAGGTTTCTCATTTACAAAATGGAGATAGAAAAGCAATTGTTTGGTGGTGGAGAAAACATTTTTAAAAAACCAAAGACAAAAACTAAATAAAAAAAAAGACTTTGTTTCTATTTTGTTTTGTTGATTTGTTGTGTATACAGCAATCTCCATTAATCATAATGGGCCAGCACATGTTATGAAGCAAGGTTATCACAGATTTGAAAACTTTTTAAAATAATATTGTCAGTGCAATTTTTAAACTATGATGCTAGAACTGGCTTCTAATGTTCTAACTCAGTTTACAAAGAAATAAAATTAGATCCCAGTTCAACAAATTATTTTTTATGTGAAGACTATATATAATTTTATTTCTAGGTTGCATGCACTCTTATATAATTTCAAGTATTTGTTTTATACAGTTTTTTGCTTCTGACTTATTTTATACTTCTTACACTAAATTTATATTAGACATTCTTTTCACTGCTGCTAAGTCATTCAGGAAAGTGTTAATCAGAAAAGCATACTTAAATGTTAAAACAGAGCATTTTGAGTACACTATAGAAACATTATTATAAATATCATGCTGCTATTCTGGACACTATCAAGAATAAAAAACTTCATTTTTTCTTTGCTGGCACAATGTTTTTAATTTAAATACTTTATTATTCCAAACAATAGTTGAGATTACTTACAAAAACCTACCTATGGGCTATATAAAATAAGTAACAGGAGAAATAATGGTAAAAGGATCATTAAAAGTGATGCAATACTAGTCTGATTTGTTCATCAAATTTCTCTACGTGTTTTATTTATTCTACAGTTATGAATTCAAGTTTTAAAATGTTGCTGAATGTTTATTTTATAAACTGGAAGATTAATGCTTTTTCTCATGAAAGTTTCCAGCAAAAACAGGAAATGGTTTTCTTTTGCTTTGTTTTTTTGTTAGCCAAATACCTATTTCCATAATTTTCTATGTAAATATTATGATACTACTTAAATTCTATTACCTTTGTCTTATTTTTCTTCACAATTTTTAAATGTAAGTTGTGTGTGTGTAAATATTTTTTCTACCATTTTTACTTTGTTTCAAAATTGCTATACACTTTCAAAATTCTTTTATAAATTGAGCCTTAATGTTATCTTTCCCCTGCTGCTCATTTTAATTCTTCTCGACTGTTAAAACATAATTCAACCAACGTAACAGTAGTTAAAAACACTTAAGCAAAGAAATGTTAATTAATTTTAATTGACTACTATTTTATTTTTATGTTCAAACTAGAGGTAATGTATATACTTCTTTTATATTTTCTAAACATATTTTTCATTTCTATAAATCTGAATCACACTAATTTCCAGGACCATCTTTATTCCAAAATGTGATAGATTTCTGGCTAATGAGGTATTGTATTTTTTGCTAATATAAGCTAATAAATAGTAAGTTTACTAAATTATGCACCATTTATGGGGCTTCGTTAATTGTAAAATAAATAAAATAAATAAATTAATTAATTAAATGTTTCCTTAGTTAGCAGAGTACCTGGAGTTATTCTGGATTAATTACCATAGATTTGGAAGATCACAAAGGAAGGTCTATGAGGATTCTTTTTCATTCTTATGTAAAATACTATGCTGAGTATGAATGGAGAAATGTGAGACAAAGTGCAACTTATAGAAAAGATGTGTGATTGCATTTTTTCTTTTTAATTTTTATCGAACCACTCAAGATAATAAATTATATATAGTTGATTTTTACTGTATTGTCATGCTTATGCATCACATTAAATCCATGTATAGACCTTATTTGTTTCTTACATTAGCCACCAATGTGGTGATCAGGATTGTGCAGACTTCATCTAACTTCAAGATGATGAAACTGACATTTTCTCATTTCAGGCCAAAATCATCTTTTCACTTTTCTCCCTGGGGTTTCTCTTTTGATATCATCTTCTATCTGGAGGTATAGGGCAATAAAAGCCTCATAAGCCAATAGGAACTTGTGGATAAATATCTCTTTTTCTTCCAGATGGACAAAACTGAAATCAGTTTTATAGGTATACTAAGATGGTCTCAAATGATTAAAGAATCTGCTGCACATATTAGTGACTAACTCCACAATATCCCGGAATTGGCTCTCCATCTTTTTCTGTTTCATTCACACTGTCCCACATTCTAATCCTTGGGATTAAACTTCTCATTAGGTATTGTGTACACAAATCTTCATCTCAATCTATGATATCTGGCAGAATTTATGCTGATAACTATACTTTCTAAAATTCAAATATGCCATAATGTTTACAGGATGGTTTAATTAGTTGTAACATATTTACTGAAGTAGGCTTAAAATTAAATTTTCCCAATTAAGTATAAAAAATTAATTACACTCTTAGAAAATTCAAGTCCATTATTCACTTTTTTGTTAGATAAATACATTTATCAAATTTATATAAATTAGAATATATGTATTTTATCTGCTTTAAGTATCTATTATAACCTGTTGATTATTTTAATAACAATTTTCAAAAAGCAGGACCAATGTAAAAGAAATTAAGAGGATATTTGCACCAACAAAAACTCATGCAAAATAGCAACTCTATGTAAAAAAAAATTGTTTATTTAAATTCATGGAAATAATAGCTTCTAAAGTTTTCACAGGACTGAGGCATCTCCTTTTAGGTTTCAGCTGATATGATGTCATACATGAAGCCTATCCATACAAGTTCAGGCATACTTATATTATCCAATAATAGCTCTTCAATTTGCCTTGTTTATACCTGCAATATGGCAATTGTCAATTTCTTGCTTGGCTATTGGCTCCTTTTCATTATTAAATGTGTGACACTTATCAAATCATTTGAAAAGTTTTATAAATAGTAGATAATTGCATATTTGAGAACATAGAGATACTTCATGTAATATTTTAATTGCTTTCCCTCACGTAATTTTCATTTTTATTCTAAGTCAGTTCCAGCAGCAGTTAAGCCTGTTTCATGATCTTCTACCTTGATCTCAGTGTTCCCATCTGTCCTGCCTAACTTTATTTTCCCCATTATTAATGAATAGTAGAAAGGGTAAACTTTTTCAAAATTGAATTCCTCCAGGCTGGCCTCCCAGAGTAACACTGGAATCTTTAAAAGATCTATGATAAGAGTCTCAGACTAATGTCAATACTCGATGCAAGCTGAGATGGCAAATTGAGATAGTGAGCCTCTGGGATGCTCAAACTGTAAGCTTTTAAGAAAATTTGTTTTTGTTTTTGCTTTTTGCGAGACAGGGAGAGGCTGATGTTTCTCCAGACGTACAACTTAAAAAACCCACAATTCAAGGACAGCAATCCCTTTCCAGAAATCTGGTATGTGCCACTACCACGTTTGTAATCTTGCTGAGAAGTTACCAAGCAAGTAGAGAACTGCCTACCTGCCACTGTTCTTTGAGTTTCTCTCAATAAACTTGGTTTCAGAAGCCTGTATAAAGAGGCTGTCCTTTCTCCACTGCGCATTTTTAGCACCCTTGGCAAAAAGCAGCTGGCCATCTATGTAAGGGTTTATTTCAGGCCTCTCTATTCTGTCTCATTGGTCTATGTGTCTATTTTTACATCAGTACTGTGCTTTTTTGATACCTATACCTTTGTAATATAGTTTGAAGTCAGTTAATGTGATGCTTCCAGCCTTTTTTTTTTTTTTTTTTTTTTTTTTTTTTTTTCTCAAAATGGCTTTGGCTATACTGGGTCTTTTGTGGTTCCCTATAAATTTTAGAATTGATTTTTCTATTTCTGTAAAAAAAGTTCCATTGAGATTTGGATTGCATTGATATCTGTAGCTTGCTTTTGGGTAGTATAGACATTTTAACAATATTAATTCTTCCAATCCATGAACATCAGCTCAGTTTTCTTTCCATTTATTGTCTCTTTTAATTTTTTTCATCAGTGATTTATAGTCTCAGTGTACAAGTGTTTTACCTCACTGCCTAAAGTATTCCTAAGTATTTTTCATTATTTTTAATGCCATTATAAATGGGATTTTTTCTTTATTTCCTCTTAAGGGTTGGGGAAACTGAATATCCACATGCAAAAAAATAAAACTGGACCCTTATCTTACACCATACACAGAAATCCATTCAAACTATATTAAAGATTTAAACACAAGACATAAGTTCTAGCACAATAAACCTCCTAGAAGAAAACATAGGGGGAAAGCTTCATGGTATTGGGCTTGTCGATGATTTTTTGGGTATGCTGCTAAATGAATAAGCAACAAAAGCAAATTTAGAGAACTAAAACCATATCAAACTAGAAAGCTTATGTACAACAAAGGAAATAATTAACAGGGTAAAAATGCAACTTACTGGATGACAGAAAATAATTTGCCTTGGATTGCTTAACAGACATCTAAGTGAGTGTTTCTATTTTTCTACTTCCCAGTCACTTTCCAATCTTCACCAATTCAACATCTCTCAAGATTCCAATAAAATGGCTCTCCTGAGTGTACTAATAAGTATTCATTTAAATATACAATTCTGTATAGAATTCAATATAGAATAAACAATTCTAATGGACATTTCCTAGTTCTCATCAGTCTTAAATTCTTAGTAGCATGTAATTTTATGGACCATATTTTTTTGTTTCTGTAGGATCTGTGACTCTGTATAATCTTAATTTGCTTTCCCTCCTGTTTCTTGAAGACAAAATAGGAATATATGGAGTCACAGGTCCTATGGAAACAAAATTCTTAGTGTAATTTTTGGATTCATAACTTACTGCTTTCTTATCAGTTAGGTCCAACAAAGAAAAAGGAACCAAACCGTAATTTGAATGCAGAAAGCTTAATATAATATTCACTCTGAGATGTTTTGGGTTTTACTAGGCCCTGGTTATTATCTCTTTTATAAATATGAACACAGAGAAATGCATCTTCACCAAAAGAAGATCAATGATGCAAGAGTGATGCTAAATGAAAACTGGATGTAATCATTAGAATTGATGAGAATATAGCTAGTGAAAAACATGATGGTGAATAGAAGAGCTTCATCAAAAATGCTGGGTGTTCTTTATGAAGTTTTGTCCCATTGTATTTATGTTGGAATATAGTTTTTATTATTTGAATTACCTCAATTTCTGTAAGTGCATAAGTCTATATATTTTGTGTAGGTACATGTATACATATATTTGTGTTTATATATATAATTAATTAACAGTAGTGCTTATAACACTCAAAACAATATGCTATTATTCAATTTTCAGCTTTTTGCCTCTGCCAATTTTCAGTGTTTATACAAATAAACTTCAAGTCTTATATAATAGGCAGAAAATAATGACTTCCATAATTTTTAAGGATATATTAAAGTATAGGAATCATTACATCAACCACATGTTAAAACAACTTTCTAATGCCTCTGTGTGCTGTGCATTGTCTTCATAAAGCATGAGGTGCATCTAAATCATGTATCACCTTTTGGGTCGATGCAGTGGCTGATGCCTGTAATCCCAGCAACTTGGGAGGCTGAGGCAGGTGGATCACTTCAGCTCAGGAGGTTGAGAAGAGCCTGGGCAACATGGGAAAACTCCGTCTCTACCAAAAAATCATTAGCCAGGAATGGTGGTACATGCCTAGCATTGCAGCTACTTGGGAGGCTGAAGCAGGAGGATCACCTGATCCCCAGGAATTGAGGCTGCAGTGAATTGTGATGGTGCCACTGCACTCCAGCATAGGCAACAGAGTGAGACCCTGTCTCAACAAATAAATAAATAAATAAACAAACCACCTTTTCACTTTCATAAAATAGAAGTTCTCAACACTAAATAACATTTTATAGATGAAATACTTGAAGTAACATTTGTGATACTGGTAAAATTATTTATTTATTTTCAAGAGAATTAAATCATTTCTTGATTACACATGATAATGGATGATACACAAGCTTCATTCCCATCTATAATTTTATCTGGTACCATTATTTGATTTAGATATATTGCATAGGATTTGCCAACAATGATTTTTATAACCAATAATTCCATGATTTTGCTTGAGTAATCCCTTTTAATGGCAAACTTCAGGTCACAACAGTAACTATCAGTTCAACTACACCAAGGTTTCTGAAGACAATGGCTTCTCCACCCAAGCTATTGGTATATACATTCCAAATAGAACCTGGCATCACCTTGAAGGAATTCAAACTTCACACTCTTGGGGAAATTTACAAAAATGGCTTCGGAGTAGACTAACTTTACATGGTATATTTTTTAAAAGTCATTTATTCAGCATCATGATCAGACTATTACATTTAGCAATCAACAGCATGGGTGCCAAAAAAAAAAATCTACATTAAAACCCTTTGTTGGAATGTTTTACATTTTCCACAGAACAGAAACTAAAATAGCCTGTTATACAATTAGTCACAAATACAGTCCTCGAGTTTTTTGCCCATACACAGCAGTATTTGTCTAAAACTGTCTTCATTGGACCTGCCACCACTGTGCTTGGCTGAGTTCACAAACCTTTTGTAACCTGCAGCTTCCCTGACACTTCTCTGGCTCTCCTCTCTTGCTAAGCTTTGTTTTCTAAGTAAAATCTTCTGCCACAGCCATAGCTACTGCCACTACTGAAACCGCCAGAGCCACCTTGGTTTTGTGGTTTGGCAACGTATTGGTCTCCACCACCATAGGGGCCAGAGCTTCTGCCTCCAAAGTTTCATCCTTTCATGGGTCCAAAATTTGAAGACTGATTGTTGTAATTGTCAAAATCATTGTAGCTTCCACCATGTCCAAAATTGCTTCCATTTTTACCATATCCATTGTAGCCATCCTCACTGCCACCATATCCACCACCAACACAGTTGCCACCAAAGCCACCACTACCACTGAAGTTTCCTCCATGAACAAAGTTGTCATTCCCACCAAAATCACCTCCACAACCACCACCAAAGTTTCCAGAACCACTTCAACCTCTTTGGCTGGATGAAACACTAGCCATCTCTTGCTTTGACAGGGCTTTCCTAACTTCACAGTTGTGGCCATTTACAGTATGGTATTTCTGAATGACAGTCTTATTCACGGAGTCATGTTCATCAAAGGTTACAAAGGCAAAGCCTGTTTCCCTGCCACGGCCTCTGTCAGTCATGATTTCAATCACTTAATAATCTTTTAGATGATGTTCTTCAGTGTCTTCTTTAATGCCACCAACAAATATCTTTTTCACAGTTAAGTGGGCACCTGGTCATTGAGAGTCTTCTCTTGAGTCAGCTCCTTTTGGTTCCACAACTCTTTCATCCACCTTGTGTGACCTTGCATTCATGGCTGCATCCACCTCCTCCACAGTGGCATTTGTGACAAACCCAAAGCCTCAGGAGTGCTTGGTGTTTGGGTCTCTCATTATCACACAGTCTGTGAGCTTTCCCCATTGCTCAAAATGGCTCCTCAAACACTCATCGGTTGTTTCAAAGCTCAACCCTCCAATGAAGAGCTTTCTCAGCTGTTCAGGCTCTTTATGAAACTCTGACTTAGACATGACGGCAGGAAGAAGAGAGACTTTGACAATGCTTCCTGGGTGCCATCCACAGGCAGAAAGTGTGATTTTGTAAAATTATTAAACTTCTTAAAAATGTAAAGTATTTTAAGCCAACTAAAAACATGATTTTACTATTAGCATAATTTTAACATCTGTCAGAATATTCTATCCCTTTGCATAAAAACACTTTTCTATGACCCACTTAATTTTTAATCTTTTGCTTAATATATAAATCAATTTCTGCAAGTCAAAAACTTTATTAATTTTTACTTTTACCAATTTCGTTTACTTATTTGGATAGTAAAATCCAATTTAACTTTGAGTCCCTGGGGAATATAAAACAAATTTGTTTTATGTTAATTGATGTTTAAATGAAAATGTATAAGAAATCTGTAATTGAACTTTTTAATTTAAAAACAAAGTTTAGTTTTTTAAAGTTGCCATCAATCCATTTTATTTAGACTTTCTGTTTGGTTCTGTGAGGGATCATAACACATTTTTTGTATTGTCAATAGTTCTGAAACATATAAATATTAAAAATTCATTTAACATTTTATGTAGTTCAAGTTTTGCAAAACTGTTACATATAATGCTATATACACACACAAATACACACATGCACAATACATACATACGTGTATGTATAATGTTTTTTGAGAAAGACACTCACTCATGATTCATCCCATTTGCTTGCTTTGAATATCAGTATATTAAAATATATTTTATTTCTCATGCAGTGTGATAATCATGAATGTTAGACTAGTTCTTTTATTATTATGTTTCAATTAAATAGTGCCATCAATGCATCATTTTGGAAACTAAATAGAGTTTTTGTGCAATATATTTAATTTCTGCATAAAAAATAAACTGAAACATTGTTACTATCTTAGTTGGAGATTAAATCCCAAGTCTACAGGCTCACTTTTCTTTCCTTCGAGCCAGCCTATCATCCTCTGCTCATGTGGGCTAGACGTTTTTATAGAAACATACACGAGACAGAGCACATATTGGGTGTCAAGAGATAGCCTCTTATGCTTTGACATAAAATACATTTTTAATAATAAACACCCTGATAGAAGAACTAGAGTATGTGGGAGTACAAAATAATGAAAACTAAGCAAACTAAGTGGTAAGGCCATTTGAAACTTAGCAGGACATTCACAAGATAGAAATGAAAGACGTGAAGAAGAACAGAGATTATCAGCCAAAGCCCAAATAAATCAAAGAGTATAGTGTCTTAAAGTGATAGAGAGATGTGCCATATTACCTTAAAATAGAAAAGTAATAGAAACAGGAGTGAGATGAAAACCGAGTAGGTTAGAAGTGGGCTATTAATAAAGGGTCTTGTAAAGCATAGTGAAGCTTGATAGTATCCAAACATATGGATTTGGGGCTCATATTGTTCTTAGTATGTGTCCAAGTTTGTTACTTATTAGATATGTGCGCTTGGGCCAGGCACTAAACTTCTTTTCAAATATATGTTTTTGGATGTATAAAACTGAAATAATAATTCTACCTTCTATGATTTTTCTAATAGTAGGGAGATATGGCATATACATACATTAACAGAGTACTAGGGAAATTTTAATCCTTTGTGTCTAATATGTATTAATGTTATAAATATTATACTTTGCCTTGTATCATTAGGAGTTATGCCAAGAGCAACCTCCTCTACCTAAGTATCTATATCATTATTTGGGAAGAAAAAAGTCTTATTCTTCCCCAATAATTTGCATGGCCAATATTATGTTGATATATAGCTGCAAGGGAGGTAGGATTCTTAATGTTTAATGATGCAGTCTTTGTAATACAATTGAGAAAGGAAGAAGGTAGTTTGAAGAAGTATTTCATAATCCCATCCATAGCACGATCTATAGCACATGCAAAAAAGCTTTCTATAAACACAATGCGACATAACTGAAAGGTCCTAACATGAAGAATTTTTCCATTCAGGAAGATCTCTGCAGCTATAGGTTAGTGGACTGAAGTTATAGGTGCTAAGAGGCATTTACTTTTTCTGTAACTTAGGAGATTAGGTCACCCATCAGCAAAAGGTAAAGGGGGATGTGAAGCATTTTAGAAAGATGTTTTGACAGAGTTTCCAAGCAGAAAGTGAGTTAGAAGTGACTAGGAAAATAACTATGTCAAGGAAGTGTTAATGTTGAAGATCACAGCAACAAACCACCCAAAAATATACATAACTTTTAGAGAACATATTACATCATATTTGAAAATGTAACAGCTTAGAAAAAAATTGCCAGTTAATGTATTCAATACATAATTATTGGTTTAATTTATATTATGCATAGTTTAAAATGACTGAGGGGTTATTACATATATCCTTTCTATAGCCCACAAATTTAAGATCTCCTTCAGGGTAAAAAAAAAAAAAAGCTTAAAAATTACTGAAACTAACTTTATATAACTTATATTAAAGGAAATTATCAGAATACATTGGAAAGATAGTGTAGAATTTGGGCTGGGATAAGCAAATTATTTTCATTGGATAATAATAAACTCTCATTGAGACCAAATTTTTCAAGACTTTAATTAACAGCAAACCACGTTTTGTTTTTAACGTTGTGTCAAATTAATAAATGTAAATTTCCAACATTCTCCAAAGAAACAGTTCATTTATGAAAAGTGAGCATTTCATCTAAAATTTTGCATCTGGTAAATATTATATCTAGGGAATATTTTAAATGACGAGAATTCCTAAAAGATTTGAAAAGCAAAGTATAAGTAAATGTATATACTGCGAAAGGAAAATAAATCTCGGAAGCTCACAATCACTAAGCCAAGAGAAAAGCCAAGTCGGGAATTATGACAGAAAAACATGCCTCCCATTTTATTCCTAAATAAGATGGCTACAAAGATGAAAAGTTACATACCACCCTCACAATTTCCCCGCAAGGAAATGCCTTGTGGACAAAGGACAGACAGAACTCAAAGTCTTCCTCTGAGGCTCACCTGAAACAAAAGCACATTTGATTGCTTCTTCCACCCTATTGTTTATGTAAAAATGCAGATTCACTGAGCCAGTGTTCAGTGGAAGGCTGATCAGGGACTCAAAAAAATGCAATCTTTTGTCTCTTATCTACTTATGACCTGGAATACCACCTTAAGTTGTCCTGCCTTACTGGACTGAACCAATGTATACCTTACACATATTGATTACACATCATGTCTCCCTAAAATGTATAAAAGCAAGCTGTACCCTGACCACCTTGGGCTTCTGTCATCAGGAACTCCTGAGGCTGTGTCACCGGTGCATCCTTAACCTTGGCAAAATAAACATTCTAGATCGACTGAGATGTGTGTCAGATATTTGGGGTTCACAATTTGGCAACCAATGCAAGGGACTCTGAGCAGAGGTGGAGGTGGCTCTGACCTTTCACAAATCTCCTATTGGTGCTTGGTACCAGCTTGAGCTTTCTTTATGGCTCAAATCAATAGGACAATTTGCTGAGGTCTGGGAGCTTCCCTCCCTCCAGAGAATCCCTGATCTCCCAAAATCTGGTTGAGATCCAAAGTTTATTTTGCTGTACCACTCCTTTTCTGGAGTTTTACTTTCTTCCAACAAGGAAGGCAAGTTTTCCTGCTTCCATAATGATGGAAGGCAGTGACTCCTTTCCGGAGTTTGAACTCGCTTCCAACAGGGAAGGCAAGTTTGAATTTTTTTCTGCTTCTAGAATGGTAGAGAGCAGTCTAAGACCCACTCCGAGGTTAAGTAGCTGAATTAGGGTCTTGGCTTGGCTAAAGTTGCGATTAACAGCCAGCTGGTCTTAATTTCTCCTCACCATTAGAATACTCAGTAATTATATTGTGAGGGTATTTTTGTTGTTTGTTCCCGTCTTTCTGTCATCAGATTTGACCAACTCCAATCATGGATAACAAGGCCTCCCTGACTGAATTGGCTAAAATTCCTCGCGCCTGCAAAAGAGTAAAAACAAAACAAAACAAAACCATGCACTTGGTTTCTGTTTTTGCTTCCTGTCTTAGAAAAGCAATTGTTCTTTCATTTACTTTTCTTTCCCCTTATTCCTCCTTCTCCCTGCGCCATTTTTGGTAACAAGAAAATCTAGAGACTTCTAATGACTTGAACCCTTTAAATAACTCAAAACAAAGCGCCATGTTTTCTTTGTGGAGTTTCAAGAGTTATGGGCAGATTCTCTTTAGGTCTAAAACTGTTCTCTCCTGTATTTGTATTACCTAACCCCTTTGGCTTTTGGGGGTACCAGAGATTACCTTGTACTATGAGAGGATTTGACCATGGTGTGTAATTGAGAGGTGACAGCATGCTGGCAGTCCTCACAGCCCTCGCTGGCTCTGGGCGCCTCCTCTGCCTGGGCTCCCACTTTGGCGGCACTTGAGCCCTTCAGCCCGCCGCTGCACTGTAGGAGCCCCTTTCTTGGCTGGCCAAGGCCGGAGCCGGCTCCCTCAGCTTGTGGGGAGGTGTGGAGGGAGAGGCGCTGGCGGGAACCGGGGCGGCGCATGGTGCTTGCGGGCCAGCGCGAGTTCCGGGTGGGCGTGGTCTTGGCAGACCACGCACTCGGAGCGGCCCGCCGGCACCACCGGCTCTGGGCAGTGAGGGGCTTAGCACCTGGGCCGGCAGCTGCTGTGCTCAATTTCTCGCCAGGCCTTAGCTGCCTTCCCGCGGGGCAGAGCTTGGGACCTGCAGCCCACCATGCCTGAGCCTCCGCCCCCTCCGTGGGCTCCTGTGCCTCCCGAGCCTCCCCGACTAGTGTCGCCCCCTGCTCCACGGCGCCCAGTCCCATCGACGGCCCAAGGGCTGAGGAGTGCGGGCGCTCGGCGCGGGACTGTCAGGCAGCTCCACCTGCAGCCCCGGTGCGGGATACACTGGGTGAAGCCAGCTGGGCTCCTGAGTCTGGTGGGGACTTGGAGAACCTTTATGTCTAGCTAAGGGATTGTAAATACACCAATCAGCACCGTGTGTCTAGCTCAGGGTTTGTGAATGCACCTAATGGACACTCTGTATCTAGCTAGTCTGGTGGGGACGTGGAGAACCTTTGTATCTAGCTCAGGTATTGTAAACGCACCAATCAGCGCCCTGTCAAAACAGACCACTCAGCTGTTGTGACCCTGTCAAAACAGACCCATCAGCAGGATGCAGGTGGGGCCAGATAAGAAAATAAAAGCAGGCTGCTCGAGCCAGCAGTGGCAACCAGCTTGGTCCCCTTCCACACTGCGGAAGCTTTGTTCTTTTGCTCTTTGGGTCCACGCTGCCTTTATGAGCTGTAACACTCACCAGGAAGGTCTGCAGCTTCACTCCTGAGCCAGCGAGACCAGGAACCCACCAGAAGGAACAAACTCCGGACACTCCGCCTTTAAGAACTGTAACACTCACCACGAGGGTCTGCAGCTTCATTCTTGAAGTCAGTGAGACCAAGAAGCCACCAATTCCGGACACATAATGGTGAATGAGAACTACAAAGTTAAAGATGGCTGATGACGGTTTTCAGGAAGTGGTCTTGGCTTTTTTTTTTTTTTTCCTCCTAGGAAGTTGTTGTTTAGGATCCTAATTCTAATTCAGAGGTGCATTCTAAAGAGTATTCTCCATTGCCTTGCCTACTGGTATTAATTTCGATTGGCTTGTTTGCGTATTTGCATGAGGAACCGAACTGTCGTTTTCATAAACAAACGAAAAACTGAGTTTTCTCAGCTCTGAAGAAAAAGGGCATTTTGCTCCTCCCAGCTGAAAGGCGCCCCTGGGTAACCAGGGGCCAAGTGGGAGTGTCTGGGGGGGTTGACCTCCCCCGCCCCCCCCCACAATGTGCAGTGTCCCTACAGGGAACTCCTAACAAAATTAGTTTTAAAATGCTCATACAGGAAGTGCATATAGAAGCTGATCACTCCACACTTTGAGCCCTCCTGGAGGTGCTAGACCAATGGAGAGAGAAACTGAGGCAAGTAAGAGGGCGGAAATGAATCAGTGGTGACACACTATGAAGTCCCACACAGAATCAGCACACACGACTCACTCCACTAAAAACCTTGGCCACAGCTCAGTTCCTCATTTTGAGAAAAAAAAAATGTGAAAAACAAATCGTCTATGAATAATGAAAGACAAGAAGAGTGACCCCTCTCAGGCACCCTATTTGGTTTTATGGTGCCCCTACTTGCAGGTGGTTGTGTAAATGGAAGGGCACGCCAGGTTTTTCAGTTCTCCAGGTGGTTACACATTAGGTCTGTTCTTGTGAACATTTTAAATTGACAGGTAAATTGCATTAAGGAAAATTCAGAGCCTGAAGGTCGACCTGCACCTATAAAGTTCCCAAGTTCTCCATCACTCTGTTTTCTTTTCTGCCTGTTTTAAGTCTGCTGTGACTTCTCTACTGAGATAAAAATCCACTGTTTGCATCCAACCATTTATTTTGCTATAGTTTTTGCAAACCAATGAGTTTGTATTAATATCTTATGGCTAGGGTTCTGAAGTAAAAGCTATAGGATCTTTGCATGAGTTTATATGTGTGGGTTTATGTATATGTACACATATTTTGTAACATGTTTTTGGCCACTAGGTACAAAATTTGGCTTAAAGAATACTCAAAAACTAAATAATCCCAAATGCTTTTCAAGTTCATGTGAATTAGGTAAAATCTTTAATAAGCTAGCTTTAAAGTTATTTGTAAAGGAATATTACAAATGTGTTAAGAAATGTCTGCACACATTTTTGTTTGCATTTATTGATCAAGAGATGTCATACTTATTATTGTCAAATACTATAAGTCGTCAAAATTTGACATAAGGGTTATTAAACTATAAACTCAGCCCAAAACAGAATTATCTTCGCTTGTATTTTTTATAAATAAGACATTAATATTGGTTTAATGAAAACAGCCCAGTCTTTAATTATTTAGTAAAATAACCATATGTTGACTCTTAAGTTTCTTATGTAAACACTTGAAATTCACAGGCTATAAAATGGCTGACAGGCAAATAACTTTAAATGATCACTATCTCAGTTTTCATAAATTAGGTAAACTAGTAAAATAAAACAATTAGGAAAAGGTAATGGGATAAATACTTGTAGAAAAATTTGTCATAATTTAGAACCTAAAGTTAAATTAAATAATGGATTTTTTAAATGGGTATTTTCCAATTAAAAAATATATATAATAGAAAAGCATTTTTTCCTACAAAAAACTGTGTTGATGCTAAAAGGTGAATAATTTTTGTCTAATTCAAAGCTCATTTAAAGGTTATGTATAAAACAAGGTAAAAGGAACCAGGAATTAAGAAATAAGAAAGACGTAAAGAAAGTTATAGAAATATGGAGGGCATTTTTGGTAAAGAAAGCTTAAAGAAAAATAATTTTATGAGAAAGAAACTTGTACGGTAAAATTTTGCCCTAGAATAAAATGATTGTCTAAGAAAGAGGGATGTTCAGGGCAAACCATGTACCAAGCATGTCATGTGTGGTCTGTGAGAGACATAATAAGAGGATTTATATTAAAAAAAAAACCAAAAAACTTCTCTATGATCTAGTTGTCTATAATTAAAGGAAAATTATTTATTATGGTCTTTCTAGAGATTGGGTTTTGATATGTAAAGAAAACCCACTTATATGCTAAATAATTGCTTAGAACAATAAGACTTTTTAAGGAATTGTTTTACTCTTAATAAAATTACAAAACATAATATATATTACGCAAAGTTCAATGTTTATTGCGTCTCATTCTCAGCTCCTTTAAGTTTTCTTTTTTTTTTCTTTCTTTCCTCGGGTTCTGTTTGTTGTGGCCTGATGATAAAAATGTTTTATGTTAAAGGTCTACAGGAAGTGTTTTCTTCCAACAAAATATTCTGTGCTCCTGGCTTCAAATTGTTCTACAAATCCAAAAATTTTCACGTATGACCCAGAAAACACCTCCTATGTCTAATTCAAGTACCGCTTTCAGTAGATCTGACTTGCAGGTTATCTAAATGTACTCCGCATAGGGAACAGCAGTCACACTGCGGAAGCTCTTTTCTTTTGCCTTTTGGTAACTGGCCTAACAAATTTTGTTTTATCACAATAATTCCTATGTCATTATTATTCAGTGCTGGTTTGCTTAGAAGACGACTGCGATTTTTTTGTAATTAAATGTATTGCATCTGTGTAACTTTTTGTATGTGCTTTTAAAGTCTTTATGCCATTCAGTTACAGTGCTTTGACTCCTGGGTCTAAAAAGAACCCCAAGTCACACAGCATTTGCTATTTCCTTGATAAGCAGTATCATATTGTGGCTAAAGAAAGGATTTTAGCATCAGAAAGACCTGAATTTAAATTCTAAACTCACTACTTTCCAATTATGAGGCCTCAGGCAAGGTATTTAATCTCTCTATAACTCAGCTCCCTCATCTTAAAAAGTGTCAGCTAAATCTTAAAAAGTGACAGCAGTTAAAGCCTTGTCTTCAGACCCAGTAGAAGATGCCAATCAAAATAGTGCATTCGTGAGACACAGAGCCAGAAATTAAAACTATGCAACTCAAGGCCCAAGGACTATCGTGGAAGAGGTTGTAATGGCGGATTTTGAGAGATAAACTAAGTTCAGCTTCTTTAGAAATTAATCGTTAATGTCAGAGGCACACTGTGCAAGACTAGCATATAGGATTCTGTGTCAGATTAACTAGGTTTTCCTGCGGCATTAACCTACTTTTAAATAAATGGTTATAAAGGTTATAAAAAAGCTTATGTAAATTATATCTTATAGTCAAGATTAACATTTTACAATTTTTTTATAATATTTGAGAGACAGATCTAATCGGCCTTGTGCTGTCTTTATTAAGGCTTATTGTTTGGAAAATTAAGTCTCTTCTCTCAAAAATAAAGGTTTCTGCCTATTTTGAAATATTTGAGTTATCACTTTGAGTAAATGAATGACTTATTTTACAATAACCTATGGTCCTATTTTGTGATATCAAGTGTTTTAAACTTTTTATTTTCGACAAATTTTCAAAATCAAATTCTAACTTCCGTCCTCCTCATTAATTTTTTATACTGTCTCCTGAAGTTCAAAAGAGACATATTCGGCTCTCATTTCTGTATAATAAAATCATACAGAAAGTATTGTCTAATATGAAAAACTGCTTAACCTTCTTTGGATTATATTTACAAAGATGCATCATACAGGTACAGGGAGGTGTTTAGTTACCAATCAGATTAAATGCAGATAGACTCCCTTCGCATATATAATAATCAATCTCTCAAAGGACAAGTGAAAAAAAAAAAAAGTAGATCCTAAAAGCAGCAAGAAAAAAAGGAAAAAATATATAATGGA
Organism: Homo sapiens; assembly: GCF_000001405.40. NCBI lineage: Eukaryota > Metazoa > Chordata > Mammalia > Primates > Hominidae > Homo > Homo sapiens. The sequence goes on from NC_000001.11 coordinate 191,156,243, forward strand.
ACTCCAATACACTCAGCAGCAACATCTCATTGAAAATCTTACAGGATGGAAGAAAGGGGGGTGACATATTCAAAGTGATGAAGGAAAAAAGATTTTCAATGAAGAATAGCATACTCAGTAAATCTATTCTTCAGATATAAAGAAGAGAGAAATAATTTATTAGGCAAACAAAAGCTGAGTGAATTTATCAACACCAGAACTCTTTTAAAAGAAATACTAAAGGGAGAGATCTTCAATCTGAAAGAAAATGTGTAATAAGAAAACATCTGAAGGTATAAAATTCACTGATAAAAGCAAGTATGCAGACAAATTCACAATATTGTAATAGTCTGAATACATTGTGGGTTACAAAGCATTCATATTTTTAGCATGAAGACTACAAGACAAAACTATTTAAATAATAACTACAATAATTTTCATGAAGTAAGCAGTATAAAATATGCAAAATGAGAAATAAAATCAATATGGAAAAGGAATGATGTTGAAGTGTAGAGGTTTTTTTCTTACTTTTTATTCGTTTGTTTCTTTTATTTGTGATCAAAGCTAAATTGTCTGGAGTGCAAAATAACCTGCTAAAATTGTAACTTTTTTTAAGACTCATGGAAACCACAAAGCAAAAACCTATAACGATACTCTAAAAACAAAAAAAGGAATTAAAATGTATTATCAAGAAAATCACAACCACAAGCAGACCTTATAAAAGAAAAAAAGGAAGAAAAGGGTTACAAAACAACTAGAAAACACATAATAAAATGGTAGTACTAAGTCCTGACCCATCAATAATAACCTCGAATGTAAATGGCCTAAATGCTCCAATAAAAATGCAGAGTGGTTGGATGGATAAAAAATATCAGGACCCAACTACGTGCTGCATACAAGAAACTTACTATACTTAAAAGATATGTATAGAATGAAAATGAAAGGAAGCAAAAATAGTATTGCATGCAAATAGAAACGTAAAGAGCAAGAGTAGTTATATTTAAATAGAATAGGCTATAAGTCAAAAACGGTAAAAAACAAACAAGACAGAAGGCCATTATATAATGATAAATGGGTCAATACAGCAACTGTAAATATATGTGCACCCAACACCAGAATACCTAAATATATAAAACAAATATTAATAGAGCTAAAGGGAGAGATTCTCTTCAATACAACAATAGTAGGAGATTTCAGCATTCCACTTTTGCAACAGACAGATCATCCAGACAGAAAATCTGTAAAGAAACATCAGAGTTAAACTACATTCTAGACCACATAGACCAATCAGACATTTACAAAACAGTCCATCCAAAAGCTAAAGAATACACATTTTTTTCAGCAACACCTGGAACATTCTTCAGGATAAGTAATATGTTAGGCCACAAAACAAGTCTTAAAAAATTTTTAGAAATCAAAATTATACCAAGTAACATCTCAGACCACAATGAAATAAAACAGGAAATAAATAACAGGAAGAACTTTGGAAACTGGACAAGTACATGGAAGTTAAACCACATGTTTCTGAATAATGAATGAATCAATAAAATAATTAAACATGAAATTTAAAAATTCCTTCAGATAAATGAAAATGGAGGCATAATTTACCAAAACCTGTTGGATATAGCAAAAGTAGTTCTAAAATCAAGTTTTTAGCAATAAACACCTACATCAGAAAAGTAGAAATATCTCAAGTGGCGTAAAAGAGATACACCTCAATGAGATAAAAATATGAAAACAATCTAAACCAAAAATAAGTAGAAGGAAATAAATAATAAAGATCTAAGCAGAAATAAACCCGAGCACAAACATGAAAGATCAATGAAACAAAAAGCTGTGTATTTTTTTAAAAAATTAAATAGACAAACCTTTAACTAGATTAATTAAAGAAAAGCAGAAAAGACAAAAATTGAGGTGAAAGTAGAGACATTACAATGGACAACACAGAAATACAAAGGATTATAATTATAAGACATAATTATGAACAACTATACCAAAAAAAAAAACTGGAAACCATAAAGGAAACAAATAAATTCCTGAACACATACACCTTATCAAAATTGCATGATGAAGAGATAGAAAACTTGAACACACCAATAACAAGCAATGAGAGAAAAGCAGTAATAAGAAATCTCCCATCAAAGAAAAGCCCAGTATATGATGGTTTCACCAGCTTCTAACAAACATTTAAAAACAAATGCCAGCTGGGCTTGGTGGCTCACTCCTGTAATCCCAGCACTTTGGGAGGCCGACGCGGGCGGATCACGAGGTCAGGAGATCGAGACCATCCTAGCTAACACGGTGAAACCCCGTCTCTACTAAAAATAAAAAAAAAATAAAAAAATAAATTAGCCGGGCGTGGTGGCAGGCACCTGTAGTCCCAGCTACTCAGGAGGCTGAGGCAGGAGAATGACGTGAACCAGGGAGGTGGAGCTTGCAGTGAGCCCATATCGCGCCACTGCACTCCAGCCTGGGCAACAGAGCGAGACTCCATCTCAAAAAAATAAATAAATAAAATAAAGAAACAAATAAATAAATGCCAACGCTACTCAAACTATTCACAGAAATTGAAGAGGAGGAAATACTTTGCGACTCATTTTATGAGGCCAGCATTACTCTGATACCAAAGCTATACAAGAACACAAAAAAGAGAAAAGTACGGGCCATTCTCTCTGAGAAGCATAGATGCAAAAATCCTCAAGAAAACACCAGCAAAGTGAATCAAACAACAAATTAAAAAGCTCATTCACCATGATCAAGTGGGATTCATCTCAGGGAGGCAAGGATGGTTCAATATATTGAAATTAATATAGTGATGCAATAAATTAACAGAATCAAAGATAAAAACCATATGATAATTTTGGGAGATATTGAGAAAATCCAATAAAATTAACACCCATTTATGATAAAAACACAACAAATTAGGTACAGAAATAACATATCACAACACAATAAAGGCCATATATGATAAACCACAACTAATATCATATTGAATGTGGAAAGTTGAAAGCTTTTATTCTAACATCTGAAACATGACAAGGATGCACACTTTCAGTACTTATATTCAACACAGTGCTGAAAATTAGGCAATCAAAACAAATAAACATTGGAAAGAGCCAAATTATCTGCTTTCAGACAACATGATCACACATATAGAAAACCCTAAACACAAAAGAAATAAAAAAGATATTCCTTGTTCATGAACTGTAAGATTTAATGTAGTTAAAATATTCATATTATCCAAAGTGATCTAATGATTCAATGTAATTCCTGTCAAAATACCAATGACATTTTTCAAAGAAATAGAAAAATAATCTTAAAATGGATATAGAAATGCCAAAGCCCTTGATAGTCAAAGCAATCTTAACTAAAAAGAACAAAGCTGGAGGCACCACACTACCTGACTTAAAAATATAATACATAGCTACAGCAATCAAAACAGACACATAGATTAACAGAATAGAGAACCCATATGTAAATGCGTACATTCATAGTTAGCTGATTTCTGACAACAGTACCAGGAACATACCTGAAGAAGAATAAAACTAGGCCTCTATCTGTCATTATATACAAAAAATCAACTCTAATTGGATTAAGGACTTAAATGTAGGACCCAAAACTATTAAATTACTAGAAGAAAACATAGGAAAAAAATGCTACATGAAAGTTGATTCAGCAAGGGTGTTTTGGATTAGACCTCAAAAGCACATGCAACAAAAGCAAAAACAAACAAGTGGGGTTAAATCAAACTAAACAACCTCTGCACAGCAAAGGAAATAATAATCAGTAGAGTGAAGAGACAATCCAGAGAATGGGAGAAACTATTTGCAAACTCTGCATCTGACAGGAAGTTAATATCCAAAATATGTAAAGAACTCAAACCATGCAATAGCAAAAACACAAACAACCAATTTAAAAATGGGCAAATGGGCTTGGTGCGGTGGCTCCAGACTACAATCCCAGCACCTTGGAAAGCTCAGGCTAGAGAGTCGCTTGAGCCTAGGAGTTCAAGACCAGTCTGGGCAAGATGGTGAGACTCTCATCTCTACAAAAAATTTTTTTAAATTATCCAGGTGCAGCCGGGCATGGTGGCTCACGTCTGTAATCCCAGCATTTTGGGAGGCTGAGGCAGGGGGAATACATGAGGTCAGGAGTTCAAGACCAGCCTGGTCAACAAGGTGAAACCCTGTCTTTACTAAAAATACAAAAATTAGCCAGTTGCGTTGGAGCATGCCTGTAATCCAACTACTTGAGAGGCTGGGGCACGAGAATCACTTGAGCCCAGGAGCGGCTGTGGTGAGCCGAGATTGTGCCATTGCACTCCAGCCTGAGTGACAGAACGAGACTCTGTCTCAAAAAAAAAAAGAAAAAGAAGAATAGGGAGAGGGAGAGGAAGAAGAAGAAGAAGAGGAAGAGGAAGAGGAAGAGGAAGAGGAAGGAAGGGAAAGGAAGGGAAGTAAAGGGAAAGGAAGGGAAGGAGAGGGGAGAGGGATGGGGAGGGGAGGAGGAGGGGGAGGGGACGGGGAGGGGGAGGGGGAGGGTGGGGGGAGGAGGGGGAGGAGGAGGAGGAGTCGGAGAAGGGGAAAATTATCTAGGCACAGTGGAGTGTGCCTGTAGTCACAGCTTCTCGGGAGGCTGAGGTGGAAGAATCCCTTGAGTCTAGGAGTTCAAGACAGCAAGGATGATTGCACCACTGCACTCTAGCCTGGGCAATAAAGTGAGAACCGCATCTCCCCATCTCAAAACAATTATATATTAAAATTTATTTGTTTATTTATTTAAAAATTTATTTAAAATAAATAAATTTTTATTTATTATAAATGACTTATTTATAAATTATTTATATTATATGTATGTCATTTATTATAATATTTATTTATTAAAAATAAATAAATTAGTATGTTGAAGAGATATCTGCACTTCCATGTTTATTGGCGCACTATTCGCATTAACGAAGATGTGGAATCCAACTAAGTGCCCACCTATGGATGAATGAGTAAAGAAATGTGACACATGCACACCGTGAAATACTACTCACCCATAAAGCAGAACGAAATCCTGTCATTTGCAGCAACATGAATGAACCTGGAGGACAATATATTAGGTGAAATAAGCCAGGGACAAAAAGACAAACACTACACGACGTTACTTATATGTGGAATCAAAAACATTGATCTCACAGAGCAGAATAGTGATTATTAAGGATGGGAGGAGACCATGGGGAGATGTTTTTGAAGAGGTACAAAATTACAATTAGATATGAAGAATAATTTCTCCTGTTGTATTGCACAGTAGAGTGACTATAGCAGGTAATAATGTATCCTAAAAAACAACAAGAAAAGAGGAATGTTTGAATGTTATCACCACAGAGAAATGTTAAATGTTTAAAATTATGAATATGCTACTTACCCAGAATCGACAATTATAGAATGTATAGATGCATTGAACCATCATACTGTACACAAAAATATGTACAATTTTATGTGTTAATTATGAAAAATTTAGAGACAGCTATGACAGTTTAATTAAGTAAAACAGATTCCCAAACTAAACACTTGCATTAGTACCAAACCTGTAATATATCATGTGTCTAACTAAAAAATGAAAATAGTGTGAAGAAACCAATTATACCAATATATTAAAATTGATTTGCAAAAATATTTTACAAAAATATGATATTGAATACTAAATAATTTAAAAATACTCCACAATAAACATACATTTTCATAGATAATGAGATTGTAAAAAATTGAAGAGACAGTATAATGTAAAAATAATATATGAGAATTTCTTTTAGATTTACTGTAGAAGATACCAACATTATGTTCATTGAAATAGTAAGCTACACACTAGGGTATATATTGCAGCTGTATACAATTATAAATAATTTCCTACAGAAGTAATGAAAATCAGCCAAATAGCTTAAGTCCTAATGTGACATGGCTCTGAATTATGATAAGCCCTACAATGCAACCTATAATTTATTTTTTAAAAGGATTATCTTATTGTCGAATTTTGTTTAGGGCTTACAATAAGAAATTTTGAATTGAGAAAATCTGGTGAAAGATTATTGATTAATTTTTAAAAGATAATATATCTGTATATTTAATATATATGCTATTATAAATGTGTAACATTTTAAAATGTAATATTTTAATATTTACATATAATATATATTTGTATATATGTCATATAATGATGCATTTTACTTTATTAAAGGAAGTTATGTATATTTCAATAAAGGCAATGCTCACTGACCATAATTCAATCAAATTAAATATAACTATCATTATATAATAATAAATAGATATAATAATAATTATATAATAATTACATGTAATAAATTATATGTCATACTTATATATTCTGTTATTGTTATATAATATAATTAAATACAATTAATAGTAGAAATGGGGTTTTGCCATGTTGGCCAGGCTGGTCTGAAACTCCTGACCTCAGGTGATCCAACCACCTTGGCCTCCCACAGTACTGGAATTACAGGTATGAGCCACCGTACCCAGCCCAAATCATTTCTTCTTACTCATAGTCAATTTTCTTTATTATGACACACTTGCTGCATCAATACCAATATCATTACATGTCTGTTTAATTATCAGTCGCTGCTCTTCACAAACATACAGGATTTAGGGTGTTTATATTCAGCTTCATTTTTTATGGTTTTATTGAAAACTTTAATATGTAGAGAAATAAAAGAACATGACTTTAGGAGATAAAACTGCTGACTAATAGTCATTTAAGTAAGTTTAAAGAAAGAAGACCGAAAGAAAATAACAGGTAACAGATATTTTGAATACTACTTTTAATTATGATGTTGCTGTGGTTTTGTAAAAATTTCTCTTTCAAACACATCATATTTTAGCAAAAAATTGGAATTATTAAAATTATCAGGAAAAAGCTTGATGTGGGTTTTTGAGTTACAGGATACTACTTTTTTATTATGTATTTTTCTACTCCTCTTATTCTTAGTAACTAATATAAAGTTTAGCAATTTCAACTTTATTCATCAACTCCTTAAGTCCTCCCAAGCTTTGTTTAAAATTAATTTGTTAAAGAATATGGGGTACAATGTTAAATTATAGTGTTGTAATGCTCTAATAAATTAGCAATTTTCCTGACACTTTGAGCCCTTTATATGAAAGCCCTTGATTTCTGCTAAGTGTCATTAATTAGCATTTTAATGTAATTAAACTATTGTAAAATACTTTACATATTTTAGTGGAATATAAGTCATATTAAAATTTGTTCTTTAGAGAGCATTTGCAAAATTTAAATATATGCAAAGATTTGTAAGTGCCTTTGCAGCATATTGTAGTACTTTTGCATTAATTAATTGGGAAGATAATAGTTCCTACTAATTATTCCCATGTAGTAACGGGTGAAAATTACAAAAATAATGCTTATGTACAGAATAAAGGACAATTTATCTTGTATGCTTCTAGGAAAACAAAACAAGCAACAAAGAGTAAACAATAAATGATCTCACAGGTTTTTTTTTTTTCAGTACCTCCTAGTCATGTATTAACAAAGATGAACACTGTTTAATTTGCTTGATAAAATCTAGTTTCCTTATGGATGAAAAACAAATCCTTGGAGTTGCTTTGCATATTGTATGGTCACTTAAAAGTCTCCCAGAAACAACTCAAGGTACTCCTAGGAAGTCCTCAGTGTTTTGAAATGCAGTGTGAAAATGTACTTGAGATGTACCAGGCACCAGTGAGTTTAAATGAGTAAACTTAAGAAGGAAAACTGTAGACATGATTTGTTTGTGTGTGTGCATGCAAACAGTAAGTTATAAATTATCTAGAAATTTGTATACGAAATATAGTATAATCGGTTATCACAAAGGCAATGCACACAAAAAATGTAGAGTTGAACACACACAGACATATATATGTGCATACACACAACAATTAGGCTTCACAAGGAGAAAAAAATAAAGGGTAATTAGGTGACCAAGATTCTGGTTCAGATTTGTCATTAGCTAATCTTTGACAATTTCCATGTTATTTAACATAAATCAAATCGTCTTATAGAAACAAAATTTATTTATTTATTTATTTAATTTATTTTTTGAGACAGAGTTTCACTTTTGTTGCTCAGGCTGGAGTGCAATGGCGCGATCTCAGCTCACTGCATCCTCCGCCTCCCGGGTTCAAGCGATTCTCCTTCCTCAGCCTCTTGAGTAGCTGTGATTACAGGCATGTGCTACCACGCCCGACTAATTTGTATTTTTAGTAGAGATGGGGTTTCCCCATGTTGGTCAGGCTGGCTTCGAACTCCCAACCTCAGGTGTTCCGTCCGCCTCGGCCTCCCAAAGTGCTGGGATTACAGGCGTGAGGCACTGCGCCCAACCAGAAACAAAATTTCTTAGAGATCATTTAGGTACCCTTACACATAATTTATGATTGCTTGGAACCACATGGTAAGAAGACTATGAAAAAGAGCAGTTAATTCATTTCTAGATTTTTATGTATTTATTTATTTATTTTTAACCTCAGTTACTATATGATTGATGGTTCCAAGTTGGAACTGTGTAAGACTAGTCACATATGAGATTTTGAGATGAAAAACAAATGTTCTGTTTGGGATGGATTAAATTTGAGATATCCTTCATGTTTAATTAATATTAATCAATTATAATTAAATTACTTAATATTTATATTGAATATAAAACTGGTTATTTGAGTCTGGAGCCCAGAAGAGACATTTTGATTTGTGGATCTACATTTGAAAACTTTCTGCGCATATGTGGTTTTTAAAGCATAGGAAACCTAGGGACATTGCGTAAATAGAGACAGATGCCACAAACTGAACTCCAGGGCACTACCAAATTTTGAGCTAAGAAAGAGAGAACTTAAAGAATTGACCAGTGAGATTAGAAAACCTGGAGAATGGTATACTGAAACAAATGAAGTAAAGTTTTCAAAACTGACAAAGTGATTTAATAACGCAAATCTTGAAAAATTGTCATTAATTAAAAGATTTAAAATTGACTAATGCACATACCAAATGCAGACAGATGTCAATCATTAACAAGCAGAAATTACATGGCATGGCATGAATAAACCCTGGAAGAATGAAAAAGGGGAAATAGAAACAATTTTGAGCCTTTTATGGGGAGCAGATAAATGGTCCAGGTATAAGAGGAGTATACAAAGTCTAGAGACCAGATCATTAAAAAAAATTGTTTTTTTCGTATGTTTTATATGTGTAGGAACATAGTTTAATTTGCCAGCAGAAAAATATTGTGGGAAAACAAACCTGCTCTAAAACGCACTCAATTTCATCAGTTCCTTTGTGAAAACATTAGAGTTATAACAAAGTCAAAACCTATGCAAGTATGTATAGTAGATTTTTGAGAAATTGTTGGACCTTTGTCTTTATATTTTATTAGCATGAATACAGAGCTTTCATTGTTATTGAGACATTGGGAATTATTTCAAATATTCTTTCAAAAATGCTAAGAATAAATGAATAAAATATATGACATTGATTTTAAAATTCGACTGGATCATTCATTTAAAATTATTTTGTACTAAATGTTGCAGTATTTTTCTAAAGTGAAACATATAGTTTTCCACTGTCTTAACGCCAAGCAGCCATTAAATATCAAATGAGTGAGATAGTGAATACTTCAAACCTAATTTAATGAGTGGATCAAATAGTCCAAAAATTAGTATTGAAAGTGTTAATATTTAGGAAGTATTATTTTCAAAAAGAAGGAAATTACTCCCAAAGTGAATAGGTAAATGCACACACTTTAACTTTCCTTACATAATCAAATAAGAGTCTAAAATTATTATTTATTTGATAGCATAATGGTACATTTTAATTTATATCTGAGAGAACGTTACTAAATGAGATAAACTGCAGAACAAATATTTAAATGATAGGAATGATTAAATGAAGCAACAGCTAAGTTTGTGGATGAATTTTACAGATTCTAAGTAATTATGATACATTCACTTGCTCAATTTTACTGTAACAAAAAAATTTTTCTGTGAATTTCAATTGAAATACTACTGCTTGGTTTCTATATTGAACATGGTCTTGAAAGTCATGCTGTATGCATCTAAGGGTTATTAGATATATATTGTGTGTTGCACTAGAAAAAGAACAGGATACATATTTTCTACTAATTTTCTTATAAAATAAATTTTAAAAATTTCTGCATTTACAACAAAGGCTAAGAGTTGTGGGATGACGATTACCTTCTCCAACAGGGATTTTAAGCAGAGCTAGAGCCTGAGTTTTCCTGGTCAGTTGAAAGACAAGATAATATTTTTAACTGTATATTATTTTTGTTTTTCTTATTAGTGAAACATGACTGAGTATGATTACATATAACCAGTAATATTTTATTGCTCCAATAATTAGTATTGGTACACATTTCCTGTTACTAGTTGTTATAATAATTCTTATGTGGATAAAATACAGATACATTTGGAACATTTTTAACCTTTATTTTAAGGACTTGTTCTATTACCAGATACTTTGGGAGGATTTCGTTGCTATAGAAAATAGAAAGACAAATGATATTTTATTTTCCACACTAGGGATGAGGGGGCAGATCGTGACTACTTCACTTCTTCTTCCACTTCTGGAATTATCAGATACAAAATAGGTCATGCTGTTCGTTTTTAACTATCAGTGGAATAGCAAATAAGTCAACATTTCTTCCACTTGGGTGATCTTCATCAGCATTTATCTTGCTTGGCATTTTTTTTTCTTGCAACTTCCTTGGAGAATATTTTTTAACATTGGTGATTATCTCATTTTGGGAGAAGGATAGCAAGTGTTCAACTGGTGTTTTTTGTGCCATGAGTACTCTGAGAAGACGGCTTTTGTAACCATTAACCCATCAGTTACCTGGAAATATCCTTACATTTTTAGATCTTTTGTTAAATTTTGAGTGATTAATAAGTTGTGTCAATCTGAAATAAGCCCTACTGAAATGTGAAAACTCTGTCAGTTATATAGAAAATTGGAAACAATTATTCTACTTTGGAGAAGTTGAATCTGCAAGTTCACTTCCCATGATATCAAGACAAAACACTTATAGGTATGTGAGTGTAGGAGTGTATGTAAGAGTCCACCACATGTCTTATGACATGTGTCTTGATTGCTCGAATTATTTTCTGACATAAACCAACTCTCATTCTTCTCCCTCAAAACATAATTAAAATTGAGAGTCAAGATATGCTGCCTTAGGAATTAATTGGTTTACATAGGATAGTAAACTTCCTCTTTCACATGTAACAGTTGAAAATTATCTGGTGGATGACTCTATTCCAGGAGCACTTGGCTCCACTGTCCATAATGCATGTCTTTCCTCTCTGCAGTTGTTGCCATTTTGCAGCCTGGGTACAATGTTTTCTGTTTTATAAAATGACCTTGAAGTTTAGCACATTACTTATGCTTTCATTCTAGGTTAAAGAAATGCTATGACGACATTCCAGGTAGACAGAAATGTGTTCATTTTTAGCATAGAGGTAAAGTTGCAAGAATAGATGTGATGAGACAATTTATCAGTTTCAGCCATAGGTACTTAGTGGAAGCTCAGTAAGTGTGTAATATATTCTTATCGTTATCATCATTAACATTATTAAACATTATAATAATTTGAGTGGTGGAGGGAATTGGCATCTTTATATTAGTAACTTTCCATGTGACTTAGGGAATATTCTTTTATTAATTTTAATGTCACTGAGTAGATTTGTGTGTGTGTTTCTATGTATACATCCTAGAGATATTTTAGTACTTGTTAGTATTGTTAATGTTATAAATGGGATTTCCTCACATATTTCTAGAATAAAAATCTTTTGTGTATGTAATAAAATTATTAATTTTTGAATATTACATTTTTTAAAGAAAGAAATGTTCTTATAATTTTGAATCATTTTCCCATGGTTTAGCTCAGGCCATCCAACTTAGCAATCATGCCACATGAAATAATTGTAATTTAGACTGCTAAATTTAAATATTTACCTCTTCTTCTTTTTTCATTATTCTATGTTCCTGTTGTATAAGGTCCACAAAGAAGTTAAGTGAGAGCATTCCTATTGGGCACACTTATCTTTTGTTCAGAGTACAGTGAGAAAGCTATTGGTCATATAGCACTAAACACAATTTTGGCTCTTTGTTAAGACGTATTTCCCTATTCCTAATTTACTTATTATTTTAAATGCAATGTGTGTTTAATTTTATTAAATATATTTCAGTATACCTTGATCATATTTTTAGAATTATTGGATATTAATAGAAGGAATTTGAGACACAAATTATTATTTCTGTAAATTATATTGACAGGTTTTTTCTCTGGCAAAAGCATTTTAGTATAATTTGTCTAATCTGGATGCAATCTGATAATATTAATAAATGTTTAATGGCTACTACTTATTGAGACCTTTCTTTTAACCTTTTCCCCACAGAGTGCTCATTACAGCACAGACAACACTGACTTGAACCACCTATACAAGTGGACAATTTACATGGAGAACTTGTTTAAACTATATAAATGCTGACTTAGTACTCTGCTATGCATAGGGCACCACATATACTAGCTGACTTTCTTAGCCTACACATAAAAACTAGTTACTGTTTTCTCTTCTAGCTCTAGGGTTTTTTTTAAATGCTGGCATTTTGTATATATATATATACACGCACACACACACACACACAAATACATTATATTTTATATGCATATGTTATATGTACCTAGTATATGTGTATACTATATTGCATGTATTTATATTATATATGTATATATATTTATGTGTATATACACACACACACATACACACTCACATTTATAATGTAAATTTTTCTACATAAGTGTGCTGGACCTGGCTGAAAATCACTTGCTACCGTGTATTGTTAATGTTTCTTTCCCAACTTTTATGTTCAGGGATGTTATGTTAGCAGGTTAGAATTGGTTACTGTCGAAATACATACACTAGGGAAACTGGCAACTGCCACAGACTATTGTTCCCACCGGAGCGTTAGTTTTCATCATTTTTCAACATACCATTTGTTCTATGTCTTCTACTTCCACCTTAAATACTAGTTAGTAAGTTTCTTTTTATATACTTTTGCTATCTACTTAGAAATAAAACTATAATAACTATCTCTAAAATGCAATCTGCTTATTCAAAAGCGTTTTCCCCATACACATAGTTAGTATACTTTTTTGACCAAACCTATATTTACCTCAAATTAGATAGATGCACATGGCTCTCTTGTCCTAGTAATGTTTCTTGTAATGCCTTTTTTTTTTACCATGTCACAGTCTTAGAGCAATAGAAATATCATATTTATACATTGTGTACATGTTGCTTTCTTAGCTACTGAATATTTCTAGCCTGAAAAATTATATTTGCATTATTTACTTTAAACTATATTGCCCAAATATACATTTTTTCAAGAAATAACATATTAATATATTACTTGCAGACACTTTGGATCAGTTTCTGGCTTTCCATTTTCCTCGTGATTATGTTTCTATTTTATGACCACCACATTTTTTATCCTCACTTACATCATAGAAAAATTATTAAAGCTCGCACCAATTTAGTTCATGTCTATATGCCAATTCTTACTGTAGTTTTTTTCCAAAGAGATGAAAGAAAGCTAATATAATAGATTTTCAAAAATGTATAAGTGTGGATGGTGTGATGCTTTAGAATGAATAGCACAAGATTATTCTTAAATACTTTAGTGGGAGTTATCATTATTATTACCATTATCTCCAATTTGATCATTGTGTCCTCTTAGCTGTTAGCTTTCTCATCAGAATCAATTGTGAAAAAGTACTTCCAGGAATGCAATTAGATAAATTAACATTGGCTGAAGCATAGATACCATTAATATCTTCTAAGCAATATATTTTTTGAAAAGATATGAGAGAATTTTTAACCCACAAGGTTTCAATATGTTGAAATGCTTAAAAAATGTTGAAATGCTTAAACAATAATTATTGTAATTAACTTAATCCAGTTAATTAAAATAAACATTAACATTGAGTGCTGTAACTTATTAATTATTGAAAGCATAATTAATAAATTACATCCATGGTATAATTTCAAAATTCGATCTGTAAAATTATGGTTAGTTATATTTAGTCACTACTACATGATATAAATTATTTGCAATTTGAATATCAGATTTCAAAAATATATTTCATAGCCAAATGTCCATTTAAGCCAGAAAAGTACAGTTAAAATAAACGTTTCATCTGAAAAGATATCTTACAGTTTAATGTTAGGATGTTACTTAGTATTTAAAATGACTAAACAATATAGAATGTGACCATTTAGAACAAATAAAAATGCAAATAACTAAGCACAGCTACCCGTGTTAATTATGAGGCACTTAGATTAGTTGTCATTTGTTTATAAAAGCAATTCTCAGAACAGGTGATTGTTAAACCATCAGGATAACTGAATGAAAAGATGTTAGTGTAATGACAGCAATAAAATATTCTACATATTCATATTTTACAAAGAGAAAGTTAAAATTCTTTTTGATATCTAATTCAGTAAAATAAGAATTATAAGAAAAATTTAAAACATTTCTAGCTTATTGAAATGTACCACATAAATCTGTATTGTTGTCATAAAAACTGATTTCTTTAAAACTGTATATATTTTATTAAAGGCAGTTTAGAAAAAAATAATGTTATATTGATAATATATGACACATACTAATTTTTGCCAAAACCAAATATCTCCAGTGATAAATATTTTGAAAACACATAATCCAAATAATAGATGTCTTTCTCCCTATGTGTATATATACATGCATATATATATATACATATATATACATATATCTGTATGTATGTATATAAGTTTTTTTTTGAGGCGGAATCTCACTTTTGTCGCCCAGGCTGGAGTGCAGTGATGTTATCTCGGCTTACTGCAACCTCTGCCTCCCAGGTTCAAGTGATTCTCCTGCCTCAGCCTCAGGAGAAACTGATATTGCAGGCCCCTGCCACCATGCCTGGCTAATTTTTGTATTTTTAGTAGAGACGGGGTTTCACTATGTTGGCCAGGCTGGTCTTGCATTCCTGACCTCAGGTGATCCACCTGCCTCAGCCTCTCAAAGTGCTGGGATTACAGGTGTGAGCCACAGCTCCCAGCCAGATGTATATATATTTTTATTTTTTAAAAAATTACTTGGAAAACGTGCTTTCTGGGTTTAAAATAATGCCTTTTGTTAGATCAGCAAGTTTTCACGAGTATTTTCTCAAATCCTGTCTTGTCTCCATTCTCTCTATTCTTTTGTTTGATGAGACCCCAATAACAAATATTTTAGAGGTTTCTACTTTCATCTCCAATATGTTGCTCTGGACAGAGTTAAACAGCCAAGGAAAACTTTATTCAAGAATATTGCAATAAGAGGATCAAAACTATTGAAACAGAGAAGTAAAATTGAACTCAACTCCACTGAAATAAAACGCAGGAGGATTCTTAAATGCTAGGCTGAGCTAATGAAAGAAGTTAGAGGGGATACTGGTCACTGATTAGGCCATTTGTTTTTTCTAACTGATGTTTATTGCAGTTAGGCTCCTATGCCACCACTGAATCTGGGAGATAGGGACTCTGTCATTCTTGATGGCTACATTTCATAGGGAGAGCTCCCAGGTATTTGAGAAAGATACTTCTGGGTTGTACAATTAAGGAGAGCTGGGAGAAGATTTCCATCTCAAAAGAAAGAGAAAAGAATGTGCAATTACACATTTCCTCATGCCGACACTCTAAGCAATGGGATATCAGGCATCTACAGTCGGGAAGAAATCTAAAAAACTGAAACAAGTAAATAACAAAAAAAACAAATAATTAAAAAATGGACAAATGATATAGATAAACATTACTCAAAGAAGATACACAAATTGCCAACAGGTATATGAAAATATCCTCAATATTATTAATCATCAAGGAAATGCAAATCAAAACCAAAATGAGATATCACTTTACCCCAGTTAGAATGGCTATGATCAACAAGACAAAAAGATATCAAATGCTGGTGAGGATGTGGAAAAGAGAAACTCTTACATGCTGTTGGTAGGAATGTAAATTAGTACAGCCATTACAGAAAACAATATAAAAGTTCCTCAAAAAATTAAAAAGAGAACTACTATATGATTCAGCAATCCCACTACTGGGTATATATGCAAAGGAAATGAATCAGTATGTTCAAGAGATATCTGCACTCCCATATTGACTGCAGAATAACTTACAATAGTCAAGATAAGGGATTAATGTAACTGTCCATCAATGGATGAATGGATAAAGAAAATTTGGTATATATACACAATGGAATACTATTCAGCCATAAGAAAGAATGAAATCCTGTCATTTCCAGCAACATGGATGAGGCTGGAGGACATTATGTAAAGTAAAGGAAGCCAGGTACAGAAAGATAAACGCTACATCTCACTCACCATTAGATAGAAGAAATAAGTTGTAATGTTTCAAGGCACAGTAGGGTCACTATAGTTAACAATAATACATTGTGCATTTCAAAGTAGCTAGAAGAGAGGATTTTGAATGTTCTCACCACAAAGAAATTATGTATGTTTAAGGTGACTGATATGCTAATTATCCTAATTTAACATTGTATGTACATGTATCAAAACATCATGCTGTACCTCATATGTACATTATTATGTATCGATTAAAAACAAAATAAAAGAAAACCTTAAATAAGTAAAATAAGGGGATTATTAACACCATTTTGGTCAATCTCTTTCCATTAATATTTTCTGTGACATTCCTATGTCATTCTGTAATGATTTCTTATAAATTATTCAGCTGTGTCTTCCATTTTACTTGTTCTCTTTTTAGCTGTCTGCAACCTGCTGATTTATCTATTCACTAAATGTATAATATCAAAAATTCTATAAACTTATCACTGATAGAAGCTCCATTGGGAGCTCCAATTTACTTATTCATTATTATTTCAGACATGTTTTTTGGTTTACTTTTTAAAATTTAAATGTTTTAATACTAGCTACTCTGTATGTTCTACTTGAAAATTGTAATAAAAAATTAAATATTTTAAGACTCACTACTTTATGGTCTATATCTCCAGTCTGCAGTCTTTAATATTGAATTTTATATAATATTCCAATTGATTCTCTCATGGTGGTTTATTACAACATCTGCTTGGCAATCTTTGATTGAAATCTCAGGTATTAATCTTAAGCTGGGGAATCCTTTAGCTTCTTAACTAGTGGTACCTTCCCTGAGAGGAGACATGATATTAATTCTTCCTAGAGCCAAACTGTGCTGTCAATCAGTTCAATCCAACCTCAAGGTCCCATCTTCATGCTGGAGTATCAGTCCCTCTTCTTCCACCTCATTACTGGCTTCAGGCTCAACATTGTTTGCTGATAAATAGGATGCACTCTAAGGGCAACTGTTTCTCTTCTTTCTGCTGACTGGTTTACTGTTCTGAGGTATGACCCAAACTTAAGATTTTTTTAACTTGCTTGTTTTGAAACGAGGGATTGGTTCTTAGAACCCTTTCCTGCTTTTCCCTTGGTGATTTTCTACCACTGAATTGCTTTAAATATTAAGAGTATACTAAAATTTTCCAAATTATATTTTCTGTTTGGAATCCAAAATTCCCTGAATTTCAGCCTGGATCTGTGATGGCTATTTAATATCTCCATCTAGTTGTAAAATAGGCATCTCAAAGTTAACTTCTCAATAAATATATCCTTACCAAGCCCAGGTATTCACAATCTACTCATCCAACACTTTTTTTCTACCTGATTAAAGGTGTACAGTTGAACAATAGCAATCCAGGGGTTTAGGGTTACCAACTCTTAAGTATTCAAAAATCTGCATATAACTTTTGACTCCCCCACAAACTTGACTACTAATAGCCTATTACTGACCAGAAGCTTTACTGATAACATAAACTTTCGATTAACACGTTTTGTATATGTATTATATAGTGTATGCTCACAATAAAGTAAGCTAGAGAAAAGAAGCTGTTACTAAGAAAATCCAGGTCTTGTTCAACCAAATGGCAGGCAGCTGCTGTTTGTAAGAAAGAAAATACATTATCTATTCACTAAGTGGAAGTGAATGATTATAAAGGTCTTCAACCTCTTTGTCTTCATGCTGAGTAGGCTGAGGAGGAGAACAAAGAGGAGGGGTTGTTCTTGCTGTCTCAGGGGTGACAGAGGTAGAAGAAGTGGAAGAGACAGAAGAGGAGGCAGGAGAAACAAGCACACTTGGAGTAACCTAAGAAAAACACATGGTAGTTTCTGTCTGACTTTCTTTCACTTTCATTTCCCTAAAAATGTTGTTATATGGTACCAACTCTTATTTCACCATTTGCTTTTGTTTCTGTGACCATGTCATAGAAAGGTCTATGTCATAAAAGGAGTCAAAATTCGTCTTGAAAAATCAGATTCTTTCCACCAGATTGTCTAATGTCAATTTATTTCTGGCACTGATTCTATGCCTTTTCCTCATTGCCTGACACTAGTTTGAAAGCACTCATCTCCATCAAGTCATCTGTTAATTCTTCTGGTGTGGTGTCTTAATTAGCTCTTGAGTTTCTCCAAGATCCATATCTTGAAACTCTCTGTCTCTCATCTTTTTGCCATATCCATCATTGCTTTCGTTATTTCTTTGATTGGCTCAGTCATAAATCCTGTGAAGTCATGAACAAAATCTGTACACAGATTTCTGCAGCAGGAATTTACTGTTTGGGGTTAATGGCTTTCACGACTTTTTCTATCACAGCAATATCTTCAATGATGTAATTCTTTCATATTTTTATAATGTTTTCTCTGTTGGCGTTCTCCTTCAGAGTGTTGACAATCCTTTTCAAAGAGTACTGTGTGTAATGACATTTAAAGGTCCTTATGATCCACTGATCTAGAGGCTGAATTAGAAATGTGTTTGGGGGCAGTTGGCCACTTTGATCCACTTGTTGTTAAATTCATCGGGTTCTGGGTGGCCAGAGGCATTGTCCAGTCAAAAGAAAATAAAAAGGCAACCCCCCACTGGCAAGGTACATCCTGACTTTGGGGACAAAGCATCAATGGGAACAATTCAGAAAAAGTGTTCTTGTTGTCCAGGTATTGTGGTACAACCAAATGATTGTCAGCTGATGTTTATCTTTTTTTTTTTCCTTTAAGGCTCAGGGGTTAGTAGCTTTATAGACAAGGGCAGTCCTGATCATAAACTTTACTGCATTTGCACAAAACAGTAGAGATAGCCCATTCCTTCCTTCCTTAAGTCTCAGTACTTTCTTCTCTTCCTTACTAATGTTCTTTGTGGTTTTTTTGTTTGTTTGTTTGTTTATCTAGAATAAGGCACTTTGGTCTGCATTAATAATCTGTTTATGTAGATACCTCTTCTCCTAACAATTTTCTTAATGACTTCTGGGAACTCTGCTGCCTCTTGGTTGATGGAAGCTGGCTTTTCAGTTGCCTTGACATTTTTTAAGCCAAACCTCTTTCTAAAATTATCAAACCACCCTTTGCTGGCATTAAATTCTCCAGCTTTAGATCTGTTGCCTTTCTTTCACTTTAAGTTGTCGTATAATTACCTCACTTTTTCTAGAATTAGGTTGGTATCAATAGGTATGCCTGTCACACAGCAATCCTATACCCACATAAAACCTGCATTTTTAATGAAAGATAAGGTACTTTGCATAAAGTGCAAGGTTTTTGTGTCTTCTGGTGTAGCTGCAGCAACAGCTTTACAAATTTCTTTTTCTTTTACAACGGTCCTTATGCTGGATTAATTTATCTTTTAAGGTCAGACAACCACAGCTGTAGACCTAAATTTACAGTACATATCAAGTAATTTAACTTTTTCTTACAATGTCATGACTTTTCTCTGCTTTTTGGGAGCACTTCCAGTATCACTAGTGGCACTTCCCATGGGTTCCATGGTGTAATTCAAGGTTTACAGTATTGCATGAAACATGATAAAATATGTGAAAACTATGAGAGATCACTTTTTGCTGCAATACTCAGTTTACTAAAGAGAGAAACTGCTCACATGGAGATAATTAGCATCATGTGGCTTTTTAAGTAGATAGGCAAAACACTTGAACTCACCACAATAGCAGCAGGAGGTGGCTAGGAAATTATTACAGTAGTATAGCATGTAACACATTTAGTTTTATCTAGTTATGGTTTAATACTGCATCTTTATGCTTCTTCATATTCTTCTTAACTTCAAATGGTGCCTTGTACAGAAAGTGTTTGTGTGTTTACGTTTTGATAAATTTTAACTTTTTGTAATATATTTCTACAACTTGAATATATAAAATGATAAAATAATAGTATTTACATATATTTTTACATTCATGACATACCTAACATTTTCTTAATTTTCTTGATAACTATGGCTACATAGTTAATCTGTGAGATTTTTCAAGTTGTTGCAAATCTCCCAAATTGTTTCCAATATATTTATTGAAAAAATCTCTGTATAAATCGATCTGCACAATACAAATATCATTATTCAAGGGTCAACTATAAACATATCTGTATTATCTATTCTTAAGAAAGCAGTCACAGGAATCTTTGAAGTAAATGTCAGGTCACATTACTCCTTTACACAATACGCAAATTTGGTTGCTCATAAAGACCTACATGATGTGTCACATAACCCCTTATGATTTGATCCATTACTACTTTAGCCACACTGAACTTCTTAATGCATTGCAACCAAACATGCTTTAACCTCAGGCATTTTCACTAACCACTCTAAAATCTGGTAGAGCCATCCTTTCAGATCATTACAAAAGTTGTTCCCCACTTTTCTTCAGGCTTAAGCTAAAAAATCATTAGATAATGAAGCCTTGCCTTACCCCTGTATTAAAAGAGAATGCTTCATGCATGTGCATGCACAGGAACTTGCACACACAGAAACACAAAATGCCGTAATTGAATCTCTGAGTTTGCTATTCCTTTTTCTATAGTGCTGAACACCACTTAACACGCTATATATTTAATTTTTAACTTTTTAGTTTGTGTTTTTAGTTCACTAAGATTTAAGGTACACAAGGTTACGAACTTTCTTCTCTATTTTTTTTTCTTCAAGTTTTCTTTCTTGAAATATAAGTGCTCAACAAATGCATTAATAAATTACATGCAATAAGCAGAACCAAACTATATGTCATTATTGGAAAAAATTCATGTATTTAAATTAAGAGAAATATCAGAAAGAAAAATTCCAAGTTTAGAATAGTGGTTACCCCTGGAGAGACAACTGTGTTGGGGTAGATGATAAATTCTGCTACCTTTAAATTTGTTTTAATAAAAAATGAATTACTCTATGAAAATTAAAATTAAAATGTGTAAATTGTATATTCCCACTGAAATTTGTTTTTAGAAAAGACAAAAGATGGAATAAAAATTAAATATAATCATATTATATATAGACAACTATCATCAATTTATTTTCAGTCCATTCTTCTTGTATTAGTTTTTCTCTTTTCCTATGTGTATTCATATATTTCCATAGCTGCTATCATAAGTAGCCTTTTAATGACTTCATATTATTACATAATGTATATGTACTATTATAAGTTTAATTTAAATAACTTGTTTTACATAAATATTTACTTGGGTGACTGCTATTTTTTTTAGTGTATATGTCTCAAAGAGACATTTTTAATACCAAGGAAATACCTATTGTTAACAATTGTAATCTAAGAATTTGTTTTCCCACCAGTAGTCTTGCTTCAGCAGACCCTTCTCTATATATAATCATTTCACAATTTTCAATATTACTTCCAAATATACACATTTTGTTATAGTTCAATATGTAAGTAATTTAATATTGGTTTAAATGCCATTATTTGTGCTATTTACTGTTTACATTTATTCTTTGGTGATACAATGTGATTTCCTGTTTTCTTATTGTTTGGAAATGAGCTTTTCGTATAGATTAACACTGTTTTCCTCTCTTTATAAAAAAGTATAACATGTATCATAATGTCTAGCTTTACTTTTAAATTAGAGCTTTTGGACAATTTTGTAACTTTAAATTCATTATCAGAGGTGGAGAAAACATTAATAAGCTATTAAATATTGATAGTGATTAAAATTACTGGACCATTATTTATAAAAGCCATGTTTAATAACAATAACTTCTATTTATACTATTTAACTGAAGAAGATGCCCTTTAGCTTTTACTTCTAATTCCAGCTTATTGTGGTTTGGAAATCATTTACCTTTTGCAACAAATTAGTATTCCCAACATGTTTTTCCCAAATTTTAAGACTTTCTTTACCACTTATGAAGTGTGACTTAACTTACTCTTTTAAAATTTCCTTAAGAGAAATTTAAAATTTTAATTTTCACCTTGAACCTGTTTGATCAAAAAGTGTAGGATATCATTACCACATGAATTAAAAAAGAATAGAATAAAAAACAAAAGTGGTATGATATCATTAGCAAAGTGTCTGATGAGACATTTTAACTACTTCACATTTCTACTCAGTCCAAGCAAGAATAAACCGGTTCCAAGGAGCTACCACATTTGTCGTTTTTACTGCAAGCTTTGAATTAGTGTTTCTTTTCCTAGCAAGTCAACTCTAAGAAAATGACATTTCATAAGTACAACAATTGTAGGTGATATTCTACATAATCAAGGTAATGAGAACTTTTTACAAAATTAAGTTAAAATGCAGAATATCTTTGCAATTACCATTTATCTAAAAGGCTAAAATAGGAAAAATTCAGAAAATTAATGTGCTCATTGATTGATATTATTTTCTTTGAGAAAACCAGAAATGATTCTATTCCAAGAAATAAGAAATAATAATAATAATAAAAGATGTAATTTATATATTGTGTTTCTTTTAAGCCAAATCACACTTTTACTTCAGAGAGCACAATTCTTACTTTGACATTCATAAACTTCTTTGTCCAGAACAGGACTTCATTTTAAACCATTATTTCAATGGAGTTCAAAATATATAGTCAGTTTTCTCCACAGGATGTTTTCATTTAAGTACTTAAGCTGCAAAATGGCAAATGACTAAGTCAGTTACAAAGAATGTGTAGCTTATTAAATGCAATCTTAAAATAACTGTGAACAGACACCAACAAACGTCTATATCCAAGCCTAAATGTTATTATATTATTGAGGTCAGCACTAATGTGATTCTCCCATATGGTCAAATTTTATTTACTAAATAATAACTGTTATGAAATCCAACAAAGAAACCATAGAGGATCCTTCAAAAGATGATAATTTTCCAAATAATTTTCCTCTTATTCTTTCCCCTATCCTTTTTAAGTGGTTTGACTTTGGCGATATTTTCTTGACTCCTGTTTCTTCTTTTGCTGTTTTCCCGGCTCCACAATCATCTTCTTCAGTTTCCAGGACATAAAGCACTTGCTAGGACCAGTGAAATGAGGGCCAAAATAGCCGTTGTGAGGAAGCTACTTGAAATCTTTGCAGCCCATTCCACAATATAGTCATCCCAAGCCATTATATCAAACATCTTTGAATGGGTTTTAGGACAATATGCTTGAGTAGTGATCCCTAACTTTATTCTAGGATGGTTCGTGAGCTAATCACAATTTCATGATGCTTGGTTGTTTGTTTTCTTTAGTTCTACTGTATCTCTAAAGTAAAGGTTTAAATCCTACTGGAGCCACAGACCCCAAGGACTACATTTACCTCTTACCCTCAGCTTTGGCAAGTGTAAGTCCCTGGTCTCACAGCTGGGCAGCAATCACAGAGCATAGAGTCCCCAAAGCAAGGCAGTAACTGTCTCAGCTGGGCACCCAGGCAAAATCATGGCAGCAACTGCAACCTGCGTTTCCTATCTCTGGCCCAGGCCAGGGACTCAGAATCCCAATTAACAGATTTTATTAAAAGTATGTTATGATGTTTCTACATTTGGTAAGATAATATCAATCCACACCTTGTTTATATTTTGTTAATTTATTTTTATTATAAAAACAATATAATAGAATGTTTAGGTTGTACAGAGCTAGATATGTTCATTTCTCAATTGATTCCACATTGGTATCATTTCTAATAAAAATACTTTAAAAACTATTGTTTACTTATTTTTATTCTGTTACTTGTATTTATGATTAGATGATTGCTTTTACATTTTATTCCATATAATTTCCTCAAATGTTAGCCAATTGCCCCAACATTGTTTTAAGAAAAAAGTAACTCTTTCGCATTGATTTTAAATACTTCATGTATTGCATATTGAATAAAATACATGTCTGCTTATGAGCCTTCTTACCATTACTTTTTTCAGAACACTAAGTTCCAAATCAAAAATCCAATAAAATTCCAGTACTTTCAGAAATTCAGTACTTAAAATGCCTCTTAGACAATAGTCAGCATGCATTAAATGGTTTTCACAAAATCTCTTCACAAACTGTATCCTCCTTTAGACTTTATCCTCACTTAGTCTACTTTTAAAAAAACAAATTAATGTCATTTAATTTTCCTAGGTAATTTTGTATCTCATTTACATATTGATTATAAATCATACCCAACTTTTACAACTGAGCAACACCTTCAATATTACTGAAACATAAAAATTCATTAAAGTTCCCACACTTTTACTTTCTTTTGAGAACTACAATGTCCACAAGGTAAAATAATACTGTTTTTCATGTTCTACTGAAGAAAAAACAGTATCAATTGCTTTTTATACTTTTTCACTTTTAGTAAACACCAGGTGTGACTTACTGTACAAGAGTACCTAAAGCCAGTCGGAGAACATTTTATGTTGTGATTAAAGGTTCTTTAAATGCATTTCCTGTAATACCAATTCCTCAAAGCTACACCTATAACTTCAACCAGATGCTAATTCTTTGAACTGTAATTAACAGTGTGACACTTATGAAGTAATTTTTAGAATGATTACAGTCACTGTACTTTTATTCTCCAGAAGTGCTAAGTACTGTAATCATCACCTGTTCACGGCAAGTCTTATTGCACCACAGGCTATTAACAACGAATGGCCCTGTTTAACCAAAGCTTCATTCCTAATGAATTATCAGTAACTGGGTTTTTATGTCCAAAAAATGAACTGTCAAATCCTGCTTCTCTTTTATGATGTGAACTCATTCTCATATATAAAATGTGTTTTTAAAAAACCTAATTATTTTGGTGAGTGTGACTCTTCAAAAGTATTTTACATTTGTACAAATAATCTTTTAAAAATTACACAAGTAATCTTGGAAATGTGTGTAATTCTCCCTAAAAAAATAAACGGATACACTGTAAACCTTTTCATTCTGTATTTTAACATAAGGTAAAATTAACTTAGGAGAGAGGGTGTATGAAGTTTGACCCATGTGTGCATTTATATAAACATATCAATAAACCCTACTTCTGAAAGGACCAAAACACTAGGTAGGGTAGGTTTTGTTTTTCCCCTTTTTTCCAAATGTAAAATAGACTCTGAAAGATTGAATAATTTGTCCAGTCACGTGTCTCATAATCAGCAAGAACTCACGTAATCTAAGTAGAAATCTACCAAAGCTTTCAAAGAGGTGATGGAAACTTTCTGTACGGCAGTCTTTCTTTGTTGATTAGCTTGATTATGTGATCCACCAGAGCACTGTTCTGACTTCATATTCTTTATTTCTCATAACAGAGGATCAGGGCATGCAGCAGTGTGCAAAGGATAGCCTAGTAGCTCCACGCTGGCATGGGCGAAGCCATCTGCCTGTGCTGAAACTCTGAATTGCCACATGTTAAAGCTAAAAGTGACACCAAAGGAGAAGCCACTTCTGATTGTTCCACTCTGCATTCCAACACCAAGAACCATATCCAGCAAACAGTAGGTGCTCAGTAAGTGTTCATGGAATGGCTGGGTAATTTATTTGTTTTTCTATGCCTTATTTTCTACTTTTATGGTGATAATAATGGTACTAAATGTATCCTAAGGTTGTTATAAATGGTATCTGAGGTGATATTTTAGAGCATTTAGCACATTATAATCAGCAACGAGTATTAATGATTCTTTAATTCAGAAAATATTCATTATGCTCTTAATCTATAATGTAATTGGAGAGAGAAAGATTCAAATAGTTCATTGAATGTCAAGGGCATTTATAGTTGAGAAACCATTTTCTCTTTAATCAGTGCAAATTACATTTATTGTTGCTCTTTTATTTTGCTCTTATCAATACAAAACCGTGTTTACTTTGGGGATGCTATCTTCAATGATCTCACAACAGTCAAGAAAGGGAGGTACACCAAGGGCTGCAGAGCCCCAGACTGAAGAACTCCTAAGAGAATTTAATAGGTTGTCTCAGACAAGGTCTAGTATTAGAGGCCATAGCACTCACCTGGTGGTATACTACCTTAGGTACAAGGAGCCCAGCAAACTACAAGGGCACACATACCATAGACAGGGAAAAATAAAGCCATCTTTTTTTTTTCTTTTCCTCTTCTGATTTTTTTTAAATTTTTTAATTACAAATGAGAAAAATTTGAGCCCAAGGCCAGAGAAGGCAGGTCTAAGTAGCAGAGGAGGGAGAGCATCAGAGTCCCTGCCCTGGGAAACCAAAACAGTGGCTAGTTGTTTTTGAAGTCTATCACCCAAGTCACCCAAAGTGGGTGTCCAGGACCAAATTCCCAAGATAACCATGCTTCCTCATCCTCCTCTCCTGGGAGTATGTAGTTTGGGTAAGACTTTGGAATGTCTGGAAATCCTGCTTCCACAAAGCCAGGCATCAGTGATGAGGAACATCCCCCAACCCCCAGGCACTTTCTATCCTAGAAAGGTGAAGAGCTTGAATTTAGGCAAGAGAAGAAAAACTTTCTATAATATAATTAATAATTGGAAGAATTGTTGATATTTACAAATGCAGTTGCTTTTTTTACATTGATCTCAAATGGAGTAATCTTATTAAATATATATACTTAATCTAAACATTTACTTGTAGGTAGCTTTTAGATATTTTGTGCAGGCATGCATATCTTTTCTGAGTAAAGACAGATATATGGTTTCCTTTTCAATTCTTAGATTTTAGTTAATTAACATTGTTATTGCACTTGGCTAGACTCTCCAGTACAGTGTCTAATCAAATTTGGGAAAGTGAATATCCTTGAACTGTTTCCTTAGATAAGAATTGTTCCCGAGTTTAAATACTCATCTAAGGGGGTGAAACAGCCTTCAGTATTTTAACATTCAGTATTAACAATTAATATTAAATTAAAATTAATTTTTGCTTTAAATAATAACATATTTTATTTATTTTAATATTTTTATATTTAATCATCATTTTCAATGCTTACATGGGTTATTAGATTTGAATCTGTCCATTTTCTTACCTCTAATTCTATTTTTTCAGGAGAATTAGACAATAATAATATATATTGTTTTTATTATCTAAATGCCCTGGTGTCTTTTACCTAGTTTTAGTGTCTACAGAACAGAATAATCATAGCAGGAGGGAGGTAGGAGCCTGGCAGGACCAGGTGACGACAGGCCAAAACCACCAACAAGCGGCACCGACAGTAACCTCTAGTTGCCCTGGCTGCTCATCAGCACAGGACATTTCCACCAGGGCTATGATAGTTTATGAATGCCATCGCAACGTATGGAAGTCACCACCCATTTCCATGGCAACAGCTGGAAATTAGTGCCCATTTTCTAGCGATTGATGTATAACCTGCCCCTTTATTTGTATGCCATCAAAGTGGGTATAAATACAACTGTCAACTGCCCATTGCCTGTTCTAGCCACTTTGCTTATGCGCTAGCCTTGCTCTGCAAGGAGCAGTCACAGAACTGTTAACACTGCCACCACCTTAATAAAACTGCTTTCTTCCATCACTGGCTTAATCTTAAATTATTTCCTGGGTGACGTCAAGAATCTGCCCTGCATCAAAAGGACTAAAGATTAACCAGAGACTGCTCTGTTTCTCTACGTATTACCTTATAGATTTTTTAACCTCTTTTACTATTTTTTCATAATTAAATCAAGATATTTATATACAACCTGTATAAGGATTGTTGATTATTTGTACATTTTAATCTACATAATTTGATCATTAGACAGTAAACAAATAAATATAAGGTGCTATTTAAGGAAATGCAAATGACTTGAATTTCAGCAATTCTGCATTATACTCTTGTATCAATATACTTAGTATCGATAATTCTGCAACTGGCTCTTGAACAACATGGGTTTGAATTTATATGAAGATTTTTTAAACTAAATGCAAATTCAAAATGCAGTATTTGTGGAATGTGAAACTCACATACAGGGAGAACAGACTTTTTGTCAATGCAGGTTTTCACTGCTGGACTTACGTGCAGATTTTGTTATACAATGGTCCTGAATAAATCCTCCACATATACTGAGAGATGACTATACTTTATTTGCTTAATTCCTGAACACAGGGAAAAAAAAACACAGTAAATGTCTCAAAATCTGACCTCTGAAACACATATGAACCCAGAAATCATCCCAAAAGTCATGGTAAACTCCACATGTACAAAAATTTACTTACTCAAAGATTTTTTTTAATTAAGTATATTTGTTATAAAACAAAACATTTGCATATAATAATCTATTTTAATACTATTATCATAGAGAAGTTACTAGATTATAAATCAGTCATCATACTTTAAAAGAATCTTTGTAATTCCTGTAATTCTCATATCATTTAAGAAACAACTTTGTACGATGCCTACACATCCCTACTACCTAAATGACAATATGTTATATATTGTTATGTGATTGTTTCTCCATAAGAGTTTCCAAGTTCTTTGTAGGCGGACACTATGTATCATTTGTCCAAGGCATGACAGTAAATGCTTAATAAATTTTGAAACATGAGTATATTATTTTGTAATATGGTGTTCTTAATTAATTTAAAATGAATTGTTTAACTTATCTACATTTGCCCAGGTACTATCATTTAAAGGCCTTAAGATGATTTTGCTCTCATATTCATGTACATTTCAAATTTTCAAGACATTTTCCAGTACAAGTACAAATAATGGCAAGTAATGTAATTGGTAAAATATTGTGTATATCATTTTTTAAAGGAAAATTTGTACAATTACTCATTTGAATATCTAATGCAAACATGATACCCATAATCATATATCTAAATCTCCATGAATAGGTTCTTAAGTTTTACATTGTTCCTTTTACTTTTTTTATTTTTTTTACATTTTGAGCTTTCTCCAGATAATTATTATCCTATTAAAAATAATTTGAGCTTTAAACATCTGTTTATTATCACAATATTTGTCTGAAAATTAATGTGTTTCCACATTAAAAATAATTTTAATATTCAGTTACCATGAAGCTCTGTGTATTAACATTTTTCCTTCTGGATTGAGTAACCATTTAAATTATTTGTGGTATAAAATTGGTTGAAATAATTATATTACAAATATTAATTGACAAGTTATTGCTGAGAATTTATCTACTAATAAAATAAAATGTATTATTAGTAATTTATTTACCCATTTTTATTACTTACTGCCAGAGTAATAAAAGTATTATCGTTCTACATTTATTTTTTTTTTTCTATTTTATGTGTTTAGAGTAACTTTGTTCAAATTTCTAGATGAATAGTCATAGATTTTTAGTAGTGTCACTCAATTTTTCCAACTATTAAAAAACAAGACAGAATCAATCAGTGATCTATCTTTAAAATGTTAAAAGATATCAAAGATTATTTTATTATTCTTAAATTTGCTAAAAGCTAAAAATTATAATGAACCTGTGTTGTTGAAATAGTCTCTTGGAATTCATTAAACTAATTCGTTTTTCATTTTCTCCTCACCCACACTAACATTTCAAATTACCTTATAATTTGAACTTCTAGTGATTTTCTGACCCCAGAAAAATGGACTACAGTAAGATTAGTGATGCATTGTATGTGTGTTTATGTGTGTGTGTAGTAACAGAAAGGCGGAATGTGAAACGGAAAATAAAGCAGCATCTTCATGGTGATCCACAGTAGCCTCTTTGCTTTTATAACAAATACCTTTTTAAAACAGCCTATCACAATTCAGAAAAAATTAATTTCTCTAAAGGTATTTACCTGGGTGCAGTGGCTCACACCCGTGATCCTAGAACTTTGGGAGGCCGAGGAGGGCAGATCATCTGAACTCAGGAATTCGAGACCACCCTGGGCAACGTGGTGAAACCCAGTTCCTACTAAAAATACAAAAATTAGTCAGGTGTGGCCTCTAATCCCAGCTACACGGGAGGCTGAGGCAGGAGAATCGTTTGAACCCAGGAGGTGGAGTTTGCAGTGAGCCGAGATCACACCACTATGTTCCAGCCTGGGGTCTCCAATTACTTATGATATATGTATCTCCAGTTTGATGTTTATCAGTAATAAGTAACTTAAATATGAGGACAGTATGTTCAGAGTGCTACAGGGATGCATCATTCATGTAGTCAAATTCAAGAGAATGTCTCCTAGTTCAACTATGAATAATTACGGAAGAAAACATTATTTGGAAAGCATTTTTCAACAAAATCCCATAAAGACTATTTTATTGTATTCACATGGTTTGGCTCTGTGTCCCCAACCCATATCTCATTTCAAATTGTAATGCCCATGTGTCAAGGAAGGGACATGGTGGGAGGTAATTGGATCATGGGGGCATTTTCCCCCATGCTGCTCTAGTGATAGTGAGTGAGTTATCATGTGATCTGAGAGTTTTATATGGCAGTTTTCTCTGCTCTCTCTTGCACTTGCTCTCTTGCCTGCTGCCATGTAAGACATGCCTGCTTCCCCTTCCACCATGATTGTAAGTTTCCTGAGGCCTCCCCAGCCATGCAAAACTATGAGTCAATTAAACCTCTTTTTACAAATTACCCAGTCTTGGGTAGTTCTTTATAGCAGTGTGAGAACAGACTAACACATGTATCCTCACAATTAGCCTATGATATTATTCTAGATATTATTCTAATTATCCTTCTTTTTTAGATGAGACGTGTGCACAGTTTCTCATAGCAGCTAGGATGTGGTACTGCTAAGGCTTAAGCCCAGGTTTGTCTGAATCTAGAACATGTGTTTCTGTTTTTGAACTGACTCTACTACTCTCCTAGAATAGCCATTGTAATTTGGGAGCATTATGGAATTACTGTCACAATACTAGTTTAAAATTATTTCTATCCATTTGGAGATAATGATTTAATTAAACGAGTAACATGAATTTCTAACATACTAATTTCTTTAACTTCATAAAGCTCATACATAGAATGAAATTAGTTTATTAGGTATTATTAGTAATAGTATTATATTAAATGAATTATCTGAGCTGCTCTCTTGATACCATTTTTAAAAAATTATTCATGGTTGGGCCAGGCGTGGTGGCTCACGCCTATAATCCCAGCACTTTGGGAGGCCGAGGCTGGCGGATCACAAAGTCAGGAAATCGAGACCATCTTGGCTAACATGGTGAAACCCTGTCTCTATCAAAAATACAAAAAAATTAGCCGGGCGTGGTGGTGGGCACCTGTAGTCCCAGCTACTCAGGAGGCTGAGGCAGGAGAATGGCATGAACCTGGAAGGCAGAGCTTGCAATGAGCCGAGATCGTGCCCCTGCACTCTAGCCTGGGCAACAGAGTGAGACTCTGTCTCAAAAAAATAAAAAATTATTCATGGTTATTTCTATAGTTCATGTAATATAACTTTTATTATTTTGGTAGTAACACTAATTGCATATTATATCTTAACAAGCAATATAACCCATCTTCATTTATTCTCCTTAGGTTGACAATTTTGTTAGTAAGCACTTTAAATCCTCTATAGCCTGTGAAAAGTAGCATGAAATATATTTGATTATAGAAATCTCACAGTAATCCAGCTAATCTTGGTCTCTCACTTCCCTCATATTCAGGTACCCCCAGCTTTATTATTCTCATACTATACTTTATCCAGTGGATCCTAAAATGACTTCCTCAGCAAACCTTACCTACGACATAACTAAATGTATTGCAAGCTTAGCCATTTTCCTTTAATTGTTAAATACCTAACTCATAGTCTCCCATAAGGTTAAAACAAAATGTATTTACAAGACTAAGTATATGACATATATATGTATATGTATCCAGATATATTGTGCGTATATATGCATATTTATCTGTGTGTGTGTGTGTGTGTGTGTGTGTGTGTGTGTGTGTGTGTGTGTGTGTTTATATAAAACCATGCAATGCCAAGTACAAGCCATTTGGCATTTGGATCTGGGTTCACATTGAAAATCAAACTTAATGGACACAATAGGCTTTAAACACCACCAGGTTTACTTAGCTTTAAGAAATAATACAAAAAAAAAACACACAATCCACAACAATATTAGTACATAAAACTCCTGTTTTTTAAGTTCAGCTCCCAATACCCCAGTTCTCCCAATTTTATACTTGGGCCAGGAATGATAAAGAGAGAAAGTTAAGTGTGCGTAGGTACCTCAACCCTGTGAAGTTAAGTCTGGGACTTTATCATGTTTCTTACCCAGCTAACCATGTGGCTCACTCAGATACATGTGACTGGCACTATTCTCCAGATCAGCAGCTTCTCATTAATGCCTGTTCTTAATTACTCTATAAAAACCTTGAATATTAATTATAGGTACATGGTTCAGTGCATAGCTCTGGCTGGATTTTCAGTTATTTGGTATCAGGTATGAGTAAGCTCCTAACAATTTCTTGAAATCATGATCATATGAGTTTCCTAGGGCTGCTGTAGCATATACCGTGAATTGAATGGCTTAAAGCAATGTGAATTTATCATCTCCATACTACAGTCCAAAATGTAGAAATCAGGTGTCAGCAAGGTTTGTTTCTTTTGAAGACATTGAGGGAGAATCTGTTTCATGCCTCTCTCTAGTTTCTGGCTTTTTGGCAATTCATGGTGACCCTTGGCTTGTAGACTTATCACTCCAATCTGTGTCTGTCTTCACTTGGCTTTCTGTTTCTGTTTCTTCTCCACTACTTACATAAATTCTTATAACTAATTGGATTTAGGGGCCACATTAAATCCAGGATGATGTTGTCTCAAGATCTTTAATTATAGCTATAAAGATTCTTTTCCAAATAAGGCCCCATTTTGAGGTTCAGGGTGAACATGAATTTGGCTGAGGGGGTTAATTATTCAACTCATCACAATCATGCAATGAGAATGGCCAAAGGTCAATCCAATGTCCTTAAGTCTAGAGGGAAGATTAATAACACTTTTTAAATATGTTTCTTTTAAATTATCTTATTTTTAAGGAAGTCTTGAGACCACCTGAAATTGATAGGCAATAAGACCAGTAGGTTAGAGTGAAGTAATATGGTAACTAGAAACATTCCATGTGCAGAGAAAGAAATTTTTGTCATTATGCTCAGTTCCATTTTCCCATCAGAAAATGAAAATTAAGAGTACCAGTAATTAAACAAAAATTCCTTAATAATTTTTACAAAACAAGGTGGGATCAAAAATCGATGCCTATTTACTACTGAGAACTACTGTTTTACACAATTTTTAGTTTTTCATAGAAAAACATCATATTCCTCATGATATTTATGCTTATTTTTCCTTCGAAATAGTATGCTGACAAAATATCAGTCTCTAAAACTTTAAGAGTGTGTTTACCTCACTGAATCTTTCGTCTTTTTCTTAGTGAACTTTTTGGATTTTTTTAAATAAACGCAAGCCCTAAACACTGAAATGCTATACCTATGAGGAACAATTATTTCCTTAAAAGACAACATGATGAAATGCGAGATGCAGTGTGGTAAGGGAGACCTAACTGCTATGAAATTATTATAGTGCCATGTGATTTATTTTGAACCCCAACCATCATTTCACCATCCTGCTGTCTTCTTTATTGTTAGAGTGAATGCTTTCAGTGACATCTTATAAATCTTTGCTTTGGCCAATATTTTTGCAGCGTCTTAACATAGAAGAGGTATGCACAGCTTTCACTACCTCCAAGATTTAGAGGTATAATTTCAATTTAATGTGAAAAGTTTTAGCTGGGTAAGTTCCATTAGCCTCTTTTGTCAAGAAGGGAATATACCTATTCATTTTCATGTACAGTTTATATATTGAGCTCCATCAACACATGAAAGGTGTTATGTAGTGTCTGCAAAGATGGGAGTTTATTGTCTTTAACTGAGCTTCCCACATGCACAAAAGTCTTCTAATAATATTGATCTATATTTCTCTTAGTAAGCAAATGTCAGGTATATAAAAATTTATGAAATAAGGTGGCTTTTTCTCCCTATTAAAACACCTGTTGTCCAGGTAGCAGTGATTCTACCACTTGCCACACGCAGATATGACCTTCTCACCTTGTCCTCAATGCCTTCCCATAAACTACTCTGGGAAGTATTTGATAAAACAACTTATACTAAGATCTAAGTGACTTCTAAAACTCACTGTACTGCATAAGTTATGTGTAAGAATAGTTTATAAATTAGAATGTACAGTATCATGTATAATTTTAATATTCCAATTTATATGTACATTCACATGCAGGCTGGAGGGAGCTATGTAAAAATGTTAACAATTGTCACCTCTGAGTGATGTTTTGCTTTATACATATTTATTTATTTATCATTTTCTGAGTTTTCTACATTGAACCTATACTGCATAAACAGATGCAGGGAGAAGGAAATCCTGCTATGCCTGAAAAAACTTGTGCTGATTAAATAATGTTTTTGCATAGTAGCTTAGTAAATGTGATTACATGAAACTTCACTAAAGAGTGTTTCCAAAGTGTGCAGGATGGGATGCAATGGCTAATATTTTGATAGCAATATGTTGTCACTTTTGTACTCCACCAGGGTACTGTGTTGGGAAATTATTAGAAGTACTGCCCTTACTATTATTAACTCACAATTTTAGTTTAGCCAAAGAAAAAAACATCTTTTAAAGGAAAAAAAAGTAGCTTTGGAATACTTTGGGGGGTTTTTACATACAAATAAAAAAAAGCTATCCTCTCTGCCATAGCCAGTAAAGAGAGAATTGAGCTGCTATAAGTTACTTTTAAACCCAATCAAACATAATATATTGTTTTTACATTTCTAAATGAGTTATGATAGACCACTATATTTTAGAAGCAGTTTTTCAAATAGAAAAAGCTTGTGAGTAGGCAAAATAATTGCAACCTGAAATGTCTGATGAAACAACTCAAATGTCAAAGGACAGTTTTAAGATGCACATAAGGATATCATAAAAATATAATGGATTATTTTATCTTGTAATATTCAATATAGATATCAATTTACCATCTAGATATGGTTTAGTTCAATAGCAGCAACAAGATTCTGTCCAGGTTCAAAAATTAGCTAAACTGTTCAGTGTTTTGAGACCTCTATGCCAAGTGAAGCAATTTTCAACAGATGGTTAGTTCTACTCTATTTTATTCTTTTAATTCTATTCTAGTTTCTTTTTTTCACTCTAGGTTTTATCATAAAGGAAGAAAAAAAATCAGCAAATATTGATAATAAAGAAAACTTTAACCCAGAATAACGTTTAAATTTTTTTTGCATTTTCTCCATTTTTTATTTCATTAAGCTTTCTTCTAAACATCTACTACCCCACTATATGCTTTTGTATTTGAATATGCAAAGCATACACCATTATGTAGTCACATATATCTACTCTGCTTCCTAATAAGTTAATAAATATTCATTTAAACAATTCCTTTGACATTCTATCACTGAATGTTCCCTAATATGCCTTCAGATTTAAAGGTCTGTAGGTTATTTACAAACAGATTAAATGAAGAAAGCAGTTAAAAGACTGTAGAATACGGCAAGTAGGATATTCATTGATAGATTGTATTTAGGTCTATACTTTTGTAACTAAACTAGAAGTTGTTTTGTCACTAGGAAGACATAAACAATTATATCTAGGGTGTTATGCATGAGTAGAAAATATATGGGTGCATACGGACATGTATTGGTATTTATGTAAATTAATTTAATCTATATCATTATTACAGTTTTAATTTTTCTTAGGATTGTAAAACTAAAATATAAAGAAAATTGTGCCTTCATCTCAGAAGACTTTGTATTTTATTTTCATGGGTGGGAGCTAAACTTTTAGAAATGGTGTGAAAGATAATACATTAAGCAATCAATTAAATTTTTAGATTTTAATCAGAAAAAAATTAGCACGGTAGCTCACGCCTGTAATTCCAGCACTTTGGGAGGCCAAGGTGGGAGGATCACCTGAGGTCAGGTGTTTGAGACCAGCCTGGCCAAAATGGCAAAACCCCATCTCTACTGAAAATACAAAACTTTTAGCCAGGTGTGGTGGCACATGCCTGTATTCCCAGCTACTCTGGAGGCTGAGGCAGGAGAATTACTTGAACCTGGGAGACAGAGGTTGTACCAAGCCGAGATCACAACACTGCACTCCAGCCTGGGTGACAGAGGGAGACTCCATCTCAAAAAAAAAAAAAAAGGTGACGTTTTTGCACTTGGATAGCAATCCTTCAAATATTCAATATTTGTGACTTTCTAATTTACTACTGTCAGTTTCTTCAATTACTGATACCATTAAATTGTACTATATATATATATCATTCTCAGTACTGCATTAATCACTCTCAAGTAACTGCTTGAAAATTATTTTATAGTAATTATTATGATGCATAATATTATTTTAACAAATTCTTCCCAAATTCTTTTAATGAAACTGCTTTCTTACCTTTCTAGTACATTTTTTCTCCATAAAGTTTCAGGTTAACATAAGTTCTCAGGAGCAATAAATAAGTTGAATAAATTTCATGTGAATTCTGACTCAAATGTTGATCATATCATTAGTGTATAAAAATGAAATATGTGCATTTTACAATGAATACCTTTTGTGACTTTCATTATTTCTTAAGACATTGTGGCTCCTAAGATTATCAGTAACTCTATATATCACTAGCACTGATGCACATGGTTGTCCCTAACTAACTAATTGAGTTTATATAGATAAGTAAGTAATTTACAGAAAGACATTAATATCACTAACTACATTTAAACATAAGTAATATTTTTAAAAATTAAAATAGAATTAACAGTTCTTTACAGAATCATTCTTTAAAAATATTTATGAAAAATGTGTTAAAATTATTATATTGGAAACGTTTTCACAAATATAAAGTGATTGAATGATTTCCATACGTGTTTACTTGACTGTGTAGAGCAGGGTTCTATTGAGTGCATGTAAACATTTACTCCTAAGACACCCACTAACCTAAGGAAAATATCCAAATCTTCCACACTTGCCAAGTACAGCAGAGCCTGCTATTTGAATCTACAAATCCATTCTCCCATATTCCTTGTAGCAATAATATCTCCAAGTTGTATATGGATAGATGATCATCCAGCAAGAGTATGTCACTCTTAAGTCTCTACTTACCTCATCAGGACTGACAACAAAGAACTTAAAGATAAGCATCAATCTGTAGACCACATTTTGAGTAACTTCATTCTGTAATGCGAAGTGACTTTCTCAAAGACGCTTCCAACCAGCTATCGGCAGAATCTGAATATTCTGTTCCTTGGAAATCTCCTTCCCTCCCTGCGCTTCAGAGGTGCTTCATCAGTTTATGGATACCAAAATTGAAAAGGAGCTCATAAGACTGTGAAGACAACTTATTTCTAGCTTTATGATAAAGATTAGAAAATCAAGCCTTGAAAGCGAAGTGCTTTTCCTGTGTTCACACTACTAGTTAATGGTGGAGAGGGTGACAAAGACCATAGCACAAGGCTTCCATAATGGAGATCCCCAGTACCTTTCATGTCTGACTCTTCAGTTGTCAATAACTCCTGACTCTTTAACCTCCAGTTTCTTTGGTATCTGAATAAGATGTGAAGCTCTGGAAATATAATTTTTTAAACCTTTCTTGAAAGAAAGGCATGTCTCTTTGAAGAGAGAACACTGGGAGCAGTCTTTTCTTCACTGCACTTCACACGCAAGAAGATTCAGATGCAAAATGTTTATTTAGATGCTAGACCTGTATCATCGTGATGTATGTGATCTCTAGATGATCCTTTATCTGATAAATAAGGCAAAACAATACTAGCTCTTTGGAAGAGTCAACTTTTAGAATTAAAATGATATTTTTTCACTGAATAATTGCACAATTTTACTTGACTTGTTTTAGGGCTTCATTTCTATTTTTTAAACACGTATTATTCCAACCTCATCCTCTTTTACTCATTCTCATTCCCTGAGCTCTAACTAAACTAGATGTTAGAGCTTGTCCCTATCTCCATATGTCTTGTCCAACCTGTTATTTTTCATTTTGTCTTTTTGTGGATATATATATAAAAATATTTATATATATATAAATTTATAAATACATATTTAATATAAATGTTAACTATATATTTCATATAAGTATTAAATATATATACTTAATTTAAATATTAAATATATATATTTAATTTCTAACTCTGTAATTAATAACTTTTCCCTTCAGCCTTTCTCTCAGTTTTTTCCTAATTTGTTTGTAAGACAATCACTAAGAAAGAAATTGCAGTTAAACACATAGCCCCATATGACTGCTCCTACTTTAAATGTTGATTACTAACTTTAGGTAGTGTTTTAATGATGCAACCATAGTATATTTAGACCATTAAATTTTCTTTTCCTTTCTCAGATGACTATTATATTGTTCATTATCTTTCCTTAAATTTCTAACATGTGCTTTTTTTTCCATATTCTTACAGTGTCCTTGAGTAAGTTAGTAGAAGGACAAAATCAAAACACAAAAAGATGGACCTTAACAGACCAGTGCTCCTCAAAGCTCTGATGTCTCTCTTGCAACCACTACTGTCACTAATGCATATTTCTGGATCTTGCTGTCATCACTGTGGTACCAAATGTACAAGAAAAGAAATATTTTTCTATCAATAAAATGTTTAGTTAGCAATATCACTAATGCATATTTCTGGATCTTGCTCTCATCACTGTGGTACCACATGTACAAGAAAAGAAATATTTTTCTATAAATAAAATGTTTCATTAGCAATATTCCACAGCTATATCACAAATACCCTGATTGTTAATATTGTTAATTGGTTCAGTTCCTGCAGCCCTTTTACAATAACACACATATATAGTAATAGAGTTTCTGAGTCAGGCAAAAGTCAGTGTGTCTGGAATCGTCCACACTCTTGTTGCCTTATATATTTTAGGTAATCAATACAAATTCCTCCTCTTTTTAGGATGAGTTAATTCACTCTGGCTACAATTATTGTTCTTAAATTTGAACTTAACCTGTGCCACC
Organism: Homo sapiens; assembly: GCF_000001405.40. NCBI lineage: Eukaryota > Metazoa > Chordata > Mammalia > Primates > Hominidae > Homo > Homo sapiens. Next base: position 191,195,483 of record NC_000001.11, read on the forward strand.
TGGTTTAGCAAATATATTTTAATAACTTTAATCCTTGAAGGAGTTTGTAAAATGCATTTCAGTTATTTTTCCTTTTTCATTTCCTAAGATATTTGATATTAAGGATGACTTGAATTTTATAAGCACACACATATTAGTTTAGGTGAAGTCTGAGTTTTTAGTGTATCCATCACTTAAATAGTTAACATTGTACCCCAAAGTCCACCTATTCTTAAAAAGTCCAGGAAATGCTACTTCTTATGTTTTCTCCTATTTTTAATGGCTCCATTATTTTACATTTAACTTGTAAATCTATTATTTATCTGCACATTTCCACAGCCATACATCTGTACGTTTGTGTGTGCGTAGAGGGTGTCTGTGTACACATTCTTTCTCTTGTGCCATTCTTGGAATATGGCATAAAAATTGGAGAAAAGTGAAGGACAAAAGACAAGAAGGCTCATGTCACACAAGTCTGAAGTCTGTTACTTAAAAAAAAAAAAAGTTTTGGAAAACTGAATAAGATCTGTTTACTACTTATGGGCCAGACCTATGTCCTATGATTGCCACTTACTACAACGGTGTTTGTAACCAATTCATATCCACCATTAGCAAAGAAATTCATCAGATCAGTTATTACTAAACTACTAGCTCAAGATGGCAGAACAAGCTCACATTTTATCTTCTTCCACTTAATTGCATCTCACAATAACAAATTAAAGATAAATAGAAATATAAATATGAAGTATATGAAATATGGTTGTAATGAAAAAATGCAAAAGCATGAATAAATTTGACTCTTATAAATGACATTCTATTTCTTCAATTCATTATGTTTTTTATAAATTATGCACTTACTTCTGAATTAAATATGAGAGCTCTGAATAAGCCAGAAAAGCTTTGAAAGTGCTGGAATGTTACTATTGGAGTAAGGACTGATCAGTTGTGGTATTCACAACAATGACAACATAACACTTTCCACGGTGTGCTCCAAAACAATATATTAATAATAATTGATTTATTAACATATCCAAAAGAGTAGAGCTAACTATGTAGCTAAATAAACTCAATCCATCATCTATTTAGAGAGGAAATCTTTAAAGGATCTTATAAATTATAAGAAAATACTAATCTTATAAATTATAAGAAAATACTAATACATAATACATTTTTAAGAAGGCTAATAGACCAAATAAATATATTCTCATGTTAGAACAATTGATTATGTGATGCTGGACATAAAAAACTTAAAAGCAAATTATTTTAAAGAAAAATGCAGGGTACCGAAAAGCTAAAGCTTAAATAAACATATTAATTTAGAAACACTTTTAAAGGTGTAGAAAAGATTTACTCTATAAAGAAAATTATAACCAGGTGTCCAGAAGATTGGTTTTTAATTCACCTTTTGGGAAGGCAAAAGGATCATTTGCAAACCAATGCCAATTTATTAAAAATCTAGATTATATGCCAGCTTATCCAAGATAAATTATTTTTCCCTTGTTCATCTTATCTAAGATGAAACATTTGTCCCTTGTTTACCGTATCTAAGATGAATTATTTGTCCCTTGTTAGAGTATAGAAATCTTAGGAAGGTACCAAAATGAAAATAGTTGTAACTTTAAAGACTATTAAAACAAGTATAAAATAAGTAGGAAATAAACTAATCATGATGTTGATATGTAGAGTAGGTTAAGATATAAGTATGCTAATAAATGGCATATAAGCTTTATAATTATGTACATTTTATCTTCACTGTGATGTATTTGAAGTAGCCAGAAGAATCATTCTTCCAAATGTTACATTATAATGAATCTTGAATTAAATAAAATAAAGCTTTGTGGTTGCTTTTTTCTTATGCAGAAAAATGGTTGGGGCATGAAATTAATGAGTACATTTGTCCAGTAATAACATAGAATGGATGCCTTGGAAATATTCCTGCTAGAAAGCATCAAAGAGTGTTTGATAAAATTTTATTTTAGAAAACCACTAGTAAATAAAGTAGTTAGTACATGAATATGAAAGAAAGTTCTTGCAGGTGTATTGTGGTAACAAAGATGTTCCATCATTGTGATTGATCTACAAAGCCAGTGCTTATCGTTTGAACATCTATCACTGGTGGACTAGACAGATTTAACATGCTGCATAGAGAACACGGGAGGCCCAGTGTGGGGACTTCATAAAGTAGCCGATATTATAATAAATTAATTATTACCCAGGGAAACCCTAAAGAAAACTCTTATTTAGAAACCAAGGAAAAAAGCCTATGCACATTGTAGATTCATACATTTGTTGCTTGGTGTTTTAAACTTGACTATAGGTTGAGGAGAAAATAAGAAAAATAATTATTATCTGCATGCCAGTAATCAGGTCAGTTATATGATAGAAAAACCTGACGACAAATACACAGCCTCAGTCTCGGATTTGTAGTTACCGCAAACATCTCCTGAAGAAGCATAAAACAAAATTAAGTCTAGCAGGACAAATTTTATAATTAGGGTTCAAAAAGTTCCCACAAATGAAATTCCAAATATCATGAACTCTACGTTTCAGAATTAGAAAAATTCTGAGCAAATAAGCTAATAATTGTGAGAATCATTTGAAACTACACGGTCAAACCTCTGGTAATTGTAGATACTGCATTATCAAATGCAGAATATAAAATATTTAAGCTAACATATTAAAAAATAAGATATCAAAAGCATGAAGAAAGTACAAAAAAAGTTACAAAATGAATACTTATATTTATATTTAGGAAGCCCAGCTAATCTTCAATAAGATAATTATATCAATAGAGTGTCAAAACTGCAAAACACAAAAGGTAAGGACAATATCTTAAAAGGAGTCAATGATAAAATACAGATTACCTTCATGAAAATTACATGCTTACAGCAGATTACCTAGCTTCAGTAATGAATAAATATGCCAAGTAACTTTTTTTAACAAAACCTTTATCTAAAATCATATAGTTTGGGGTGTGGCCAAGATGGCCGACTAGAAGCAACAGCAATGGGAGGCTCCCATCCAAAAGAACAATAATAGCATATGAATCCTGCACTGGCAACCGAGATATCCAGGTTCTCTCATCAGAACTGACTAGGTGGCTGGCGTGACCCATGGAAAGGAAAGAAGAGCAATGTGGTGCAGCAGCCCACCTGAGAGCCAAATGGGGCAGGGGAGTCCCCATCCCCTAGCCAAGGGAGCCCATGAGTCAACATGTTACCCATCCAGGGAAACTGCCTTTTCCATGGAACTGTGCAACCCACGGATGGGATGTTGCCACTCGTGAGCCCATGCCACCAAGTCTAGGGTCTCAACCCCAAAGCCATGCAGGTTCTTAACAGACGCTCAGCTAGAATCTGCTTAAGCCTGGGGGGAGGGGCTCCTGGGGGGAGAGGTGACCAGCACCACAGCTGCAGCTGGCTGCTGTCTAAGCTGCTTGAGCTACTTGGGGGAGGGGGCAGCAGCCAGCACTGGGACTGATAGCTGCCTAACACACTAAGCTCCCTGGTCATGGGAAGGGAGGCAGCCATCTCTACAGCTGCAGACCATGCTTTTTCCCTGCTGGAGCCGGGGAGGCTAGATGGCTTAATCCAAGAAGTGTCCCCCATACACCAACACACTGGCTGTGACAGATTGTGGCCAGAGTGCCTCTTCAGGGCTGACCCTGACCCTCCTCACTGGGTAGGGCCTCCCTGCAGGAGCTCCAACATCTCCAGACAGGTGCTCAGTGACAGAACTCTGATCTCCCTGGGTCTGAGCCCCTAGGGGGAGGGTTGGCTGCAGTCTCTGTGGACCAGCAGACTTAGCCTTTCCTTCTAGTAGTCCTGAGGAATCTAAGCATCCCAAATGAGTGGGTTTTCCCCCAGCAAAGCACACCCACTCTACCAAGTGACAGTCAAAGTGCTTCGTTAAATGCATTCTATACCCCGTGCCACCCAACAGTGTGAGACCCTCCAACAGGGGTTGTCAGACATCCCATTCAGGAGCAATCCAACTGGCATCAGGATGGTGCCCTTCAAGGTCAGAGATCACAGAGGAAGGAGCAGGCACCCATCTTTGCTGTTCTCCAGCTTCCTTGAGTGACATCTCCAGGCACGGGATCAAACCAGATGAACAGGGCCTGAAGTGAACCCCCAGGAAACCACAGCAGACCTACAGAAGAGGGACCTGAACATTGAAAGAAAAACCAACAAACAGAAAGTAACAACAACAGCATCAACAACAAAAACAGTCCCCATGAAAACCCCATTCAAGGGTCAGCAGCCTCAAAGATTGAGTTTAAACAAACTTATGAAGATAAGAAAGAATCAATAAAAACACGCTGAAAACACAAAAGGCCAGAGTGCATCTTCAACTCCAAATGATCCCAATGCCTCTCCAGCAAGTGTGCAGAAATGGACAGAGGATAATATGGACGAATTGACAGAAGTAGGCTTCAGAAGATGGGTAATAACAAACTCCACTGAGTTAAAGGAACATGTTCTAACAATGCAAAGAAGCTAAAAACCTAGATAAAAGGTGATAGGAGCTACTAACTAGAGTAACCAGTTTAGACAGGAACATAAATGACCTGACGGAGCTGAAAAAACACAGGATGAGAACTTCGTGAAGCATACACAAATATCAATAGTCAAATCGACCAAGCAGAGGAAAGGATATCAGATTTGGAAGACCATCTTGCTGAAATAAAGCATGCAGACAAGATTAGAATAAAAAGAAATAAACAAAGCCTCTGAGAAATATGGGACTATGTAAGGAGACCGAACCTACAATTGACTGGAGTACCTGAAGGAGATGGGGAGAATGGAAACAAGCTAGAAAACACCTTCAGGATATTATGCAGGGGAACTTCCCCAACCTAGCAAGACAGACCAACATTCAAATTCAGGAAATACAGAGAACACGAGTAAGATACTCCACGAGAAGATCAACACCAAGACACATAATCAATAATCATCAGATTCTCTAAGGTTGAAATGAAGAAAAAAATGTTAAGGGCAGTCAGAGAGAAAGGCAAGGTGACCTACAAAGGGAAGCCCATCAGACTAACAGCAGATCTGTCAGCAGGAACCCTGCAAGCCAGAAGACAGTGGGAGCCAATATTCAACATTTTAAAAAAAAAAAAAACAAATTTTCAACCCAGATTTTTATATTTAGCCAAACTAAGCTTCAAAAGCCAAGGAGAAATAAAATCCTTTCCAGACAAGCAAGTGCTGAGGGATTTTGTCACCACAAGGCCTGCCTTGTGAGAGCTCCTCCTGAAGAAAGCACTAAATATGAAAAGGAAAAACAGGTACTAGCCACTGCAAAAACACAGCAAAATAAAAAGACCAATGACACTATGAAGAAACTGCATCAACTGGTGGGCAAAAAACCAGATAGCATCATGATGACAGAATCACATTTACACATAACAATACTAACTTCAAAGATAAATGAGCTAAATTCCCCAATTAAAAGAAACAGACTGGCAAATTTGAAAAAGAGTCAAGATCCGTCAGTGTGCTGTATTCAGGAGAACCATCATACATGCAAAGACACCCATAGGCTCAAAATAAAGGTATGGAGGAAAATTTATCAAGCAAATGTAAACCAAAAAAAGCAGGGGTTGCAATCCTAGTAAACAGCCTTTAAACCAACAAAGATCAAAAAGACAAAGAACGGCATTATATAATGGTAAAGGAATCAATTCAACAAGAAGAACTAACTATACTAAATATATGGACCCAATACAGGAGCACCCAAATGGATAAAACAAGTACTTAGAGACCTACAAAGGGACATAGACCCCACATGATAATAGTGAGAGACTTTAATACCCCACTGTCAATATTAGGAAGATGAAGAAGACAGAAAATTTACGAGGATATTCAGGACTTGAACTCAGCTCTGCATCAAGTGGACCCAATAGACATCTACAGAACTCTCCAGCCCAAATCACCAGAATATGCATTCTTCCCAATGCCACATGTCACTTATTCCAAAATTGACCACATAATTTAAAGTAAAACACTCCTCAGCAAATGCAAAAGAACTGAAATCATAACAAACAGTCTTTCAGACCACAGTGCAATCAAATTATACCTCAGTAATAAGAAACTCACTCAAAACCACACAATTACAGGGAAATTGAACAACTTGTTCCTGAATGACTCCTGGATAAATAATGAAATTAAGGCAGATATCAAGAAGTTCTTTGAAACCAGGGAGAACAAAGAGACAATGTACCAGAATCTCTGGGAGATGCAAAAGCAGTGTTAAGAGGGAAATGTATAGCGCTAAATGTCCACATCAGAAATCTAGAAAGATCTCAAATTGACACCCTAGCATCACAATTAAAAGAGCTAGAAGGACAAGATCTAACTAATCCAATACTTAGCAAAAGGCAAGAAATAACTAAGATAAGAGCAAAACTGAAGGAGATAGAGACACAAAAATCCTCCAAAAAAATCAACGAACCCAGGGGCTGTTTTATTGAAAAAAAATTAACAAAATAGGTAGACCACTAGCTAGACTAGACTAGCAAATCAATAAATGTAATCCATCATATAAAGAGAATCAAAGAAAAAAACACACATTTATCTCAATGCATGCAGAAAAGACCTCTGATGAAATTCAACATTTCTTCATGTTAAAAACTCTCAATAAACTACATATTGATGGAACATATCTCAAAATAAAAACAGCTATTTATGACAAACACATAGCCAATATCATGTTGAATGGGAAAAAGCTGAAAGCATTCCCTTTGAAAACTGGTACAAGACAAGGATGCCCGCTCTCACTACTCCCATTCAACATAGCATTGGAAGTTCTGGCCAGGGCAATCAGTCAAGAGAAAAAAAAAATGAAGGGTATTCAGATAGGAAGAGAGGAAGACAAATTGCCTCTGTTTGCAGACCACATAATTGTATATTTAGAAAACCCCATCATCCCAACCCAAAAACTCCTTAAGCTGATAAGTAACTTCAGCAAAGACTCAGGATATAAAATCAATGTGCAAAAATCACAAGCATTCCTATGCACCAACAATAGACAAGCAGAAAACGAAATCATTAATGAACTCCCATTTACAATTGCTAAAAAGAAAATAAAATACCTAGGAATACAGCTAACAAGAGAAGTGAAAGACCTGTTCAAGGAGAACTACAAACCACTACTCAAGGAAATAAGAGAAGACACAAACAAATGGAAAAACATTTCATCCTCAAGGATAGGAAGAATCAATATTGAGAAAATGGCCATACTGCCCAGATTAGTTTATACATTCAGTTCTATTCCACCAAACTACCATTGACATTCTTCACAGAATTAGAAAAAAAAAACTACTCAAAATTTCATATGTAGCCAAAGAAGAGACTGTATAGCTAAGACAATCCTAAGCAAAAAGAGCAAAGCTGGAGGCATCACAGTACGTGACTTCAAACTGTATCACAGGGCTTTAGTAATCAAAATGGCATGGTACTGATACCAAAACAGACATATAGATTAATGGGACAGAACAGAGAACTCAGAAATAACCTCACACATCAACATGCATCTGATGTTTGACAAACAAGCAGTGTTTGAAAAGCAAGAAATGGGGAAGTATCTCCTATTCAATAAATGGTGCTGGGAAAACTGGCTAGCCATATGCAGAAAACTGAAACTGGACCTCTTCCTTATACCTTATTCAAAAATTAACTCAAGATATATTAAAGACTTAAATGTAAAACCCAAAATCATCAAAATCTTAGAAGAAAACCTAGGCAATACCATGCAGAACATATGCATGGGCAAAGACTTCATGATGAAAACACCAAAAACAATTTTTAAAAAAAGTCAAAATTGACAAATGGGATCTAATTTCACTAAAGAGCTTCTGCATGGCAAAATAAACTATTATCAATGTGAATAGGCAAGCTATAGAATGGGAGAAAATTTTTGCAATTGTACCCACCTGACAAAGTCGAATACCCAAAATGTAGGAACTGAAACAAATTTACAAGAAAAAAAATCAAAAAGTGGGCAAAGGACATGAAAGACACTACTCAAAAGAAGACATTTATGCAGCCAGCAAGCATATGAAACAGAGCACAACATCACTGATCATTAGAGAAATGCAAATCAAAACCACAATTAGATACCATCTCATGCCAGTCAGAATGGTGATTATTGAAAAGACGAGAAATAATAGATGCTAGTGTGGCTGTGGAGAAATAGGAACCCTTTTACACTGTTAGTGGGAATGTAAATTAGTCAACCATGGTGGAAGATAGTGTGGCACTTCCTCAAGGATCTAGAACCAGAAATAACATTTGACCCAGCAATCCCATTACTGGGTGTATACCCAAAGGAATATAAATCATTCTACAACAAAGACACATGCACACGTATGTTTATTGTACCTCTATTTACAATAGTAAAGACAGGGAACCGACTCAAATGTCCATCAATGATAGACTGGATAAAGAAAATGTAGTAAATGCACACCATGGAATACTATGCAGCCATAAAAATGAATGAGATCATGTCCTTTGCAGTGATATTGATGAAGCTGGAAGCCATCATGCTCAGCAAACTAACACAGGAATAGAAAACCAAATACTGCATGTTCTCACTCATAAGTGGCAGTAGAACAATGAGAACACATGGACACAGGGAGGGGAACAACACACACTGGGGCCTGTGGGGGGTTGAGAGCAAGGTGAAGGACCCTAGAGGATGGGTCAATAGGTGCAGCAAACCACCATGGCACATGTATACCTATGTAACAAATTTGCACATTCTGCACATGTATCCCAAAACTTAAGTAAAATAAAATAATAAAATTAAATAAAATTAAATCATACAGTCAATAAAAATACTTTGAATAACAATATTAAAATGTAATTTCAGCTGACAGGGTTAATGTTAACAGACCCTCACCAGCGGAACTCTAAAGGGTCAGTCATGAAAAAATGAAAACAAAACAAAACAAGACTTTGTTGATTTGACTTGCTCTAACCAGGAGTCACAAGCAAATAAAATTAGACACATGGAGATAAAGACATATTATCTAAATGTACATTGATTTTACAAAATAATAATTTTCTAATTTGAGGCATTAAATAAATAGAATAGAAATAAAATAGCAGGTAAAAACAGCACATATTTTGGTGAAGGTTATAATTATTAATAGAGACAAAGATTTCTTTTTATACTTATTGATATGGTTTGGCTGTGTCCCCACCCAAATCTCATCTTGAATTGTCACTGTCACAATTCCCATGTGTTGTTGGAAGAACCCATGGGAGGGGATTAAATTATGGAGGTGAGTCTTTCTTGTGCTGTTCTTGTGATAGTGAATGAGTCTCAGGAGATTTGATGGTTTTTAAAATGGGAGATTCTCTGCACAAGCTCTCTTTTTGCCTGCTGCCATATGCATAAGATGTGACTTGCTCCTCCTTGCCATCTGTCATGTTATGAAGCCTGTCCAGCCACGTGGAACTGGGAGCCCAATTAAACCTCTTTCTTCTGTAAATTGCCCAGTCTTAGGTATGTCTTTATCAGCAACATGAAAATAGACCAATACAGTAAATTGGTACCAGTAGAATGGAGTGCTGCTGAAAAGATACCCGAAAATGTGGAAGCCACTTTGGAACTGGGTAACAAACAGGGGCTGAACAGTTTGGAGGGCTTAGAAGAAGACAGGAAAATGTGGGAAAGTTTGGAATTTCCTACAGACTTGTTGAATTGCTTTGCTTCCTAGATACTTGTTTGAAAATGCTGTTAGTGATAAAGTCAATGAAATCCAGGCTGATGTGTTGGTCCCAGATAAAGATGAGGAACTTGTTGGAAACTGCAGCGAAGGTGACTATTGTTATGTTTTGGCAAAGAGACTGGCAGCATTTTGCCCCTGCCCTAGAGATGTGTGGAACTTTGAACTTGAGAGTGATGATTTAGGGTATCTGGAGGAAGAAATTTCTAAGCAGCAAAGCGTTTGAGAGTTGACTTGAGTGCTATTAAAGGTATTCAGTTTTTTTTTTTTTTTTTTTTGAGATGGAACCTCGCTCTGTTGCCCAGGCTGGAGTGCAGTGGTGCAATCTTGGCTCACTACAAACACTGCCTCCCAAGTTCAAGCAGTTCTCCTGCCTCAGCCTCCTGAGTAGCTGCGGTTACAGGTGTGTGACACCACACCCGGCTAATTTTTTGTATTTTTAGTAGAGATGGGGGTTTCAGCATTTTAGCCAGGATGGTCTCCGTCTCCTGACCTCGTGATCTGCCTGCTTCAGCCAAGGCAATTAGTTTTATAAGGGAAGCAGAGAATAAAAGTTCAGAAATTTTGCAGCCTGATAATACGACAGAAAAGAAAATCTTATTTTCTGAGGAGAAATATAAGCCAGCAGCAAAAAATTTGCATAAGTAACAAGAAGCCAAATATTAATCTCCAAGACAATGGGGAAAATATCTCCAGGGTATTTCAGAGGTCTTCACAAGGTAGCCCCTCCCATCACAGGCCTGGATGCCTAGGAGGCCTAGGGCTGGGCCCAGGGTAATTAGCATATCCATCTTCTCAAACATTAATTATTGCTTTGTGTGGAGAATGTTCAATGCCCTCCTTTTAACTCTTTGAAACTATTTAATATATTATTGTTAACTGTAGTCATCCTACGGTGCTATAGAACACTAGAACTTATTCTTCCTATCTAGCTGTAATTGTTATTAATTTTTAAGGGGTCTTGGTATATTTTGCATATTAGTTTTTATCAGATGAGTGTTTTGTAAAGACTGTATCATGATCTGTGGTTTGTCTTTTTATTCTCTTAGCATTTTTTTTTACAAGAGAGAAGTTTTTTAAAACATTTCTTAAATATTGTATACTTCACCAACTTTCAGGATCATTATTAGTCATTGCTGCATTTTATGTGTGTAGTTCAAATGATAATATGTGTAAAAGAAAATAGAATTTTAACAGTAAGTTTTTACAGATTTTAACTTCAAGTTACATATTTGAAGTTGAATATTTGGATATTAAGAATCTCAATGAAACCCTTGCTTTTACTGTGAACATTGTTTTACTTTAAACCTCATAATAACTCCTGTCAAAAATAAAATTAGGTCAAATTAGATAATTTTTAAAGTTTATTGTGCATACAAAAGAACAGTTTGCTAACCAGGAAACCATAAAGTGAAAATGGTAAGAAGCACCACTTATAGCAATAATAACATAATATATCAAGCAAAAAACAGGAAGTATTTTGCCCTGTTTTGCAAGGTAGTAGTATGCTGTTCAGAAAGCATTGCAGATAGTGTCATTAATCATGTAGGAAACAATATAAAATCAAATTCTGGTGTGTTGGCAAAGGTTTAACAACCAATTCTACAAAAACAAAAACCAAACGGAAACAGAAGACTGCTTTGTAGAGTTTAATGATTTTTGTAGCGTGAGTACTTTCACCTTGGACTATTTCAGTCTGCTATATTTCAAGAAATATGAAGGATATTAGATTTTACCCTACTTGCAGTCAAATATGTTAGCATGTCATAGTTTCATGGTTGCTGGCAGAAGATATGAGACTCTGAGTCAGAGACAAAGGGCAGCTTATTATTCATAGTAACAGCAGTTGGCAGAGTATCAGAATTTGTGCCATTTCCCTAACCCCAAATCCCATAGGGTGAGATAAAGATCTAAGTAACACCTGCATGTGTGTTATGAAAGAAAATCCCTGAGTTTAGGGTACCTGAATTTTTCATAAGTAATTGGCAAAACAAAATTTTCCAAAAGGGAGACATTATCTCTACTATTCTGGAGAGTAAACAAGTCTGTCTTTTACTCAAATTTGTTTAGTCTTTTTTTCAAATTTGTTAACTATACAAACATCCTTAAAAAATTTTGTCATAGCAAAAGTCATCAGTACCCCTCTTCACAAAATACAGAAACTCAAGAAACCAACAAATAGTTGTTTTCCAATACCAATGTGATATCACTGAACATGGAATTGGAAAAATAAATGAACAGTTGCCTGTTGTGAGTCAGAATAATATGCTCCAGCATGTCACTACATTGGAATATTAAAATGCCATTTTTTATAGTTAGGTGAATAAGATAGATAGTGTAACAATTACAAGATATACATTATAATCATATTTATTTTTAACTAAAAAATTTATGTTAACCTTAAAGGAAAAAAAATGGTTATCTAATTCCTATTAGGAAAACATTAATAGAATAAGATATTAAATCAGTACAATATTAATTTATCATCCTGGCTGATACCAGAACTCAATAGGAAAATCGTTCAAATTCTTTGCAAATTCTGCATCACATATAAAGTGCTAAAGCATATTATATGATTTTAATATCATGGCTCTGTCCAAATAAAATATTTTGACATTGCCCAAATTCTAACATAAATGATTATAAAAGACCAAATATTAAACAAACACACTTGATTTGTTACTATTTATTTTCATGAGTTGTGTATGACTGTCTAGATAAATGTACTTTGGGAACATTGTATAGAGCTAAAAAATTGAAAAAATACTTAGTAAATTATGATTTATTCAATTAGTTAATTCATTCGTGAGTTTCCTTAGTTCTGTGTTTCCTTATGTCATCACATTTGTCACAGTGAGTGGTGATTATCCATGTAACTGTATGTTTTTCTACCTATTCCAAGGCCTTTAACCAGAGCCGCACATCAGAATGAATTAGATGATTTGAAGCACACACATGCACATTTGCGTACACTTCTAGGCCTACCCTCAGAAACACAGTCAGTGGATCCAGGATATGGTAAGTGTATTTATATTTTTAAATTATCAGAAAAGTCTGACATACATCTTGGTTTAAAATAACTGAAATAACTGTCCTAAAATGTGTTATGGATAGCAGAAAAATTACTTACCCATCTGTGTTTCCCTTGTATCCATCATAGTGTTTCAAGAACAGTAAGTACTTACATATATCTGCTATTTCTTTCCAGCTCACATTGTTATAGTATACCATTGTTTTTCACATAGGCTTCTGAAACAGCTTCCTGAATGGAAATTACCATTTTATATTTTTAAATGTTCAAATATTAGCAGTTTCATATGGCCCAGCCTAAAAGAATACAATCCAAAATTTTTAACATGCTTGCTGTCTATGACTTACTGTTCATGACATAATGTTATATTCTTACAAACTTATCTCATGGAATTCTTTTTCTTTTTTTTTTTTTTTTTTTTTTTTTTTTTGAGACGGAGTCTCGCTCTGTCGCCCAGGCCGGACTGCGGACTGCAGTGGCGCAATCTCGGCTCACTGCAAGCTCCGCTTCCCGGGTTCACGCCATTCTCCTGCCTCAGCCTCCCGAGTAGCTGGGACTACAGGCGCCCGCCACCGCGCCCGGCTAATTTTTTTAGTAGAGACGGGGTTTCACCTTGTTAGCCAGGATGGTCTCGATCTCCTGACCTCATGATCCACCCGCCTCGGCCTCCCAAAGTGCTGGGATTACAGGCGTGAGCCACCGCGCCCGGCCATGGAATTCTTTTTCTATTATTTCCATACTGAGACATGTCTTATCGTCAGAACAATTTTATCCCAGATTCATGATTCACTAAATGCAATTCCTATTTTCTAGTTCTTTATTTCCCTTCCTTTATGTTTATCTCTTGCTCTCTATTAGTATGAGAATAATTTGTAAACATTATATCCAAATTGACTGTTTTCTGCCATGATTCCCTGTCTTTGCTCATTTATTTCCTTCAAAATTTGAAAGATTTATCTAAATTTATGATTTTTATTTTTATGGCTTTATTTCAAAATAAAAGTTTCATCTACATCTATTCATATAACTTGGAGGTAATTTTTGATATTTGTTTTACAATGTGTTCCAAAAGTATAGCGATGTCAGCAAATGGCAGATATTTCAATACTTATTTGTTTAATAAACAAACACATATTTTAAATATTTTGAGAATATAATTAAGCATGATGTTATTATATCACAAGATAATGTAATAAACGGTTTCAAAATAAAACTCTTGATATTTGGAAATGGTAACTCTTGTAGATCCCAAAAGCTGTCTCACACTTAATTCTTTTTTTAAAGGTTGAAAATAAAGAGAGATATTGATATTTTTTGGATTTCTCATATCATCAGTTTTATCTTTCCCAGAACTTAAGTATCCTCTGAAAGCCATAGATTAAGCTTCCGAATGAAATGCTCTCCCATTAAAAGAGGACTAGAATGTTTACCTACATAAAGTATTATTTCTATAGTTATAATTATATTTTACCAAAATGTTACTTCATGAGGTATAAAAAATATGTATAAGTCCTTACAGAAATGAAAGGTTGTGAAAAAAATACCAGCATTCAAACAGGAGTATTTCTAAGCACAAAGACAGTCATAGTATTACTTCTGATTATAGTATTATGGGTTAAAACTGAGATATGATTGAACTTGTAACTGGCATGTAAGACAGAGAACTTTTTATTTTTTCAAATTAGAATATTTCTGGGTGTGCTGGCTCATGCCAGTAATCCAAGCACTTTGGGAGGCTGAGACAGGAGAATCACTTGAGCAAAGGATTTGAGACCAGCCTGGACAACATAGTGAAATCCCATCTCCACAAAAAACAAAAATATTGACTGGGCAAAGTGGTGCACACCTATAGTCCCAACTACTCATGAGATTGAGGTGAGAGCACTGCTAGAGCCCAGGAGTTCAAGGCTACAGTGAGATATCATCACATCACTGCACTCAAGCAGCCTGGGCAACAGAACCAGACCCTGTCTTCAAAGCAAAACCGATCACACAACAACAAATTAGGATATGGACAGTTAGTATTCAAGTGCAAAAAAAAAAATCATCTGTGTAGTAGCTGCAAATCCTTATCTAAATAAAATATAGCCTATCTTTAGTTTTTTTCTGAACCTGACTAGGCTCCAACAATTAGTGATGATGATGAAAAAGTACATATAGATGTAACATGTGCTATATTTGACTTTATTTCAGCAAATAAAATATTTAGCAAGTAGTTTATCCTGGTACACCAGAGAATAATAAGATGATAATAGAATTAACAGTGCTCTGTTTATTTAGTCAAGAGCATTAGAAAGAATCTGGCCTAAAGGCCTAAATTTATAATATATTTTCTCAATCTCAAGCATATAGGTTAGTGCTTGTATTTTGAAGGAATAATAAAGCTTAAAGTGAACAGTGGTTTGCTTTATTAGTAAAATGCTGTTTTATCCTCAGAACTAAAACCAAAAGCCAATTGACTTTTTTAAACATTTCAATCAGTATATTTAAAATGCAGAAACATTTAAAGCTGATTAATGCAATTTAAATTAGTGGAAGGAACAGGTAATGTGTAAATTTGCCGGATGAGTCTCTGGGAGTTAATCCAATTTAGCAGTTACGGAGAAGGGGCCGTTTTAATAGCGGGCCTTTAAATGCGTCACGACCAAATTACCAGTTGCTCTGAGAAGAGGATGATGAAGAGGGATACTAGACTGTTATGTTAAAAAATAGAAAGACTCCCCCCAAGATTCAAGAAGCAGCTTTGTTCACTAAAATTCACACAGGTAGACAGCATCAAGTAACATTTTTAAGCAGTAACAGTAACAACAACAAAAAATGGTTGAAACAATGATAAAGTGTTTCCAGATGAGGAAGTTTGGAAACATGAAAGTTGGTAGGCTTTTTTTTTTTTTTTTTTTTTTTTTTGAGATGGGGTCTCAATCTATTGCCCAGGCTGGAGTGCAGTGGAGTGATCTTGGCTCACTGCAACGTCTGCCTCCCAGGTTCAAGTGATTCTCGTGCTTCAGCCTTCTGAGTAGCTGGGACTACAAGCACGCGCCACTATGCCCAGCTAATTTTTGTATTTTTAGTAGAGACGGGGTTTACCATGTTGGTCAGGCTGGTCTTGAACTCCTGACCTCAAGTGATCCATCCGCCTCTGCCCCCCAAATTGCTGGGATTACAGGTGTGAGCCACAGAGCCCAGCCTGAAAGTATTTTAAGAACACAATTGCACATACTAACAAAATGTAGGCTATCAGTATTAAGACAAAAAAAAAAAAAAAGTCAGAGGATGCTCAGCTATTTAAACAGAATTACATCTCTAGATTAAAGCTGATTTGTTCACCCAGGCTACAAAAGAGACCTCAGCTAAGGAGCAATGACTCACTGAAGACTTCTAAATTCAATCTCATGCAGACACACACCAGAGGTGGGACTGGGACTGAGCATTCAAATGTATGCCCCAGTTGAGAGAGATGAATAAAGCATATTCTGACAACTTATAGGGGATAAGAAAGAATATGGAGCAATATCAGCTCAATGTCATTGCATTTCTTGAAAATAACATATAATTATAAAATCCACCTTTTCTCTGAATTTATTTTTCATTTGGTATAGTCAGAAAAAAATACAAACAAGATGTGGCACAATGGGAATTAATACAGGAGATAATTCTTTAAAAAAGTCTTCAGCAATACTAACTATAACAAATAGCATAATGGATAAAGAGAATGAATCAGTACAATTCTAGAACTGTTTTAGCCAATAACAATATGAAGCAGGGTAAGATAGAAATAGGTGATTAGGGAATATAAGCTGTATTTCTAAAAGTTTTGCAATCTGCCACAAACTTGCATGAATTGCATTTGAATGCTTTCACTGTCCCTGAGTTCACTCTGCTATATTATGTCTTATTTGATCTAACACTTAACAGTCTCACTGATCACAAGTATGACGTTTGTAGGAAACAGCATCAAATATTTACAAATTCTGCAGTCAACATTTTTATCCTTATCCTTCTTATATGGGAAAATGTACATTTTAGATGTTTTATAGTTTAGGATAACTTATGATACCAGGGCTTAATAATTTGTTTTGTCAACTTTTTCAAAAGCATGGTGGAAATTGAAATGTATGCAGAATGTAGGAATGAAAGTTTACTTCTGTAGACTTTCACCTTCATTGAGATAGGAAAAAATAAGTCATTTCAGGGGTCACAAACTTTTTCTAAAATGTACTTTTTGAAACTTTTTTTTAAAGATTTGATTTTTTTCAGACCTCTAAAGCTTCTCTGAAGCTGAAAAAGGAATAGAAATTCTCTTCGAAATTAGCATGTGAGCTTACTTTATTTACTCATAATCTTCAAGGGGCTGGAAATTGTATTGAGTTCACTTACTGAGAATAATTGGAGACCCAGAATTTATGCAGAACAAACTAGAGTTTTTCTAACTAGAGACATTTTTTAGTATGATTGATAATTTTAAACATCCTAAAAAAGAACCTATACTGATAGGTGTGAGGTGATGTCTTATTGTGGTTTTGATTTGCATTTCTCTAATGGTCAATGATATTGAGTTTTTCTTCATATGCTTGATGGCCACATGCATGTCTTCTTTTGAATGGTGTCTGTTCATGTTTTTGCATGCTTTTTAATGGTATTGCTACAATTTTTCTTGTAAATATCTTTAAGTTATTTATAAATGCTGGATATTAGACCTTTGTCACATGCATAGTTTGAAAATATTTTCTCCCATTCGATAGCTTATCTTTTTACTCTGTTGATAATTTCTTTTGCTGCGCATAAGCTCTTAAATTTAATTAGATCCCATTTGTCAATTTTTGCTTGTTGAAATTGCTTTTGGCATCTTTGTCATGAAATCTTTGCCAGTTCCTGTGTCCAGAGTGGTATTGCCTACGTTGTCTTCCAGGATTTTTATAGCTTTGAGTTTTACATGTAAGTGTTTATCTTGCATTGATCTTTGTATAAGGTGAAAGGAATAAGTCCAGTTTCAAGCCTCTCCATATGGCTACCTAGTTATCCCAGTACCATATATTGAATAGGGAGTCCTTTCCCCATTGCTTTCTTGTCAGCTT
The DNA here is from genome assembly GCF_000001405.40 of Homo sapiens. NCBI lineage: Eukaryota > Metazoa > Chordata > Mammalia > Primates > Hominidae > Homo > Homo sapiens. The sequence continues at coordinate 191,213,307 of NC_000001.11, forward strand.
TGCCAAAGATCAGATAATTGTACGTGTGTGGCCTTACTTCTGGGCTCTCTATTCTGTCCTATTGATCTATGTGTCTGTTTTTGTACCAGCACCATGCTGTTTTGGTTACTGTAGCCTTGTAGTATATTTTGAAGTCAGATAGTGTGATGACTTCAGCTTTGTTCTTTTTACTTAAAAGTGTCCTGGCTATTTAGGATCTTTTTAGTTCCATATGAATTTTAAAATAGTCCTTTTCTAGTTTTGTTAAAAATGTCATTGGTAGTTTGATAGGAGTATCATTGACTCTGTGAATTGCTTTGGGAAGTATGGCCATTTTAATATTGATTTTTACTCTCCGTGACCATGAAATGTTTTTTCATTTGTTTGTGCCCTCTCTGATTTCTTTGAGCAGCAGTTTGTAATTCTCATTGTAGATATCTTTCACCTCCCTGGTTAGCTGTATTCTTAGGTATTTCATTTTGTGGCATTTGTGAACAGGATTTTGTTCCTGATTTGTCTCTTGGCTTGATTGTTGTGGGTGTATAGGAATGCTAGTATATTTCATACATTGATTTTGTATCCTAAAACTTTGCTGAAGTTGTTTATCAGCTGAAGGAGTTTTGGGGCTGACACTAGGGGGTTTTCTAGAAATAGAATCATGTCTCCTGCTATCGAGGATAATTTGACTTCCTTTCTGCCTGTTTGGATGCCCTTTATTTCTTTCTCTTGCCTGAATGCTCTGGCCAGAACTCCCAATACTATGTTGAATAGGAGTGGTGAGAGAGTGCATCCTTGTCTTGTGCCAGTTTTAAAGGGGAATGCTTCCAGTTTTGCCCATTCAGTATGATGTTGACTATGGGTTTTTCATGGATGGCTCTTATTATTCTGAAGTATGTTCCTTCAATAACTAGGTTATTGAGAGATTTAAACATGAAGGGATGTTGAATTTTATCAAAAGACTTTTCTACATCTAAGGAGATAATCGTGTGGTTTTTGTTTTTAGTTCTGTTTATGTGATGAATCACATTTATTGATTTGTATATGTTGAACCAACCTGGCATCCCAGAGATAAAGCCTGCTTGATTATGTTGGATTAACTTCTTGATGTGTTGCTGGATTCTGTTTGCAAACATTTTGCTGAGGATTTTTTTTTATCAATGTTCATCATGGATATTGGCCTGAAGTGTTCTTTGTTGTTGTTGTGCCTCTGCTGAGTTTTGGTATTAGGATGATGTTGGCCTCATAGAATGAGTTGAGGATTTTTTGGAATAATTTCAGTAGCAATGTTACCAGCTCTTCTTTGTACATCTGGTACAATTCAGCTGTGCATCCTCTGGTCCTGGGCTTTTTTTGGTTGGTAGGCTATTTACTACTGATTCAATTTCAGAGTTTGTTATTGGTTTGCTGTGGCGAGTCAATTTTCTCTGGTCCAGTCTGGAGGGTATATTTTTCCAGGAATTTTCCATCTCTTCTAGGTTTTCTAGTTTGTATGCATAGAGGTATTTATAATAGTCTCTGACGGTTGTTTATATTTCTGTGGGGTCAGTGGTAACATACACTTTGTCATTTCTAATTGTGTTCATTTAGACTGTCTCTCTTTTCTTTTTCATTAGTCTAGCTAGCAGTCTCTCTATCTTATTTATTTAAGAAAAAAAACAGCTCTGGCTTTGTTAATCATTTGAATGTTTTTTCATGTCTCAATCTCCTGTAGTTCAACACTGATTGTGGTTATTGATTGTCTTCTGCTAGCTTTGGGGTTGGTTTGCTCTTGCTTCTTATTAAAACATCAAAAAGAAAAAACAGATGCTGATGATATTGAGGAGTAAAGAAAACACTTATATACTGCTGGTTAGAGTGTACATTAGTTCAGCCATTGTGGAAAGCAGTGTGTCGATTCCTCAAAGAACCTTAAACAGAACTACCATTTGACCCATTACTGGGTATATACTCAAAGGAATATAAACTATTCTACTATAAAGGCACATGCATGTGTATGTTCATTGCAGCACTATTCACAATAGCCAAGGAATCAACCTGAGTGCCCATCAATGGCAGACTGGATTTTTAAAAATGTGGTATATATACTCCATTGAATACTATACAGCCATAAAAAGAGTGAGGTCATGTATTTTGTGAGAATATGGATAGAGCTGGAGGTCATTTTCCTTAGCAAAATAATGCAGTGACATTCAACCAAATGCTGTATATTCTCACTGATAAGTGGGAGCTAAACCAAATACTGTATGTTCTCAATTATAAGTGGGAGCTAAATGATGAGAACACATGAACATAAAAGGGGAAGAGATACTGGGGCCTACTTGAGGGTGAAGGGTGGGAGGTGGGAGAAGATAAAAAAAAATAACTATTTTTTACTGGGCTTAGTACCTGGGTGACAAAATAACCTGTACAACAAACCTCCATAACACGTATTTATGTATATAACAAACCTGCACATGTACCTCTGAATCTAAAATAAAAGCTTTTTATAAAAAGGAAAGCACCCACTTTTTTCTATTTCTATTTTATTTGATGTAGTCAACATGTCATGCCATGTGACATTTCGTTATTTATCTTTGGTTGTGCTACCATACTAAGAGATCTCATTTAGTAACTGTATTTTTGCTTTGTGACTTCAAGTTATAAATAATTACATTGTATAAATGTACTCTTCATTTCTATAAATTTTAATGTTAACAAACTATATAAAATATTATGCTGAAATACCAATATATATTTTAAAAATTAGAATACAGTAGAAAAAATCATTATTTTGCAAAAATTTTTGTATAAAAAGTATCTTGTAATGGACATTTCATTGACCACCTGGACTCTCTCTCAATTAGATTAATATAAGATGTTGAATTGTCATTACCAAGTTTCACTTTAAGATGTCTCTCAATATTGTCAGCAGCATATTCACTGACATTAGTTGACATAGTTATAAAACCAATATTATCAGTTGATAATTTTCTAGGATTCTGTGAGTTAAAGGAACTTAATTCTTTGGTCCACTAGGTAAGATTCTCAAATATGGGTTTACAAACTAGTTCTCTTGGGAAGTTCTCAGTAGTATAATTATGGAAATTGGGAAACAACACTGAGGTTTTCATAAAGTAAAATGTATTCAATTTAACTGGCATCTTTATTCTGGTATTGTATTTTCATAAGCTTTTATTACTGAAATGGCTTTTATAATATTGTCATGGTTAATTTTACATGTTAATGTGGCTAAGCTAAGGGATGTTGTATTAGTTCATTTTCACACTGCTATAAAGAACTACCTGAGACTGGGCAATTTATAAATAAAAAGAGGTTTATTTTACTCACCATTCCACAGGCTAACAGGAAGCATCACTGGGGTGCCTCAGGGAATTTACTATCATGGCAGAAGGCAAAGAGGAAGCAAGCATGTTTTACCATGGCAGAGAAAGAGAGAGAGAGAGTGAGGGTGGGGAAGTGCCATACTTTTTAACCATCAGGTCTCATAAGAACTCACTCAGTATCATGAGAACAGGATGGGGGGAACCAGCCTATATGATCTAATCACCTGCCACCAGTCCCCTTCTTCAACACATTGGGATTATAATTCAACATAAGATTTGGATAGGGACACAGAGGCAAACCATATCGTTCTACCCCGGCCCCTCCCAAATCTCATACCTTTCTCACATTTCAAACACAATCATGCCTTCCCAACAAACCCGTAAAGTCTTAATTTATTCCAGCATCACTCAAAAATCCAAGTCCAAAATCTCATCTGAGATAAGGTGAGTTGCTTCCAACTATGAGCCTGAAAAATCAAAAGCAAGTTAGTTACTTCCAAGATATAATGGAATATAGGCAGTGGATAAATACTCCCATTCCAAAAGGGAGAAATCAGTCAAAACAAAGGAACTACAGACCCCATGCAAGCCCAAAACCCAGTAGAGCAGCAATTAAATCTTAAAGTTCCAAATTAACATCCCTTGACTCATGGTTTCCATCCAGTACTCACTGATGCAAGGGGTGGATTCCCAAGACCATAGACAGGTTTATGCTTGGAGCTCTACAGGGTACAGCCCCCATACTGCTTTCACAGGCTGGGATTGAGTGCCTGTGGCTTTTCCAGGAACACAGTGCAAGCTGTTGGTGAATCTACCATTCTGGGGTCTGGAGGACAGTGGCCCTCTTCTCACAGCTCCACTAGGCAGCACCCTAGTGGTGACCCTGTGTTGGGGCTCCAATTCCAGATTTCCCATTCACACTGCCCTTGTAGAGGTTTTCCATGAGGACTCTGACCCTACAGCAGACTTCTGCCTGGACATGCAGGCAGATGGAAATCTAGGCAGAGGTTCCCAAACTCTTGTCTTCTGTATACCTGCAGGCCCAACACCTCATAGAAGCCACCAAGGATTGGGGCATGCACCCTCTAAAGCAACAGCCTAAGCTGTATCTTGGTCCTATTTAGCCATGTCTGGAGCTAGAGTACCCGGGACACAGGGTGCCATGTCTGGACCTGGAGCAGCTGGGACATAGGGAGCCATGTCCCAAGGCTGCATAGAGCAGTGGGGACCTGGGCTTGGCCCAGGAAACCATTTTTTCCTTCTAGGCCTCCAGGCCTGTGATGAGAGTGGCTGTCACAAAGGTCTCTGACATGCCATGGAGACATTTTCCCCATTGTCTTGGGTATTAACATTTAGCTCCCCTTAACTTATGCAATTTTCTGTAGCTGGCTTAAACATCTCCCTAAAAAAGGTTTATTTTTATTTTGTACCACATGATCAGGCTGCAAATTTTCCAAACTTTTATGCTCTTCATCTCTTTTAAACATAAACTCCAATTTCAGACCATCTCTTTGTGAATGCATATGACTGTATGCTGTTAGGAACAATCAGATCACTTCTTGAATGCTTTGCTGCATAGCAAATTTCACTCGATATCCTCAATCATCTCTCTCAAGTTTAAAGTTCCACAGATCCCTAGAGCAGGTGCTATGCTGTAAGTCTCTTTGCTAAAGCATAACAATGGTGACCTTTGCTCCAGTTCCCAATAAGTTCCTCATCTCCATCTGAGACCACATCACCCTGGACTTCATTGTCTACATCACTATCAGCATTTTGGTCAAAATCATTAACAAGTATCTAGGAAATTCCAAACCTTCCTTTATCTTCCTGTCTTTCTCTAAGCCCTCCACATTCCAACCTCTGCCTGTTACCCAGTTCCAAAGTTGGTAGCACATTTTCAGGTATATTTATAGCAATGCCCCACTCTCCTGGTACCAATGTCCTGTATTAGTTTGCTTTCACACTGCTATAAAGAAATACCTGAGACTGGGTAATTTATGAAGAAAAGAGATTTGACTTACTCTTCCACAGACTTAACAGGAAGCATGACCGGAAGGGCTTAGGAACTTATAGTCAAGGCAAAAGGTGAAGAGGAAGGAAGCCTGTCATACCACCACAGTGGAGCAGGAGAGACACAGAGAGAAAGGAGCTGGGGAGTGCCACAATTTTTTTTTTTTTTTGAGACAGGGCCTGACTCTCTTCACCCAGGCTGAAGTGCAGTGGTGCGATCTCAACTCACTGCAGCTTTGACTTCCTAGTCTCAGGTGATTCTCCCACCTAAGCCTCCTGAGTATCTGAGATTAAAGGCATGTGCCACCAAGTCCAGCTAATTTTTGTATCCTTAGTACAGATGTGGTTTCACTATGTTGCCCAGGCTTGATGAGGTGCCACACTTTTAAACTGTCAGATCTTTTGGGATGTCACTCACTATCATGAGAACAGCATGGAGGAAATCCTCTCCCTATGATCCAATCACCTCCCACCAGGACTCTTCTTCAGCAGGTGGGAACTATAATTCAACATGAGATTTGGGTGGGGACACAGAGTCAAACCATATCAGATGTCCAGATAGCTGGTAAAACATTATTTCTCTCTGTAAGGGTGTTTGTGGAAGAGGTTAGCATTTGAGTCAGTAGACTGAGGGCAAAAAATTTACCTCACTAACATGCATGGGCATCATTCAATCTGCAAAGAACATGAATAGAACAAAAAGAGGAAGGGTAAATTCGCTCTCTCTGAATTGGGTCATCTATCTTCTCCTACTCTTGGACATCAGCACTCCTGTTGTAAGGCATGCAGACTCAGAGTAAATTATACCACTTTCCTGGTTCTTCATCTTGCACACAGAAGATCATGGGACTTCTTGGGCTCTGTAATCATGTGAGACAATTCCCATAATAAAAAAAAAAATAAATCACAAACACACACATACACCACACACACACACACACACACACACACACACTTCCTTCTACACCCAAAGCTGTAGGTTAATTACTTAGTGTCTTTTATAAGACTGTGAAAGAAAGATCAGATACTGCTAATGCTGATTATTGAATGCCCTGCTGGATAACTCTTGGCTTTGTTTCTATGAAGAACATTAGTATAAATATAAAAGTGTAAGGATTTTGACGGTATTTAGATTTTATTCTCCCATACTTAATTTAAATACAAATTGTCAACACAATGTCATTTCCTCATTTTAAATTTTAAAGATGTGGCTTGGCTAAATAAAAAAAAAATATTATAGGACCACCTAGTTATAATCTGGACATAATCTTGTATACTACATCAAAAGTTATTTTTATTTATTCACTCAAAGGATTACTTTATTAAAGTCAACATTAAACAACCAATATAATAATAAAGAAAAGAATGAAAGAGCATTTGCAAGACCAAGAAAAGAGCAAGAGCTTGTGTAAATGTGTTCACTCAAAGGATTACTTTATTAAAGTCAGCATTAAACAACCAATATAATAATAAAGGAAAGAAAGAGCATTTGCAAGACCAAGAAAAGAGCAAGAGCTTGTGTAAATGTGAGAATGAAAAAATAATGCTATTCAAGACTCCTCTTGGGACTTACTCTTCCAAAAAATGTAGTGACATGTCAATAACATAAGTTTGGAAACTAAAACAAATACAGATGCTCAATTCATAGATTTGTGACTTTAAAACAGTCTTGATAATGTTAGTAAATATCTTGGAGTCTCTCTCCACCTATTAGAAGGGGATAGATAAGTTATAACAAAAAGTAAAAGAGCTAAATTATATGAAAAGTCTTCTATATGTCTTAACTAATGTTAGTTTTCTTTCTCATAAATTTCTCTTCACATCACCATTAATAAAAACATGTACATCTCTGATATGGGAACAAAATAAAATGATTAACTCCTAACTGTTAGAGGCCACTATGTCTATCTATTTATCTCACCAAATACCAAGTTTATTAATGATTAAAAGATAAAGGCAAAAGTTAGGCACAGATAGAGTATTACTTGTGGAAAAACTTGAATCTGTGAGGTACAGCTTCTAAATGTCCCCTTTCTTTAGCTCTACTCGTGTTTTTAATTAATAGGAAATTTTTGAATAATATGTGCAGAATTACTGTTCTTAAGGGAAACTGTTTCTTAAGGGAATCTGTCTCAGGTTGATTGCTCTATAGTTTTATATTCTTGGGTATGTAGGAAAAAATGCTGATGTAATTAGCTTCCCCTTTGCTACCAGCCATTCTATTCTCTGTAAGTCCATAAATTCAAATTTTATTTATAATAATTAATTGAGGCACATCCATTATAACTTGATAAAAATAAATTTTAATATTCTTTTAAAATCTGAAATAAAAAGAAAATTATTTCATCTAATCCTGATTAGATCTGTTGTTCAAATATTGACAAATATCATAATAATGTCTATAATAGCAAAATAATCCATTTCAGATATATGCTTCACATTTAATTGTCCTAAGTTTCCTTCAGTCTAAATAAGTATCTCAGACTTTGACACTTAAAAGGCATTTCTTAGATAGGGACTCCATTAAATCAATCAGTAAGTACCATCAGAACGTTTATTAGGAGGCTGGTAAGAGGTGTTCTTTCCATGGGACATCCCCTTAGTAAGAGAGAAATGAGTCCCAGTTCTGTCCTTACTCTTTCCCCTCCCATTTACTTGATTTACTTGTTCTCCAGGAAAAGGCAACATGAACTCCTATAATAAAGATAACAAAGAATGATGAGTTATTTATTGAGTTACAATCTTCCTTTCTCATCTGATGCTCATGGTTGGTGTTCCTCTGGTTGCTGACAAAATTTTATGAAAAGTTTTATGTTTGTTTTCTCCCCTCATTGTAACTTATAAAACTATACTATAAGAGGGCAAAGGCCAGTCCTTGCAGTACCATGCTATAGAAACATTAGTATTTTATTATTAGGCCAACTTTTTGAGAAAAATTTGGATTATCACGTGGCAAGTGGCTAAGAAGCATTTGGACCTGCAAGAGAGATTTTTCAAAGTCTCTTTGGTATATTTATTTCTATGCCTACATAGTATCTAGAATATACATATAAAGATTTTTTTTTTACCAATTTTCATTTGTCTCCACCATCATTGTAGAAGTCTTCATTCTCTTTATGTGGATAATCATTCTAGTGATGTGAGAGATAGTCTCTCCCTTTCTCTATGTCTAAACAAAGAATTAAAAATTTTCATATTAAGTGGCCTTATACACAATTCTTAGAGGGTCTGATATGGTGGTGGATGAGTAATGAGGGGAAATTCCATTACTTTTATGATGGAAATGGTTCCATTCAGTGGTCCTTTTATTGAGAAGGAAAATTTTTCTATTTTGGTTTAAGGTTCAAAGAAACGAATAATTAAGAATTTTTTCCCTATTTTTTAAAATAAGCTTCTCTTTATAGTACTGTATTCCTTAACAGAACGGACAAATAGCAGAGTTCATTTAGAAAGAGAAAGATCTTGAAATACATAAATGTTCTGTTAATGTGATTATAACTTGTTTTTGTACCGTTGAAGGTACTTAATGCTTTTAGACAGGCATAGTAAGTTATTTTAATAAATACACTAATAAAAAAGAAGAGAGCTTTCAATTTGTATATCATGCCGAGCTGAAATCTGTATTTAAATGCATCTGGGGCTTTCTTTGCTAGATGGCTAGCAATTAATCATGATTATAGTATTTGATTGCCTATCATCTATAGGCTATTACAGAGAGACTGTTTTCTAAGTACCATAGTGTTCCCAAACAAAACTGAGGGTTGGGCTTCTATTTCTCATGGGCCAATAACGAGATACACATGAACTAAGGAGGAAGCGAGTGTGTATTTCTGCAACTGGTTACAGGGAAAGGGCCTGGAAATTATCACCATGCCAATTCAAAATTACAAAGTTTTCCAGAGGCAATATACCTTCTAAGCGATACGTCTACATGTAAGTGTGCATTCATCTAAAGACATAAGTGATTAACTTCTTTTAATCTATAACTAAGGTCTGAGTCTTGAAGACCTTCCTCTGGAGCCTCTGTAAATTTACTTAATCTAAATGGGTCCAGGTGCTGGGTGATTAACCTTATCTTGTCTCCTGCTAAATCATGGAGGTTTGGGGAGTTCCTTCAGACCCCTAATAAACTTGTTTGTGGAAGCCTGGGGAGTTTCTTCAAACCTGCAATAAAACATGTTTAATTCTAAATTGGCCCTGTTAAGAATTTCTTCGTTATTTTGTCATGCTTTAAGGCCCAGGAAAGACCTAGGCAAAACCCTTGGTGGGCTTTTATTACATTCTAGCCTTTGAATAAGGGCAGTGACTTTTAATATTTAACTTAACCACTAAGTCAATACTGGAACAGTTGTTATGGAGGCCTGCATTAGTGAGACCTGGCCTGCTACAATAGGACCCACATTAATTGACATATAATTTGATTCTGATTTTCATCATAATGTAGACTAGACTTCTGGATACAAACACACACTCAAACACACACACACAGAGAGAGAATGAGAGAGAAGGAGAGATGTATACTATAAAAATAAAGTTATCTCAGGAAAATATCAATAATTTAATGACCTAAAACAGAAAATTAAAAATCCCTCCATATAAGCACTGTTGTAAATCCATTTAAAACTAAAACATTATTTTAGTACTGTCCTAAAAGCAGTTACTGGTACCACTAAAAAATATTCAAAAGTGACTCAGAATATGAAGATGACCCTTAGCCACATACATAGATTCATAATTGGAGTTTTACTCAAGACACACATAATATACATCCATTTTCAGCCTCATTTAACAATAGTGCTCTAGTATGTCTGAAGTCATATTCCTGTCTCATAGCTATTAATTTTGCACACAATTTCCAATCTGTATAAAACCTGTATTCTATTTCTAGTCTATTACAAATACATTGTTTAGAGAATTGGTATAAACCTAATGCTACTGACCTTAACATGATAATAGAACATTTTCACCACTAGGATTATTTTAATTCAACAGAGTATACAAGAAGAGAATCAGTTTAAAAGAAAAAAATACACAAAATGATAATATTATAAGAAGACAGATAAAGAAATAAGGAGGGAAGGAAAGAAGAGAGGGAAACAAATAGGCAGAAAGAGAGAAAGGAAAAAAGGAATAGCTGCAGTAATTCAGTGAGAATACCAAGGCATAGAAATAAGCATATATATTAAGACAATGTAATGCATGTTAAATACTAGGGTAAAAAGAATTTAATTATTAGGCCATTACATGGAAAACACAATTTACTCAAGAACATTTGGCAACATTCATTGAGTTAATATCAAGCAAATCAAAGATCCCAAGTCATTCAATTTTTGCATTTCCATCTGAAACTTCAGGTATGATGGAAATAAACCAAAGAGCTTCTAAGTAAAATCATTTTACACTCTTTTTTTTTTTTATCAAACGTTTTTATGTGTCTGTGCGTGCGTGTATGTGTATGTAAAAGTCAATATAAATTTGGGACATTTTACTTTCCATGATTATTGTTAATAAGACTGACAATCACCACCCATTTGAAATGAAAGCCCTCATCATTGTATCCTCAAGAAGAATTCTGATAATTTTTATGCCTGAGAAGGGATAGATTACTTAGCTGCTCACTCCTCCCTGGTGAATTTCATTAAAATAAAAAAAATAAAGTAAATATGTGTAATGGTTGGGAAAGAATATATATAGGAGGTAATATAGTTAACATCATTTAGGAGTATATGTTTTCAACATTCCATGAGTCCCCTGTGAAATTGCTGTAAATCCTAAACATATGTTAATTCCAATCCTAAATCAGGAGACCTTCTCGAATAAGATTATGTATTATTTATAGCACTGTTACTCAAACACATAAAATGATTTTAAGATTATAGCATGGTTTCTGATAAAACAACCAACCAAGCAAAATTCATAAAGATTTTTAAATAATTGGTTAGCTGGCATTTCATAAATATGAAATGTAAGATTAATTATGAGTTTTCATTTGAATTCCTATTCTATCAACTTAACAAATCTAGATTATGCTGCTAAACCAAGCAAATTCAGTAGCTTAAAACAACCTAAATTCATTTATTGCACAGTTGACATGACATTGTGAGTTGGCTGGGAACTCTACTCCATACTATTACCTCATACTTTATAATGAAGGGATCATTTTATAAAAATGTTTATTTTATATGATATGATGTGAAGTCATTTAATGTCAGCTTGAGCTTATATTCAGGCAAATCCCAAATCTCAGACAATTGCTTATTCAAGTTACATTGTGTAGAATTAAAAAAATAGTAACATACTGCTCTAATTTGGTGAAAATTAAAGTGAGAGTCAGGAAATAAGTCATGTCAGTAAATAAGACTACATAACCCATACAGTAGATATTAATATTTATTTTGCAGACAAAAATTAAGTTGATTGTAAGTTAATTTGAAGTATTTCATCAAAGTTTTCTGAACATAATGATGAAAAAATATATAATTTCAATGGAAAAAACATATAAAAGATATCTGAATGAATAAACTGATCTCATATTTTAAAAATAATGTTTTATATTATATTAAATGTTTTCATTGATAATAAAATTTTATTAGTAAAATATTCAGTAATAAATTTTACTAGACATTAAAAACACAAGGATGAGTAAGATGTAGGCATATTTCTTTTCCTCAACAATTTTAATTTTATAAGATAAAATAACTTAGAAAATCATTTGAGATTTTGACAAGTTTTATAAAGGATGCTGTCACTGATAAAGATGAGGGTGAAGAAGCTATTTTAAAGAGAATGACAAGGGGACCTCAGTATTGTAGTGACATTTAAGGCTGATACCTAGAAGATGAGACTAAGTCATTTGTTGAAAGAGACAAGAGTAAAGCATAAGGGGAAAAACTCAGCTGGAGACATTGATGTGCTCTACAAACTATGAAAAAGCCAGAACTGACCATTGGTTTTAGATGCAACAGATGAAGCGCTTAAAAGAGTTCACTCTCATTCTTACAGAACAGAGGAAGCTGAACAAACGTCAAAACAAATGGCATTTCTTGGATCCACCTGAGAACTGAAGTTGCAGGGGAACTGCCATCTCAATGCGCAGAGAGAAAGGTATATCGAGAGAGATAAAATAACCACGATCTGCTTACACGGAGTAGTGCGCACTGGAGCCATAGAAGGGCACTTAAACAGCAATATTGATGAATTACTGCAGGCCGAACGTGGACTAGTATGGCAGTGAGAATCTGCTGAAGGTCCCAGGCCCAAGGGAGCCTTCACACTTCCACACCAGGATTTTTTGGTGAGGATTCAAAAGATCACTTGTGATTATGGCAGAAGAAGAGGAAGATAAATCTTTGTGAAATTCACTCAGAACCTTCTATATTATTCCAGGTATAAGGACTTTGCCCAGTTCTGAAACCTTATTCCTGCCCGGAAAGGAAATTTCTTCTCCCTTCAGCTATCTCTTGCCTTCCCTTCTCACCTGAGTGAATGGTTTACGGGGCTCAGGGATTTAAGGAGGTAGACTGGCTGGAAAGGATGTAGCCAGGGAACTAAACGGGGGCAGAAGCAAGAAAGCTATGCAATTGAATAAACACATCAAAGTCACAATCCCAAGATAGAACCCACAAAAAACGAGATTTAATCAGAAGATTACAGAACATTCCTCTTTTCTGACACCTTATCACCACGCCAAGAGGGCTCAGAATGATAACAGCAGATTACATCTGAAAGAGCTGTAAGGCACAAACTGTCTTTGAGGAAGAGGTACATAAGAAGACCATAGTCCCGGAAAAAAACAAACAAACAACAACAAAAAAAAGTTAAAGAGCCCTGGAAAACTTGGAAGCTTCTGGCACCTACAGGAGAGTTTACAATTTTAGCTGCTGAATGAAGAGACTGTTTCAATAAGGAAGATGTGAACTTTTTTTAAAGGTGATAATGAGTTGAGTGAGATAACCTAATATGTCCAGTGAATGCGAAAAATGGACATGATAGGTTACCTTGACCAAAGTACAGTAATTTCACTGATATGGTGAAGATTGGAAATGAATTGATAAACACTTGCCTACTTTATGGTAAACCCATTCAACACCCTAAGATAGCCTGACATTTTACAAGGTGTTAAGTTGAATCATGTATATAGAATGATATAAGAAATCCAAAAATAGCAAATAAAAACTGATTTCTGTGGTAACAAGAAGCAGCTAGTCTTTTAATATTAAAACACTTAATAACAAATGGTTTTTCTAATTTTCCTTTATACAATAAATAAAATGAAGAACTATACATAGAAAAATATATATATAATATAAAAAATAAAATACTATAACTTAAAGATGAAACTTGAAGTTATAATATTGATAAAAGTATGTGATCATAATCAGCAATTTTGAGAGGATACACTAAATAATAACAATTCAGTTTTTTTATTTAAATACTTGATAAATATAAAAATGTTATTTTATCTTTTTTTCTTCTACTTTTTCAAAATATTGACTGTGCATGAATGGAAAGCTCTATATGCATGTATAGAATCAGATAAGTTTTATTTACTGAACACTGAGGCTGCTGAGAATTTTCCTGATTATGCCAAGATGAAGAACATTCTTTAGTTAAACAATAGACAACTAAAAGTATAAGCTTATCCATTTTAGCTACACAATTTTCAATACATTTTCATTTTTACAACCATAAACACGTCCTCTTCACTACCTATATAACACTTGAGAAAAGAAAATTGATATTTATTTTGAAGAATTTTACATATAAATTTTGCGGTGAAATATGTCATAACTATCAATCAAATCAAAACAAAATCAGAATTCATCTAATTGTCTACTGTCATATAGATATGACCTCAGTTGCTGATGATATCGTTTAAATTTGACTTGACATATCATGTTTACAACAGACACATATTAAAAACAATTCACTTATTTTATTAGTCTATATATGTGTGTGTACATGCATGGTCATACATGTGTTTGTAGGTTATGCAATTTAGGTAGCAAGATCATCACAAATAATTTGGATAATTCCAATATTATTTAGTGAATCTATGTCTTTATATGACTATTAGGGGAAAAATGTGTCTTTATTGTGGTCATGCTAATATTTCTTGCTATTACTCTATATAACACTGAGGTATAGAAATATGACTATAGAATATATAAAAACAGGTTTTCAATATATACATATATAGGTTTGGTAGGTCTATAAATATGCAGAAGTGGGAGGATATTGTAAAACATTGATTTATCATCCATTTAGAAAGTCATCTTTTAATTTACTCATATGTTTTGTCAGGTATAGTAAAGAAAGGTTTAATTGTTGGAGCTTTATTTCTGAAACAGATATGCCACAAAAGGTAGTAGTTCAAACACATAGAAGTTTGTCTCACTCTTAAGACAGTCCAAATGGGTGCTTATGTTAATGAACATGTCCTTTCCACACAGTGATTCAAATACCCAGGTTTCTTCCATTTTTGTATCATCACCATACCTAGGATCCCAGAAACCTCTTAAAACATGTAGGAAAGAGAATGAAGAAGATGGAATTTTAAAAAAACATAACCTCTTGGCCTGGAAGAAATACATATAATGTCTGCTTCCATTCTGCTGGTAATAACAAGTAACATGGCCACACCAATTATAAGAGGATAGAGAGTTCAGCATAGGGGAAACTGATTTAGCTGAGAAGTTACTTACCAGACAGCTCTATACATTTCGGAAGGGATAATAGATTTTGAGCAAAAGCAGTCTTTGCCACAGTCTAACCTCTGGTCAGCAGAAACCATATTTTTCACTTTATGCGGAGATCATATACACCTACCACTTTTTCAGGAGAGTTGGCCTAAAGTAAAATCTTTTTTATGTCTCAACATTCATTATCTCTGAATTATATATATAAAATCATGTCTCACTTAATGACAGAGATACATTCTAAGAAATGCATTGTTAAGTGATTTTATCATCATATGACATCATAGAGTATACTTACACAAACCTAGATTGTATAGGCTACTACACATCTAAGCTGTATGGTATAACTGATTGCTCCTAGGCTAGGAGCTGGTATAACATGTTACTGTACTGAATACTGTAGGCAATTGTGACACAATACTAAATATTTGTGTATGTAAACATATCTAAACATACAAAAGTGACAGGAAAATATAAAATATTTTTTAATAATATACCTGTAGAGGGCATATATCATGAATGGAGCTTGAAAGACTGGAAGTTGCTCTGAGTGAGCCAGTGAGTGAGTGATGAGCGAATGTGAAGGCCTCAGACATTACTGTCCACTACTGTAGACTATATAAACACTGTATACTTAGGGTACACTAAATTTGTCAAACACGTTTTTCTTCAATAATAAATTGATCTTAGCTTCCTATACCTTTTTTATTCATAAATGTTTAAATTCTTCGACTCTTTTGCAATAACATTAGCTTAAAACACACACACATTGTACAGTCGTACAAAATATTTTCTTTTTTTATATTCTTATAAGCTGTTTCTGTGTTTAATTTTTTATTTTTATTTTGTAAACTTTTTTGTTTAAAACTAAAATACAAACACACATATTAGTCTAGGCCTACACAGGATCAGGATCATCAATGTTATTGCCTTATGCGTCTACATCTTGTCCGACTGAAAGGCCATCAGGGACAGTAACACATATGGAGCTGTCATCTCCTGTAACAATGCCGTCTTCTGGAATACTACCGTAGAACCTGTCTGAGGCTGTTTTACAGCTTTTAACTTTTTTATAAATATAAGTAGAAGGAGAAATAGTATACTCCAAAATAATCATATAAATAGTGTAGTAAATAAATAAATACATAGTATAGTATATACATGAACAGAATAATAATAATGGTTTATTTTTTGTCAAGTATTATGTACTGTACATAATTGTATGTGCTATAATTTTAGACTACTGGCAGTGCAGTAGGTTTGTTTCCAATAGCATCACCACAAACACATTAGCAATGCTTTGTGCTATGACATTATGTTGGCTATGACATCAATAGGTGATAGAAATGTTTTAGCTCCATTAATAATCTTATATGCCCAGAATTGTATATGCCATTCATTATTAAATGAAATGTTGTTATGTGGTGCATAGCTATACTTGTGTCTCTCTATCAGGTATAGATTTGTTTCTCTATGTTTTGCTAGTCTGTAAACCAAAAGACAAGCAAACTGCCCTACCTTTATCCAAGCCATTATTTTTCAGAATAGTGACTAAAAAAAAAACACAATTAGCACCCAGACTAAATAACAGAAGAATAAAGGCACACAGTAATAATTAGTTGACGGCAAAGACGCAAACCTACTGGGCAGGAAAAATGAAGACACTAACTTGGCAGAGAAGCAAGTTTTCTATTAGCTCTCAAACTGCCCTTTAAGAGGAATCCATTACCAGTCTCTAGGAAAGATACCATTTTGGGGAGCTGTGAAGCTTTCTCAATCATTTTCCAATGATCCAATTATGAAGAGCAAAAAGTATTTGAAAACTTTGAGAGTCAAAATCTTTCTAATGACTAACTCCTGGAATGGCAGAATGAGAACTTTGATAAACTTGGTGTTCCATGAAAACAACAACAACAAACAAAAAAAAAAAAAAAAAAAAAGGAAAAACAGCTAAAATTAAACTGGAAATTAAACAAAACTACAAAACAATTGAAAACTATCTTTTAACAAGAAACTACTAAACCTCGGTAAGACAGCTGTTGGTGGTGTTTTAAATTGGGCCTATTCTTGTCTTGCATCCCTCTTCAGCTTCCTGGCATGGTAACTGTGAAAAGCTCACAGCTGTGCGAGGGTATTACAGCTATTTTTTACTCAGAGTTCAGCTCAAGAAAAAAATCCCCATCCCTAAGATATTACCAATGTCTATAGATATATGCTGACAATATTGCAGCTGTCTAAGTCTATGATTTAAGATGAGGCCCACAAGATCCTGGAGAAAAATTAAAATAAATATGTAGAAAATTAGATGGTGATAGAAAATTTTGAAACTCTTCAATATGTTCCTGAAGATCTAGAAGGCTGTGTATATACACTTACCTGTGTACATGCCCAATAAGACAGGGAAAAGCCGGGCACGGTGGCTCAAGCCTATAATCCCAGCACTTTGGGAGGTTAAGGTGGGTGGATCACCTGAGGTCAGGAGTTCAAGACCAGCCTGGCCAACACAGTGAAACCCTGTCTCTACTAAAAATATAAAAAAATTAGCCAGGCATGGTAGTGGGTGCCTGTAATCACAGGTACTCAGGAGGCTGAGGCAGGAGAATTGCTTGAATCCAGGAGATGGAGGTTGCAGTGAGCCAACATGGTCCTGCTGCACTCCATCCTGGGTGACATAGTGAGACTCTGTCTCAAAAAAAAAAAAAAAAAAAAAAAAAAAAGACAGGGAAAATGAGAAGGAAACAGTTGTGCACTCCTTGCTTTCCTTGAGATCCTGAAAAGCAAGAAGACAAAAATAAGAGTGTCTTGTAAACAATCTGAAGGTTGAAGGTGTGCCTTCACACATTAATCTACTTGTCCATGAAAGAAGACACACAGGTACGGTATGTAAGAAAATATTCTGCATGAACGTAGGCTAACCACCAAATTGTCAGGACCTAGAGATTAATCTAAATAAGCCAAAATTAAAAATGAAAATAAGAAGAAGAAAAAGAAAAAGCTATCTGTGAAGTCAATGACTAAGGACTGCAAGAAATACAGAATCTAAAGAATCCAGGAAGGTCAAAAACAAATAAATAGAAAGGAGAAAAACAACAGCAACAAAAAAAAAATTTAGCAAAACCACAGAACCTCTCTGCAAGCCAGAGGAATCTGATTCCAGAGTTGTTAAAATAAATTCTCTAAAGTTCATTTTTCAACCAAAAATATTACGAGAAATGCAAAATAATAGAATATATATAACAAGTTGAGAAAAAAATCAGCCAACACAAAATGTCCCTAAGTAGGAATAGATATTAGACTTAAAAGGCAACAAATTGTAAATCAGATTTACAAACATATTTAAATAACTAAAAGAAACTATAGATAAACAAATTAAAGGAGGAATGACAATTATGTCTCACCAAATATATACCAATAAACAAACCAAATGAAAGTTCATTCAGAGGTCAACAGGTAAAGTAACTACATATTTTCAAAAATTACTAGAGGCAGGGCGTGGTCTCATGCCTATAATCCCAGCACTTTGGGAGGACAAGGCAGGCATATCACGAGGTCAGGAGTTCGAGACAAGCTTGGTCAATATGGTGAAACCCCATCTCTACTAAAAATACAAAAATTAGCCGGGTGTGGTGGTGCATGCCTGTAGTCCCAGCTACTTGGGAGGTGGAGGCAGGAGAATTGCTAGAACCTGGGAGGAAGAGCTTGCAGTGAGCCGAAATTGTGCCAATGCACTCCAGCCTGGGCAACAGAGCGAGACTCCTCTCAAAATAAATACATAAATAAATAAATAATAAAAATACTACAAAAGCTAACAAATAGATTTGATCTGAAATAAAAATCAGTGAACTTTAAGATAGGTCAATAGAAATTATCTATTTTAATTATTAGAATGAAAAATAAAAGAAGTAAAATAAAAAGAGCCTCAGTGAATCTATTAAACCATCAAGGATACCAACAAAGGGAGTTTAGAGAATGAGAGAGGGAAGAGAAGAGGGCAGAAAATGATTTAATGAATGAAAAATATTTTTCTATTTTTCCAAGATGTTGAGTAACCCAGGAAGAAAAAATATAGTGCAAAAAGATCCACACTTAGGCGACATAACAGTCAAGCAGACAAAAGTCAAAGACAAAGAAAAATTGAAAGCAGCAAGACAAAAAGTTTTGTCCCATAGATGGAATTCTCAGTAAGATTAACATTTGACTTCTCTTCAGAAATCATGGAAACCAAGAGACAGGAAAATGAGATCTTGAATTGTTGAAACATATTTGCAACCTGGAATTAAAAATTCAGCAAAACACTTCTTTAAATAAATGATAAAAAAGTAAGGCATTCGAAGATAAATAAAAACTCATGGAATTTTTTGCTAGTAGACCATCCCTATAAAAAATACTAAGAGAGTCCTTCAGGCTAAAATTAAAGAGAACTAGACAAAGACACAAATTTACATTTAAAAAACGAATACCTAAATAAAGATAACTTCACAGAGAAATGTAGAAAACAGTATAAAAGTATGTTTGTAACACTTTTCTTCTATTTTATTTATAAGAAAACTGCATACAGCAATAATTGCTTATCTCTGTTGATTGCTTTATATTGTGTAAATATGAATAAGTGGGGTGTATTCCAGAAATACAAGACTAGTGCAATATTTAAAAATCAATCATTGTAATATAACACATTAATAAAATAAAAATAAGATCACCTCAATAGACACAGCAAAAAATTTAACAAAATCAAATACACTTTCATGATTTAAAAATACCCTCAAGCAAATGTGAATAGAAGATAACTTTAAAAATCTGTATACAGCATCTATGAAAAGCTCACAGCTGAAATCATAATTAGTGAAAGAAAAGCTTAATGCTCTTATATTATGATAAGATATGAGACAAGAATGTTCATTCCTGCTGCTTATATTGAATATTTTAATGGCAGTTCTAGGTAGTAAAGCTAGGTTAGAAAGGAAAAGTCATCCAGTTTGTAAAGGAAGAAATAAAATTATTTCTCTTTGCAGTTGTCATGATTTTGTTGGTAGAAAAATCTCAAAGAAAATAGTAAAATACTGACAACTAAGAAATGAGTCATACAAGATACAAAATCAATATAAAAATAAAATTTATTTCTATACATAAGCAATGAATAGTTTTAAAATGAAATTAACAAAATAACTTATTTGTAATAACAGCAAAAACAATAAAATGCTTAGGAATGCATTTTAAAGAAGAAATGTAAGATGTGCACACTGTAAACTACAAAAAATTTGCCAGAAGTAGGAGAAATAATTGAGTAAAAAGATCTCAGTTAATGAATTGAAAGTCTAGTTATTGTTAGGTTAGCAATAATTTTCAAATTGATCTACAGATTATACATAATCTATGTCAAAATCTCTACTGCATTTTTGCAGAAATTAACAGCTGATACAAAATTATTTATGAAAATTCAAATTGCCAGAATAGTCAAAACAATCTTCCACCAAGAATAAAAAAGGTAGATCAATGGAATAAAATGACAGTCAAAAATCAAATCCTTAGATTTATTATCTATTGGTTTTCAACAAGGGTGTCAAGATAATTTAATAAGAAAATAATATTTTCAAAAAATGATGCTGCATCAACTAGATATACACATGCAAAGAATAAATTTGAACTCCCTGACTCACACGATGTACAAAATTAACTCAGACTGAATCATTCACCTAAATATAAGATCTGAGACTATAAAACTGTTTTAGAAACCCAGGAGTTCATCTTCCCTGCTTTATGCTCACTACCTTATCTTTCTTAGATATAAAGCCAAAAGTCCAAGTAACAAAGAGATATAAAAATAAGTGAGAATATTAATACTGAGTGTCAACTTGATTGGACTGAAGGAAAAAAAATTATTGATCCTGGGTGTGTCTGTGAGGGTGTTGCCAAAAGAGACTAATATTTGGGTTACTGGGCTGGGGAAGGCAGATCCAGTCTTAATCATGTAGGCACAATCTAACCAGTGCCAGTGAATATAAAGCAGACAGAAAAACATGAAAAGGAAATACTGGCCTAGCCTCCCAGCCTATATCTTTCTCCTGTGCTGGATGCTTCCCACCCTCGAATATCAGACTCCAAATTCTTCAGTTTTGAGAATTGGACTGGCTCTCCCTGCTCCTCAGCTTGCAGACAGCTTGTTGTGGGACCTTGCAATCATGTAAGTTAATACTTAATAAACTCCCCTTTATATATATATATCTATATGTACATATAGATATATATATGTACACACACACACACACACACACATAGTTCTGTTCCACTAAGGTAATCCTGACTGGATAACTTATATATATATATATATTATATATATATTATATATATATATAATATATATATATATATTATATATATATATTATATATATATATAATATATATATATATAAGCTCTGTCCCACTAAGATAATACTGACTAATACAGATTTTGGTACTGGTACAGATAGTGGTTCTAGAGGAACAGAATATTACAGAATATTAAGGATGGAGTTTTTTTCATTGGTTTTAGAGTTTCTGAAGTTGGTGGCTTAATATGATTAGACTCAAAAAATGCTAAGGACTCTACTTCTAACAGTATGGAGAACACTGGTAGTCCTTGATGGAAACTGTTTAGAGAGTTACGCAAAATAAATGCATTTGACACTCCTAATTCACCGCTCATGAGAGGCAACGAGTTTAGTAACTCTTTACATAATATCTTTGACCATATGTGGAGAATTTAGGAACATAATTAAGCTTGTTGGTTGCTTCCAAGTTCAGTGGACAAAGTGATGAAAGAAAATGATGCACTCAGGTATTCTGTCTCCTGGCTGCAGAAGAAGATACCGAGCCTCAGATCTGCTACAATTGCCCTTAATGACAGTCTTACCTCCTGTAGAGAAAGAGCTGAAACTATGGAAAAACAGACACAAGCTCTTAACGTGAGAGTGATTGACCTGCAATGAAAGATGCATGCACAGCCTCACCAGGTGTCTACTGTTAAATTGCAGCCATTGATTGGAAAAGAATGGGACCCTGCAAGTTGCAATGGGGACATGTAGGAGGAACCTGATGAAGCTGGGGACACTGAGCTTTTTGGTGAACCTTTTTGGTGAGAAGGAACAGCTTTCCCAACCCCAGTAGTGGCAACATTCCCTCCCTGACCCATGCTGCCATCAGCCTTTCCACCTTTGTCTGAGGAAAGAAACCCGGTACTGCCTGAGGCAACAGTGATGGCATCCCGTGAGGCAGTTGGCAAGCAAGATAATGTTGATTCTTCTCAGAAACCACCCCCAACACCTCTCTTTGCTTCTAGACCTATAACTAGATTAAGTACCAGTGGACACCTAGAGGTGAGGTTGAGAGTGTGACCCGTGAGGAGGTGCACTACACTTGAAAATAACTGTTTGAGTTATTTAAATTACATAAACAGAAATCTGGAGAACAGGCATAAGAATGAATATTAAGGGTACGAGATAATGGTGGAAGGAATATAGAGTTAGATCACGCTGAATTTATTGATTTGGGTCCACTAAATAGGGACTCTGCATTTAATGTTGCAGCTTAGGGAGTTAAAAATGGTTCTAATAGTTTATTTGCTTGGTTAGCTGAAATATGGATTAAAAGATGGCCCACTGTGAGTGAGCTGGAAATGCCTGATCTCCCTTGGCTTAATGTAAAGGAATGGATCCAAAGGCTTAGGGAGATTGGAATGATGAGGTGGATTAGTCACGTTAGACCTACTCATCCCACCTGGGAGGTCCAGAAGATATACCCTTGTCCAATGCCTTGCAAAATAGATTTGTGAGGGCAGCCCCTACATCTTCGAAGAGGCTTGTAATTGCTCTTCTCTGTATGTCAGATCTATCGGTGGGAACCACACTCACTCAACTACAAAATTTAAATATAATGGGAATAATTGGATCCCAAGGTGGCAAGGGCCGAGTGGCAGCACTCAACCATCAAGGGCAAGGTAAGCATAGCTACCATAATGGACAGCAGAGGCAAAGCAGCAATCAAAACAGTCTGACTTTTGTAGAACTCTCACATTGGCTAATTAATCACGATGTTCCTAGAATTGAAATCGACAGGAAGCCTACTACACTCCTACTTAATTTATGTAAATAGAAAACTTCTAGGTCAAATGGACAAAAGACTAATTTGAATTATAAAAACAGAGAATCATGGCCCCTCAATCAATTTCCAGACTTGAACCAGTTTACAGACCCAGAACCCCTTGAATGATGGGGAGGCTATGTCCCCTTAAGGAAGGACCCTACTACATTACCAACAATTTATGCAATGAATCTTTTTCCCATCCTTCCACAAGGACACATCTGGCCTTTTACCAGGGTAACTGTACACTGGGGAAAGGAAAATGATTAGACATTTTGGAGACTACTTGACACTGGCTCTCAGCTGACCTTGGTTTCAGGGGACCCAAAACACTGCTGTGGTCCTCCAGTTAAAGTAGGAGCTTATGAACGTCAGGTAATTAATGCAATTTTAGCTCACGTCTGACTTACAGTGGGTCCAGTGGGTCCCCAGACTCATCCTGTGGTAATTTCCCCATTGCCAGAATGAATAATTGGCCTTGACATACTGAGCAGCTGGCAGAACCCCAGATGGTCTACCTGAATGGTAGGGTGAGGGCTACTATGGTGAGAAAGGCCAAATGGAATTCATTAGAGCTGCCTCTACCTAGAAAAATAGTAAATCAAAAATAATATTGTATCTCTGGAGGGATGGTGGAGATTAGAGCCACCATCAAGGACTTGAATGACAATGGATTACGGTAAGCTTACCCAAGTGGTGACTCCAATGGTAGCTGCTGTACCAGCTGTAGTTTTATTGCTTGCACAAATTAACACATCTCCTGGTACCTTGTATGCAGCCATTGACTTGGCAAATGTCTTTTTCTCCATTCCTGTCCATAAGGCCCACCAGAAACAATTTGCATTCAACTGGCAAGGCCATTAATATACCTTTACTGTCCTACCTCAGGGGTATATCAACTCTCCAGTTTTGTGTTCTAATGTTATTCAGAGAGAACTTAATCACTTTTCTCTTCTGCAAGATATCACACTGGTCCATTACATTGATGACATCATGCTGATTGGATCCAGTGAGCAAGAATTAGCAAACACACTGGACTTATTGGTGAGACATTTGTTTGCCAGAGGATGGGAAATAAATCTGACTAAAATTCAGGGACTTTCTACCTCTGTAAAATTTCTAGGGGTCCAGTGGTGTCAGGCCTGTCAAGATATGCCTTCTAAGGTAAAAGATAAGTTGCTGAATTTGGCCCCTTTTACAGCCAAGAAAGAGGTATAACGCCTAGTGGGCCCATTGGATTTTGGAAGCAACACATTCTGCATTTCGATGTGTTACTCTGGCCCATTAATCAAGTGACCCAAAAGGCTGACGGTTTGAAGTGGGGTCCAGAAGAGGAGAAGGCTCTGCAATAACTCCAGGCTGCAGTGCAAACTGCTCTGCCACTTGGGCCATATGACTCAGTAGATCCAATGGTCCTTGAGGTATCAGTGGCAGATAGAAATGCTGTTTGCAGCCTTTGGCAGACCCCCATAGGTGAATCTCAGCGGACACCTCCAGGATTTTGGAGCAAGGCCCTGCCATCTTCTGAAGACAACTACCCTCCTTTTGAGAGACAGCTCTTGGCCTGTTACTGGCCTTTGGTGGAAAATGAACATTGAATATGGGTCATCAAATCACCATGCAATCTGAACTGCCTATCATG
Source organism: Homo sapiens (assembly GCF_000001405.40). NCBI lineage: Eukaryota > Metazoa > Chordata > Mammalia > Primates > Hominidae > Homo > Homo sapiens. Next base: position 191,238,076 of record NC_000001.11, read on the forward strand.
AACTGGATGCTTTCTGACTCATCTAGCCATAAAATGGGTCAAGCACAGCATCATTCCATTATCAAATGAAAGTGATATATACGTGATTAGGCTCGAGCAGGTCCTGAAGGCACAAGTAAGTTACATGAGGAAGTGGCTCAAATGCCCATGGTCTTTACTCCTGCCACCCTGCCCTCTCTTCTAATGGGCTCATGGGGCATTCCTTATGATCAGTTGACAGAGGAAGAGAAGACTTAGGGCCTGGTTCACAGATGATTCTGAACAATATAGAGTCACCACTCAAAAGTGGACAGCTGTAGTACTGCAGCCCCTTTCTAGGACATCCCTGAGTGGTGAAGAGAAATCTTCCCAGTGGGCAGAACCTCAAGCAGTGCACCTGTTTGTGCACTTTGCTTGGAAGGAGAAATGGCCAGATGTGCGATTATATACTGATTCATGGGCTGTAGCCAATGGTTTGGCTGGATGGTCAGTGACTTGGAAGAAGCATGATTGGAAAATTGGTGACAAAGAAATCTGGGCAAGAGGTATGTGGATGGACCGCTCTGAGTGATCAAAAACCATGAAGATATTTGTATCCCATGTGAGTGCTCACTAACGGCTGACCTCAGCAGAGGAGGATTTTAGTAATCAAGTGGATAGGGGGAACCGTTCTGTGGACAGCACTCAGCCTCTTTCCCCAGCCACCCCTGTCATCACCCAGTGGGCCCATGAACAAAGTAGCCATGGTGGCAGGGATGGAGGTTACACATTGGCTCAGCAACATGGACTTCCACTCACCAAGGCTGACCTGGCTATGGACACTGCTGAGCGCCCAATTTGTGAGCAGCAGAAACCAACACTGAGCCCTCGATACGGCACCATTCCTTGGGGGTTATCAGCCAGCCACCTGGTTGCAGGTTTATTATATTGCACCTCTTCTATCATGGAAAGGGCAGAGGTTTGTCCTCACTGAAACAGACACTTACTCTGGATATGGGTTTGCCTATCCTGCATGCCATGCTCCTACCAAGACTACCATCTATGGACTCACAGAATGCCTTATCCACCATCATGGTATTCCACACAGCATTGTCTCTGACCAAGGCACTCACTTTATGGCTAAAGAAGTGTGGCAGTGGCCTCGTGCTTATGGAATTCACTGGTCTTACCATGTTCCCCATCATCCTGAGCAGCTGGATTGAAAGAATGATGGGATGGCCTTTTGAAGTCACAATTACAACGCCAACTAGGTGACAATACTTTGCAAGGCTGAGGCAAAGTTCTCCAGAAGGCTGTGTATGCTCTGAATCAGCATCCAATATATGGTACTGTTTCTCCCTTAGCCAGGATTCACAACTCCAGGAATCAAGGGGTGGAAGTGGAAGTGGCACCACTCACCATCACCTCTAAAGATCCACTAGCAAAATTTTTGCTTCCTGTTCCTGCGACCTTACATTCTGGTGGCCTAGAGGTCTTATTTCCAGAGGGAGGAAGCCTGCCACCAGGAGACACAACAATGATTCCATTAAACTGGAAGATGAGATTGTCACTCAGACACTTTGGGCTCCTCCCACCTTTAAGTCAACAGGATAAGAAGGGAGTTATAGTGTTGGCTGGAGTGATTGACCCGGACTCTCAAGATGAAATCAGTCTACTGCTCCACAACGGAGGTAAGGAAAGGTATGCATGGAATACAGGAGATCCATTAGGGCATCTCTTAGTTTTACCATGCCCTGAGATTAAAGTCAATGGAAAACTACAATAGCCCAATCCAGTCAGGACTACAAAAGGCCCAGACCCTTCAGGAATGAAGGTTTCTGGCCACTCCACCTGGAAAAAAACCATGATCTGCTGAGCTGATTGCTGAAAGCAAAGGGAATACAGAATGGGTAGTAGAAGAAGGTAGTTATCAACACCAGCTATGACCACATGACCAGCTGCAGAAATGGTGACTGTAATTGTCATGAGTATTTCCTCCTTCTTTTGTTAAAAACATGCTTGCGCATGTATACACTTGTACTAAGAAGTTATCTTCATTTTATTTCCTTTTTCCTTTATCATGTAACATGAGATCTGTTGACTTTATATCAGTATTTAAATAATGTTAATATTATGTAGTAGTATGTGTTGGGGATTGGTGTGTTTCTGGTTACATGAAGGATAGTAGTATTATATTAGGCATAATTATGACCTTATTATTGTCTTTATTTGAAGATTATGTATGATCTCAGGAGATATGTATGGGTTGAAGTTGACAAGGGGTGGACTTGTGATGGTTAATACTGAGTGTCAACTTGACTGGATTGAAGGATACAAAGTATTGATCCCGGGTGTGTCTGTGAGGGTGTTGCCAAAAGAGATCAACATTTGAGTCAGTGGGCTGGGGAAGGCAGATTGACTCTTAATCTGGTGGGAACAATCTAATCAGCTGCCAATGAATATAAAGTAGGCAGAAAAACGTGAAAAGGAGAGATGGGCCCAGCCTCCCAGCCTACATCTTTCTCCCATGCTGGATGCTTCCTGCCCTCCAACCTCAGACTCCAGGTTCTTCAGTTTTGGGACTCGGACTTGCTTTCCTTGCTCCTCAGCTTGCAGACAGCCTATTGTGGGACCTTGTGACTGTGTTAATGCTTAATAAACACTTAATAAACTCATATATATATATATATATATATATAAAACTCCAATTATTTCTGTCCCTCTAAGATAACCCTAATACGATAAGGAATATTGACTAGATTAAAATTTGAAAATTTTGTACTTAAAAAGACATTAAAAAGTTAAAAAAACTCAAAAATAAAAGAAAATATTTGCAAATCTTATATCTGATAAAACATGTATATCTGGAATATGTAAATAATTCTTACAAATGGAGAATGAAAGATAACCCAGTTAAAAATCAACTTTAAATAGAAATTATTCCAATGATATATTAAGGAAATGCAAATGAAAACCACAAGATACCATTTCATACCCACTAGGATGACTATAAGCAAAAATACAAAACAGATGTCGGTGAAGATATGGAGAAATAGGAATTCTCATGCATTGCTGGTAGGAGTATAAACTGATGCAGCTGTTTCAAAAAAACGGTTTGGCAGTTCTTCAAAAGGTAAACATAATTACCATATGACTAAACAATTCTATTCCTAGGTCCACACTCTAATAAAATAAAAAATCTCATAAAAACTTCTACGTGAATGTCTTTAGAAGCATTATGCATAATAGTGTAAAAAAATCAAATGTTCCTCAGTTCATGAATGAATAAATAAAATGGGATGTAGCCATAAAATGGAATATTGCTCAGAAATAAAAAGGAAGTACTGAGACATGCCACATGAATAAAATTTGAAAAAATTGTGATAAGTGAAAGAAGGATTCCAATATATAAAATGTTCAGAATAAACACAGATATTCAAAAAGAAAGTGCATCATCAGTTTCCAGGGTCTGAGGGAATAAAGAATGACTTCTAATTGGTACAGGGTTTCTCTTTTGAGTGATGAGATGCCTTAAAATTTAAATGTGATAATGATTGGGTAACGCAATACAAGTAAGACAAACCACTTTAAAACAATTTCATGTTTTTCTATTTCAAATCATATCTCAAAAACGATCTTTTAAATGTAATATAATGACATTCTCAGTAGCCTTGTTTTATATAATATAGTTTTAAAAATAAAATATTTATATTTGCAAGTTATTTTATTACTAATATTTTTAAATACTTTTTTTACAGTTAAAAATATTTCTAAGGTGTGCTCATGGTGTTTTTAATCAATGCTATTTTCTTAAGTAACATTGATGTATTTGCTTCTAGGTAGTCCTCTATTTTTGTAACAACATCCAGAGTTCTTTGGGATCCATAGTTTTTATATGCTTTGTTTCTTTTCTTATACACCCTTCTGCCTCTCTATATAAACTGAATATGAACTTTCTCTAAGGCATCTGAAACAGAAGACTTTTGGGGAAGGCAACATACTTAATTTAATCTATATTGCGGGACAAAGTTTCTGTGTCTGAGAAATGGAAAACATTCTTTGCCACTTAAAGCCTATGTCAGTTTTATAGCCTATCGTTCGAAATCCAGATAGTCACCTTCTCCAACCTTTCCAGACCATTACTCTTTTCTTTCATACCCCTAATTTTACATGAAATATTTCTTTCCACCTGTATATTCCTATAAGCAATACACAAAGCCAACACACAGTAACATTATATATGTTTTTTTTTTTTTTTTTTTTTTTTTTTTGAGATTGAGTCTTGCTCTGTCGCCTAGGCTGGAGTGCAGTGGCGCAATCTCGGCTCACTGCAAGCTCCGCCTCCCGGGTTCACGCCATTCTCCTGCCTCAGCCTCCAGAGTAGCTGGGACTACAGGCGCCTGCCACCTAGCCCGGATAATTTTTTGTATTTTTAGTAGAGACGGGGTTTCACCGTGTTAGCCAGGATGGTCTCGATCTCCTGACCTCGTGATCCGCCTTCCTCACATCGTGATCCGCCCTCCTCAGCCTCCCAAAGTGCTGGGATTACAGGCATGAGCCACCGCGCCCGGCCTATATATTGGCTCTTTTCAAGACTTCTAGAGACTGCAGACTCAGTAGGCACTTGGTATGGTTTTCTATTATTGCAGAAAATGTTTTCTCAAATGTTTTATTGTTTTCTCAAATGTTTTCCATGACATAATATGTATGTTCCACCATTTTTTCAGGATATAATATCTGCTTCTTAGTATCTGCTACCCTACTGATAAGCCCATGTCACACATATTGAGGGAATGTCATTATTATTTAAATGTTTAATATTTGTATGTATTTGGTATATTCTGGTTATAAGTCCTTTATCAAATATATAATTTGAAAATGTATTGTCTGACTCTCTGGCTTCTTTTTATTATAGTAGCAATGGATTTCAAAGAGTAAACATTTTTTATTTTGATAAATTATGAATTAAATTTATAATTTTCTTCTCTTACATATTGTGCTTCTGAGGTTTCCTATAAATGTTTTTTTCTTCCCCTGACAGCAAAGATTTTTCTTCATGATTATTATACTGTGATTTATAGTCTTTGGTTTCATATTAAGGTCTAGAGCTCATATGGAGTTAATTATCATATATAGTGGCTGGTAGATATGGAAACTTATTTTTTGCACGTTGATGTCCAATTACGCTAGCATAGTTTGTTGAAAATTCTGTAGTTTCTAATGCCGGAACAGAAAACCAAACAATGTATGTTCTCATAAGTGGGAGCTGAATGATGAGAACACATGGACGCATGGGGGGAACAATACACACTGGTGCCTGTTGGAGGAGGTTGGTTATGGGAGGGAGAGGAAAATAGTTAAGAGATGAGATACTGGGCTTAGTACCTAGGTGATGAGATGATCTGTGCAGCAAATCACCATGGCACACATTTACCTATGTAAAAAACCTGCACATGTACCTCTAAACTTAAAAATTGAAAGAAAAATTCTATAGTTTCTTTGACCAAATATGGCCTATATTTGGGCTCTATTCTGCTCCACCCTTTAATATATGTGTCTCCTTTCCAAAACCACTGCTTGATTACTATGACTTTATTTAAAGCTTGATGCCAGGCATTGAAAGGCAAGTGCTCCAAACTTGTTTTTTATGTTTCAAATTTCTTGTGGCTCTTGCAATTATTTTGTCTGGCCATAAAATTTTTTTAATGACTTTGTCAATTTCTTAAAAAGTAAAAAAATCCTTCTGGGATTTTGATTAGAACTATATTGAATTGACAGATCACTTTAAGGAGAACTGACATCATGAGGATATTGAGTCTACTAATCCACAAACACAATGTGTCCTCCACTTATTTCTTTGATGTCTCCCATTAACGTTTAGCAATTTTAAATATGTGAATATTTTACATGTTTTGCTGTGTTTAAACCTAAGCATTTCAAGTTTTATAACTGAAATTTTATTAAATTTTAATTACTATTGTTTATCAATACTATATCAAATTATAATCATTTCTTATATATTGACCTTATATTTGAGAGATGGCTAAATTCATATTAACTTTTGTTGTTTAGATGTTTTGAGATTGCTTTTGTAGACATTTGATTTGTATATAGAAATAGTATTATTTCTATATTTTCCTAAAAAAATTTTCTATTTTTTTTACAAAAACATTACTTTTTTCTTGCCTGTGTAGATCATCAAGTATGATTTTGAATAGGAATGATGAAAACAGACACTATGTTGTTATTTCCAATTTTAATATGAAAGCATTAAGTTCTCCCCAATAAGCGTAATGTTAGCTGTGGATTTTTATTTTTGTTTTTTAGTGAATGTCTTCATTAGGATAACTGTATTCCCTTTCCTTCTAGCTTTATGCATTTTTTTAACCATTAATGGATTTTAAATTGCATCAAATGCTATTTCTACCTCCAACAAGAGGAATGAAAGGCTTTATCTCTTTGTTTTAACATTGTGAAAATGGAAGTCATTGACATTTGATTGTGAAAACAGCTTTGCATTCCTAAGTATAAATCTTGTGTGATCATGACATATTGTCATTTGCATATATTGTCAGATTTGATTTTCAAATATTTCACTGACAAATTTTTCATCTTTGTCCATGATTATTATTGCTCTCTCTGTGGTTTCTTTTTTTTTTTTTAAAAAAATAACTTTATTTTAAGTTCTGGGGTACATGTGCAGGATGTGCAGGTTTGTTACATAGGTAAACGTGTGCCATTGTTGTTTGCTGCACAGACGAACTCATCCCCTAGGTTTTAAGCCCACCAACCGTTAGCTATTCTTCCTGATTGTCTCCCTCCCACCGCCCTGCTCCACAGGTCCCAGTGTGTGTTGTTCCCGACCATGTGTTCATGTATTCTCATCGTTCAGCTCCCACTTATAAATGAAAACAAGTGGTGTTTGGTTTTCTGTTCCTGTGTTACTTTGCTGAGGATAATGGCTTCCAGCTGCACCCATGTCCCTGCAAAAGGCATGACCTCATTCAGTTTTATGGCTGCATAGTATTCCATGGTGTATAGGTACCACATTTTCTTTATCCAGTTCACCATTGGTGGACACCTAGGTTGATTCCTGGTCTTTGCTATTGTGAATAGTGCTGCAATGAATATATGCATGCATGTAGCATTATAATAGAATGATTTATACTGCTTTGGCTATATACTCAGTAATGAGATTGTGGGTCAAATGATATTTCTGCTTCCAGATCTTTGAGGAATCACCACACTGTCTTCCACAATTGTTGAACTAATTTCCCACCAATATTGTAAAAGCATTCCCTTTGCTCAGCAACCTTGCCATCTTCTGCTGTTTCTTGACTTTTTAATAATTGCCATTCTGACTAGCATGAGATGGTGTATCTCCTTGTGGTTTTGATTTGCATTTCTCCAATGCTCAGTGATATTGAGCTTTTTTTCATGTTTGTTTGCTGCATGTATGTCTTTTGTGAGAAGTGTCTCTTCATGTCCTTTGCCCACTTTTTAATGGGGTTATTTGTTTTTTCTTGTAAATTTATTTAAGTTTGTTGTAGAATAAGTTCCTATATCCTCTGGATGTTAGACCTTTCTCAGATGGGTAGATTGCAAAACTTTTCTCCCAATCTGTAGGATGTCTGTTCACTCTGATGACAGTTTCTTTTGCTGTGCAGAAGCTCTTTAGTTTAATTAGATCCCATTTGCCAATTTTTGCTTTTGTTGTTATTGCCTTTGGCATTTTTGTATAAAATCTTTGCCCATGCCTATGTCCTGAATGATATTGTCTAAATTTTCTTCTAGGGTTTTTATAGTTTTGGGTTTTTTATATTAAAGTCTTTAATCTATCCTGAGTTAATTTTTGTGTAAGGAGTAAGGGAGGAGTCCAGTTTCAATTTTCTACATATAGTTAGTTCTCTTATGAGAACTGTTTATTAAATAGGAAGCACCATTTATTAAATAGGGAATTATTTCCCCGTTGCTTGTTTTTGTCAGGTTTGTTGAAGATCAGATGGTTGTAGGTGTGTAGTCTTATCTCGGAGTTCTCTATTCTGTTTCATAAGTCTATATGCCTGTTTTGGTACCATTACCATACTGTTTTGGTTACTGTAGCCTTGTGGTATAGTTTGAAGTTAGGTAGCATGATACTCCAGCTTTGTTCATTTTGTTTAAGGTTGTCTTGGCTATTCAGGCTCTTGTTTAGTTGCATATAAATTTTAAAATAGTGTTTTCTAATTCTATGAAGAATGTTACTGGTAGTTTAATAGGAATAGCATTGAATCTATCAATTACTTTGAGCATTATGACTATTTTCACAATATTGATTCTTCATATCCATAAGCAGGAAATATTTTTCCATTTGTTTGTGTCCCCTCTGATTTCCTTGAGCAGTGGTTTGTAGATCTCCTTGAAGAGATCCTTCACTTCCCTTGTTAGATGTATTCCTAGGTATTTTATTCTCTTTGTAGAAAATGTGAATAAAAGTTCATGCATAATTTGGCTCTCTGTGTGCCTATTGTTGGTGTGTAGGAATGCTAGCAAAGAACCTTAGTAAGATACTCCATACTCTGTGAGAAGATCACACCCAAGACACATAATCAGCAGATTCTCTAAGGTTGAAATGAAGGAAAAAATGTTAAGGGCAGCCAGAGAGAAAGGCCAGGTCACCTGCAAAGGGAAGCCCATCAGACAAACAGTGGACTGCTCATTGGAAACCCTACAAGCCAGAGGAGATTGGGGGCCAATATTCAACCTTCTTAAAGAAAAGACTTTCCAACCCAGATTTCCATATCTGGCAAACTAAGCTGCGTAAGTGAAGGAAAAAGATCTTTTTCAGACAAGCAAATGTTGAGGGAATTCGAATTCATCACCAACAGGCCTGCCTTGCAAGAGCTGCTGAAGGAAGCACTAAATATGGAAAGGCAAAACTATTACCAGCCACTATAAAAACACACAAAGGATACAAGCCCGCAAATATAACCAGCCAGCATCATGATGACAAGATCAAATTCACACATATCAATATTAACCTTAAATATAAATGGGCTAAATGCTCAATTAAAATACACAGAATGGCAAGCTAGATAAAGAGTAAAGTTCCATCAATGTGTTGTCTTCAAGAGATACACCTCACATGCAAAAATACCAATAGACTCAAAATAAAGGGATGGAGGAAAATTTACCAAACAAATGGAAAACAGACAAAAGCAGGGGTTGAAATCCTAGTTTCTGACAAAACAGACTTTAAACCAAAAAAGATTAAAAAACAAAAAGTCAAAGAAGGACATTATATAATGGGAAAGGGTTCAATTCAACAAGAAGAGCTAACTATCCCAAATGTACATGAACCCAGGAGCACCCAGATTCATAAATCAAGTTCTTAGAGACCTTCAAAGAGACTTGGACTTCCACACAATAATAGTGGAAGAGCTTAACAGCCCACTAACAACATGAGACAGATCGTCAAGACAGAAAATTAAGAGAGATGTGCAGGACCTGAACTCAGTTCTGAAATCAAGTGGACATGACAGATATCTACAGAACTCTCCCTGCCAAAACAACAGAATATATATTCTTCTCATTGGCACATAGCACATACTCTAAAATTGATTACATAACTGGAAGGAAAACACTCCTCAGCAAATGCAAAGGAACTAAAATAATAACAAAAAGTCTCTCAGATCACAGCACAGTCAAATTAGAACACAATATTAAGAAACTCACTCAAAACCACTCAAGTGCATGGAAATTTGCTTTTCTAATATATTGTTTTCATTTTTCACATCAAAGTAATGCTAGTCTCCTGAAATGAGTTAGACTACTTTCCTTTGTTCTGAAACAAAATGTGCAAAATTGATATTTTTTTTAAATGACTGGTAGAATTTGCAAGTGAAGCCATCTGAGCCTGCAGTTTTCCCTGCTGGAAAGTTTCTAGTATCGATTTACTTGCTTTAATAGATATGGGACTATTCAAATGTCTCTTTCTTTTTGAGTTATCTTTAGAAGGGTGGGTCTTTCAACAGATGTGTCCATTTTATCAAAGTCATCAATTTGTGGGTATAGATTTGTTTTCAGTACCTCATAATAATGACTTTTGTAGCAACTTTAGGGTCAGTGGTGATACTATGTATTGAATTACCTACATTTGTAATTTGTGTTTTGTTCACAACTATGTTTTTTTTTTGTTCTTAATTTTTTATTTCTCCATTTTTTTCTGCTTGCTTTAGGGTAAATTTTTCTTCTTTTTCTATTTTCAAAGTAAAACTTTGCTTATTGATTTAAGACATTACTTTTTCAAATATAAGCATTACTTTTAAAATTGCCCTCTTAGCACTGCTCTAGCTGATTCTTAAAAATTTTAATATGCTGTTTTCATTTTTAATTATTATAAAATATTTTATGATGTTCTTGTGACTTCAAGCCAGAGAATAATTAGAAGTGTGTACTTAATTTTCAAGTGTTTTTATATTATAAATATACCCTTTACTCAATGATTTAAATTCCTTTTTCACCTGCAAATATACTTTGCATAATTTTAATTATTTAAAATTGTGAAAAATCTTATTTATGCCCTAGAATATAGCCTATCTTGGTGAATGTTACATGTGTACTTAAGACATATAGATTTTCCTCCTGGTTTTGCGCATTTTGTGGTATTAATTTCATCTATGTATAGTTCATCTAAAATTGTTTTCAAGTCTTTTGTTGTTAGTTCCACACACATATAGCATTCTTATTTCTTCTTGGAGAATTGATCCCTCATTCTTTGTGCTATATTCTTCTTTATCCTTCATATTTTTAATAAAGTCTACTTTTGGATAGTAATGTAGCTATTCCAGTTTTCATTTGGTTGTGTTGGTATGATAATTCTTTCTCCCTCCTTTTCTTTTTTTTTAAACTATCTATGTTTATACATTAAAAATTGGGTTTTAACCAAAAGCATTGAAAAAGAAGAAAAAATTGGATGTCTTACACTTTCTGAATTCAAATTGTACTACAAAAGTATACAGTAATCATAACAGCGTGGTATTGGGATAAAGACAGACATACAGATCTATGGGATATAATAGACATCACAAAATAAACCCTCACATATGTGGTTAAATAATTTTTTACAAGAGATCCAAGACTATTCAGTGGAAAAATACATTTTATTCAACTCATGGTGTTGAGGAAACCAGTTATACACAGAGAATACAGGCTGGATCCTCAATTTACACCATATGCAAATATTAACTCTAAATATATCCAAGTCTTGAAATATAAATTCTTAAAAGAAAATATAATGAAAAAACCTTCACGACATTGGATTTAGCAATGATTTCTTAAATATGACATTAAAAGCACACGCAATAGAATTTTAAAAAGTGGGTAACAGAATTTCAAATTTAAAATTATACATCAAAGGAATCGATTAACAGGGAAAGGACAATGCATGGCAAGAGAAAAAAATTGCAAATCACTTGTGGTTGGCCTTCTACGACCAACCACATGTTGAAAATATATGTTTTATTATGTGTTGTACTTAACTTGTTCAGACTTGTTTTCTCTTGTCATTGTTTTATAAACAATACAGTATAACAATATTTGCATGGCATTTACATGATATTAGGCATTATCAGTAATTTAGAGATTAAGTGTATGGAAAGATGTGTGTAGTATATATTCAAATATCACACAACTTTACTTTTTGAGGTAGTTCTTCATTTTTTTTATTTTATGGCAGCATAACAGTTGTAAATATTTATGGAGTATATTTGATATTGTGATACTAGCATACAATATATAATGATAAAACGAGGGTAATTGGGATATATGTAACTTCAAACGTTTATCATTTATTTGTATTTGAAACTTTCCATTTCCCCTCTTCTAGTTATTTTTAAATATGCCATAACATGTTAGCTATAGCAGTACTATTGTGCAACTGAACATTGGATCTTTTTCCTTCTAACTATTTTTATACTCATTAATTAAGCCCTCTTTATTTCACATTCCCACTATTCTTCAGAGTTCCTGGTGACCATCATTCTACTCTCTATATCCATGAGGTCATTTTTTTTTAGCTCCCATGTATGAGTGAGAACATGAGATATAGGATATTTGTCTTTCTGTGCCTGACTTATTTCACTTAACATAATGTCTTCCAGGTTGATCTACGTTGTTGCAAATGACAGAATTTCATTACTTTTATGGCTGAATAGTATTCTATTGTGTATGTGTACCATATTTTCTTTATCCATTCATTGATAAAGTGTCCTTCATTGATGGACACTAAAGTTACTTCCATATCTTTACTATTGTGAAAGTAAGGCAATAAACATGGGAGTGCAAATATCTCTTTGATATACAGATTTCCTTTATTTCAGATATATACCCATCAGTGGGATTGCTGGATCATATGGCAGTTCTATGTTAAGTTTTTTCTGGAACCTCTATATTGTTTACCATAGTGGCTATACTAATTCACATTTCTACCAACAGTGTAGGAGAGTTTCCTTTTCTTCTCATCTTCACCAACATTAATTACTTCTTGTCTTTTTGGTAAGAGCCATTTTAACTGGGTGAGGTAATATCACATTGTTTTCCTAATTTTCATTTTTCTGATGATTACTAATTTTGAAAATTTTTTATATACCTGTTGGCAGTTTGCATTTTTTTTTAGAGAGAGAAATGTTTGTTTAGATTTCTGGGACATTTTTAACCAAATTATTTTTTTCTGCTATTGAGTTGTTTGTTTCTCATATATTCGGATTATTAATCCTTTTTCAGACGAGCAGTTTGCAAATATTTTCTCCCATTATGTAGATTCCGTCTGCAGCTTTGTTAATTGTTTCTCTGTTTGGAGATTTTCTCTTGATGTGATCACATTGGTCAATTTTTGCTTTATCTGTGTTTTTGAGATCTTACACAAAAACTCTTTGCCCAGACCAATGTACTGGAGTGTTCCCCAATGTTTTCTTCTAGAATTTTTAGAGTTACAAATCTTATATTTAAATCTTTAATCTACTTTGATTTGATTTTTGTGTATGGTGAGAGATAGAAACCCAGTTTCGTTCTCTGCAGATGGATATCCACTTTTCCTAATATCATTTACTGAAGAGACTGCTCTTTCCCCAAAGTATGCTCTTGGCGCCTTTGTCAAAAATTAGTGCATTTTAGGCGTGCAGATTTATTTAAGTTCTCTATTCTGTTTCATTAGCCTGTATGTCCATTGTATTGCCAGTATCGTGCTGTTTTGGTCACTGTAACTTTCTAGTATAATTTGAGGTTAGGTAACGTGATGCCTCCAGCTTTCTTCTTTTGGCCCAAAATTGCTTTGGCTATTCTGGGTCAATTGTGTTTTCATATGTATTTTAGAATTTTTTTTTCTATTTCTGTGAAAATGTCATTGACATTTTGATATGGAGTACACTGACTCTGTAGAACAATTTGGGTACTATGGACAGTTTAACCATATCGATCCTTTCAATTCATGAAAGAGAATATCTTTCCATTTTTTATATCCTTTTCAATTTCTTATATAAGTGTTTTATAGATTTTATTGTAGAAATACTTTACTCCTTTGCTTATGTTTATTGTGAGGTATTTTATTTACCTGTAGCTATCATAAATTAGATTACTTTATTGGTTTCTTTCTCAGATTGTTCACTGTTGGTATATAAAATGGTATGGATTTTCATATGTTGATTTTGTATCTTACAACTTGACTGACTTTATCGGTTCTACTGGCTGTTTTGGTGGAGTCTTTATGTTTTCCTAAATATAAGATCATTGCAATAAGGATAATTTGATGTCTTCTTTCCCAATTTGAATTCCTTTCATTTCTTTCTCTTGTCTAATTGCTCTGGTTCTGACTTCTAGTACAACGTTGAATAAAAGTGGTGAAAGTGGACATTCTTGTCTTGTTCCAGATCTTACAGGAAAGACTCCGTTTTTTCCTGGTCAGTTTACTAGCTGTGGGTTTGTCACATCTGGCCTGTATCAGGTTGAGGTATGTTCCTCCTACACCCAGTATATTGAGAGTTTTTATCATAAGAAGATGCTGAGTTTTATTGAATGTTTTTGTTTAGCAACTATTGAAATGATCATATCATTTTTGTCCTTCAGGTTGTTCATGTAACGGATCACATTTGTTGATTTGTGTATGTTTAACAGACCTTAAATCCCATGAATAAATCCCACTGGTCATTTTTAATGATCTTTTAATGTGTTGTTGAATTTGGTTTGCTAGTATTTTGTTGAGGATATTTGCATATTTGTTCATCAGTAATATCAGCTTGTAGATTTCTTTTTTTGTTATGTCTTTGTCTGCTTTCATTATCAGTGTAATACTGACCTCATATAATTAGTTTGGAAGTATTTCCTCCTCCTGGATTTTTTAATAGCGTCAGTAGAAATGATATTAGTTCTTCTTTAAGTATTTGGTAAAATTCAGCAGTAAATTCACCAGGTCCTTGGCTATTCTTTGATGGGAGACATTTTATTCATAGTTCTATCTTGTTACTTAATATTGATCGATTCAGGTTTTATATTTCTTCATGGTTCATTCTTGGTAGGTGGTATGTGTTTAGAAATTTATCCATTACCTCTAAGTTTTCAAATTTAGTGGTACATAGTTGCTAATGGTAGTCTCTAATGATTCTTTGAATTTCTGTGATATCAATTGTAATGCCTCCTTTCTTGCCTCTTGTTTTATTTGGATCTCCTCTCTTTTTCTCTTAGGTTGGCTAATGGTTGGTCGATTTTGTTTATCTTAAAAAAAAACAACTTTTCACATAACAGATCTTTTGTATAATTTTTGTATTCATTTCATATATTGCTGCTCTGATCTTATTTCTTTTATTCCATTAACTTTTGATTTGGTTTGCTCTTGCTCTTCTACTTCTTTAAGATGCATTGTTATGTTATTTGAAATCCTCCTCCTTTTTTGATGTAGGCATTGCTAAAACCTTCCTGGTTAGTACTGAGTTTGCTGCATATATAGGTTTTTGTATGTTGTGTTTTCATTTTCATTTGTTTCAGTAATTTTATGTAAATATTCTTCTTAATTTTTTTCATTGATTCAATGGTCATTCAAGAACATATTGTTGAATTTCTATGTATTTGTATAGTTTCCTAAGTTCCTGTTATTATTAATATCTAGTTTTATTTCACTGGGCTCAGAAAAAAATACTTAATATGATTTCACTTTTTTGAAACTTGTTTTATGGATTAACATGTGGTCTATCTTTGGCAATCTTCCTTTTGCTGAGGAGAATGTTTATTCCATAGCAATTGGATGTTATATTCTGTACATGTCTACTACATCCATTTGTTCTAAGTGAAGATTAAGTCCAATGTTTCTGTGTCAATTTTCTGTCTAGATGGATCTAACCAGAGCTCAAAGAGGAGTGTTGAAGTCCCCATCTATTACTGTACTGGGGTAGATATCTCTCTTTAGCCCTAATAATACTTTTTTATATATCTGAGTTCTCCAGTGTTAGGTACACATATATTTACAATTGTTAAATTCTCTTGCCAGATTGACCCCTTTATCATTCTACAATGACCTTCTTTGTCTTTTTTTTACTGTTTTTGTCTTTAAATCTATTTTATTTGATGTAAGTATAGCTACTTGTTTTTGGTTTCCATTTGCACGGACTATCTTTTTGCATCCTTTCATTTTCAGTCTATGTGTGTCTTTAAGGGTGAAGTGAGTTTCTTGTAGGCAGCATACGTACAGTTAAGCCTTGTTTTTAAAAAATTTCTTATTTTTTTTAATCTATGCAGCCACCGTATGCCTTTCAACTGGAGAATTTAGCCTATTTATATTTAAGGTAATTATTAATAGGTAATGACTCACTATTGCCATTTTGTTATTTGTCTGCTGGTCGTATTGCTAGTCTTTATTCTGCCCTTCCTGTGTTCCTTTGTGTGTAAGTTTGTCTGATAGTATGTTTTAACTTCTTGTTTTTTTATATTTTCATATCTATTATAGGTTTTTTGCTTTGTTGCTTCCATGACACTTACAAATGACATTTTGTAGTCAGTTATTTTAAACTGGTGACAAACTTAGTTCTGATCACAAAGAAAAGGAAAAATAGAAAGAAAACAAGCAAAAAGAAAACTAAAAATCTCTACTTTTTAACTCAATTCTCCATTCCCTTCCTATTTTTTTCTTTTTGTTGTCTCTTCATTTTGTCCATCTCTTTACAAATTGTTGTAGTTATAATTTTTGATTGCTTTTGCTTTTAGTCTTCCTACTAAAGATATGAATGGTTTACACACTGAAATTACTGGGTTATTATGTATTTTATGTGTAATTATTTTTTATCAGTGAGTTTTATAACTTCAAATCACTTATTCTTTCATGTTAGCTTCCTTTTTTATAATCGAATAATTCCTTTAGCATTTCTTGTAAGGTTTAATGCTGATAAAATCATTCAGCTTTTTTTCTTTGGTCTGGAAAAGTATTTCACTTTTATGTTTGAAGATTTCCTTGTTGGTTTTAATATTCTATGTTGGAAGGTTTTTTGTTTTTTTGTTTGTTTGTCCCCCAGCACTTTGAATATATCATCACACTCCCTCCTGCCCTTAAGGTTTCTGTCTAGAAGTCTGCTGTCAGATGTATCAAAGCTACTTTATATATTATTTGCTCCTTTTCTTTCACTGCTCTTAGGATCCTTTCATTATCCTTGACCCTTGAGAGTTTGATTATTATACATTTTGAGTAGTCTTATTTGGTTTGAATCCTTTTAGCTTTCTTTGACCTTCTTATACCTCGATAGTCATCTCTTTCTCTAGGTTTGGGAATTTCTCTGTTAGCCTTTGTTCAAATAAACTGTCTACATTGATCTCTTTTGCTACATCCTCTTTAAGGACAATAACCCTTAGATTGCCCTCTTGAGGCTATTCTCTGGATTTTGTAGGTGTACTTCATTCTTTTTTCTTATTTTTCTTTTGTGATTCTTCATATAGACCATCTTTAGCTTACTAATTGTTTCTTTTGCTTGAACAATTCTGCTGTTGAGATACTTTAATGCATTTTTAAATTTATCAATTGAATTTTTAGCTCCATAGTTTCTGCTTGCTTTTTAAAAATTATTTTAATCTCTTTGTAAAATTGCTCTAATAGAATTCTGAATTCTCTCTGCTATCTTGGTTTGTTGAGTTCCTTTAGGCAGAAATTTTAAATTCCCTGTCTGAGAGATCATCTATTTTCCGCACTTCAGGATTAGTCACTGGTGTCATATCTAGTCTGTTTGGTGAGGTCATATTTTCCTGAATGTTTTTGACACTTGTGGATATGCATCAAGATCTGGGCACTGAAACATTGGGTATTTATTCCATTATTGCCATCTGGGCTTGTGTGTACTCATTCCTCTTGAGAGGGCTATTCAATAATTCAAGAGACATTGTTTTTGTGACATAAGCCTGTGGTCACTCCATCCATTTTAGCATTAGGCGGTACCCTAAGCCCAAAAATGCATTCTGTGGGCAAGCTCTAGTGCTGTGCTGCTCTCAGAGGAAGTGGTTATGGTATGCAATCCACTGTGACACCAGTTTCTGTGGCTATGTGTGTGTCTGCATTACCTCATTTCCAGCTACAGGTGGTACAGCACAGTAAGAGATATTTTTTATCTGGGTGAAGGAGAAGAAAAAGAACAGAGGACTCAGTCTTGCAATGTGAGTCCCAGCTCCGCCACAGTAAATTAAAAACCAGCCACTTTAGTTAGTTGGTTGTGAGGCATCTTCAACTTGAGTGCCTCCTGCTGAGACAAAGGATTCCTCTCTGGCCCAGGCAGGTCTAAATGCTCCCTTCTTGGACACTGCAGAATTCTATTCAGTATTGTGTTCTACTTTGACCATGCATCATTGAGTTTCAATGCAAAGTACCACACTCACTTTTCTCTCCCTCTCCCAAACACATAGATTCTTTCTACAGGCTGTGCTGTCTTGGGTTGCAAGAGGAGTGGTTATAGACAACGCAAGACTGTTCTTCCTCCTCTGTTCAATGCATCTTTTCTTGTTATTATGTTAAACCAGGTTCTATGATTGCTCACATTATTTTTGGTTTTATGAAGATGCTTTGTTTTATGGATAGTTGTTTAAATGCTGTTTAATTTGTTTTCCTGTGTGGGGAAATCACTGGAAGGTTCTATTCAGTCATCTCCTTTGGACTACACTATTTTATAAGGGACTTGAGCTTCTGTAGATTTTTGTATCCATGGATTTTGGAACCAATCCCCCATGGACACTGAGGGACAGTTGTATATATAATAAAGGATCAATATTCAGACTACATAAAAATCTCTTCAAATAAATGACTAAACAACCGTATTAAAATGTAGACATAGCATTTAAGTAGATGCATATCCAAACAAGATAGGAAAATGGCCAATAAATATATCAACAAAAGGTCAGCATCCCAATAATTAGAGGAATGCAAATCAAAATTATGATGACATACCATGAGATACCCATTAGAAAGACTATTATCAAAAACAAACAAACAGAAAATGAAAAGTGCTGGGAAGGATATGGAGAAATTGGAACTCCTATGCATTGCTGGTGAAAATGTGAAATGCTGCAGTCACTATGTGAAAAACTATGGCAGTGCCTCAAAAAATAAACAGAATTACCATATGATACAACAGTTTTACTGCTGGGTAGATAGACTTACAATAGTTGAAAGCAGGGACTCAAATATTTGTACATTTATGTTTATACCAGCATTATTCATTATAGCCAGAAAGGAAAAGAAACCCAAGTGTCCATTTAAGGATTGATGTATAAGAAAATGTAGTATTTAAATCCAATGGGGTATTATTCATTCTTAAAGAGGAAGGCAACTCTGATACATGTTACAAATGGATGGACTTTGAAGACATTATACTAAGTGAATTCAGACAGTCACAATAAAACCCTAGATATTGTATGATTCCACTAATATGAGGTTTCTAGTTTAGCCAAATTTATAGAGACAGAAAGTAGAAGGGTGGTTTTCAGAGCCTAGGGGCAGAGAAGGGAAGTTGTATTTCATGGGCATTGAGTTTTAGTTTGGGGAGATGATACAAATTCTGGAGATGCATGGTGGCTATGATTGCACAACAATGTGAATGCACTTAATACCACTGATCTGTGAAGTTATAAATGGTTAAAATCATAAATTTATGTTACGTATATTTCAACACAATAAAAATGTGTTTCTAGAGATAATTTATCTTTTTCATTCTACCATATAATCTATGTCTTTTAACCATTTACATGGTGATTTTTTAACATGATTGAATTAAAATATACCATCTTATTACCCATTTTCTCTTTTTTTCTGTCCAATTTTTTAATTTCCTGTCTTTTGCCATCCTTTGTGTTAATGGAGCTTTTAAAATTCCATTTTATCTTTATACTTTATACCTCTTTTAAAAATGTTTTATTTGGGGCTTGCAATGTATGACAATAACTTCATAAATTGGGGTTGATCTTGAAATTTTATTATACCATTTCACTAGTAGTGTAAAAACCTTATAAATCTGTATAGCAAATTCTCTTCTCCCATTCTTTTTTATTGTTGTCTTACATTTTACTTTCACATATTCTATAAACACGATATAGCGCTACTATTTTTGCTTTAACAGTTATATTTTAGAACAATTAAAACAATAAAAGCTTTATTTTACTTTATTTTTTGTTTTATCTCCAGAATTATTTATTTCTTTTTGTGAAGCCAAGCTACCTACATAACTTTTAAAAATATTTCCCATAAAGTATTTTTGCTGGCAATAAATTTTCTCTGTTTCAATTTATCTGAAAACTGGTTTATTTTTCATGAGTTTTAAAAATACATTTAGATTTTCTGATGATTGTAGAATTCTAGCCTGATATATATTACTGCCTCACACTATCTCAGGCAAGCTATTAATACCAGTCTTCTACTATAATACTACTATGTTCTTGAGTGACAATGTTTATCCTCCAAAAAGTTCACTGTATTTTAGACTAATTGTGCCCAACATTTATTGCTAATTATATTTACTTATATGTAAGAAATTGCTTTCAATTTTCTATTGTTGCATTAAAAAAATCTACAAAATGTAGTCTCTTAAAGCAAAATGCATTTATTTGGCTTCTGATTTTGTTGAGTAATTCTGATCTAGACAGGCTCCACCTGATCTTAGAAAATTTTGCTCTTATGGCCAGTGATGATGAGCATTTTTTCATGTGTTTTTTGGCTGCATAAATGTCTTCTTTTGAGAAGTGTCTGTTCATAACCTTCGCCCACTTTTTGATGGGGTTGTTTGTTTTTTCTTGTAAATTTGTCTGAGTTCATTGTAGATTCTGGATATTAGCCCTTTGTCAGATGAGTAGGTTAATGCTCGTCATCATTGGCCATCAGAGAAATGCAAATCAAAACCACAATGAGATACCATCTCACACCAGTTAGAAAGGCGATCATTAAAAAGTCAGGAAACAACAGTTGCTGGAGAGGATGTGGAGAAACAGGAACACTTTTACACTGTTGGTGGGACTGTAAACTAGTTCAACCATCGTGGAAGTCAGTGTGGCGATTTCTCAGGGATCTAGAACTAGAAATACCATTTGACCCAGCCATCCCATTACTGGGTATATACCCAAAGGATTATAAATCATGCTGTTATAAAGACACATGCACACATACGATTATTGCAGCACTATTCACAATAGCAAATACTTGGAACCAACCCAAATGTCCCACAATGATAGACTGGATTAAGAAAATGTGGCACATATACACCATGGAATACTATGCAGTCATAAAAAATGATGAGTTCATGTCCCTTGTAGGGACATGGATGAAGCTAGAAACCATCATTCTCAGCAAACTATCACAAGGACAAAAAAACAAACACCGCATGTTCTCACTCACAGGTGGGAATTGAACCATGAGAACACATGGACACAGGAAGGGGAACATCACACAGCAGGGACTGTTGTGGGGTGGGGGGAGGGGGGAGGGATAGCATTAGGTGATATACCTAATGCTAAATGATGAGTTAATGGGTGCAGCACACCAACATGGCACATGTATACATAGGTAACAAACCTGCACGTTGTGTACATGTACCCTAAAACTTAAAGTATAATAATAATTTAAAAAAAGAAAGAAAACCCTCAAAGTAGAAAAAAGAAAAGAATAAATTCTCATCTTTCTTGGCAAAAAAAAAAAAAAAAAAAAAAGGAAAAGAAAATTTTCCTCTTATGTCTATGGTCTTTTCAGTTAGCTGGGGATTGTCTGGTCCACATGACTTCAGTCATGTCTGGAAGTTGGCTGTTCATATGTTGAGGTATCTTCATTTTCCAAAAGGATTTGTATCTACCTGCACAATAGCCCAATCTCATGTATATGTTAGAAAATTTTGTTTTTGTGTTTTCAAAGAGACTCCTTTACAGGGGAAGCATTTGTTATCATAGTGAGAGTAAAAGTTGCACGATTTCTTGAGTCCCCCGATCAAAATTAATGTAATGCCATTTTGCAACAGCTGAGCCTATAGAATTGATTAAAGAAGAGATAAAGTAGAATTTCTTACGGGCTTTTTTCATTTTCCCATTGCTAACTGGCCAAATGATTACACAAACTTATTTTTTCCCCATAAATGTATGAAGTTGAATTGAGTCATCTCTAAAACTCTTCCACCTAAAAATATTGCAATTCTGTCAGCATAAACAACCAGTTCAAGCCATTCTGCTCTTAAGATGATGATAAGGATTACCTTTGGATAGTTATTGGCAGTGCAGAGGTTGAATAAAAAGTCAATTGAATATTTCTCAATATTTGAGAAAAGCTGAATAGAATTATGCCTTTAACTCTTGCAGCAATGACATAAATGTTAGATTAACATCTTTAAGTTAAAAATCAATTTGACTAGATTTCACTTCAAAAAACTTCTTTTTTTTTTTTTTTAGCTTCAACTGTGTTACTTGCACGTAAAACTAAGGCTGGTAATTCAACATATGGCTGACAACACTTCTCAGCAGAGAGGTAATATTTTACCTGAATAATTAAAATGCTATTTATTTCATTTACTGGATGACATTAGCATAATGTGCATTACCAGTTTTCTAATAACATAAAATATCTCTTCATTCTTATAAGCATGTACCATTTCAACAATTGTGACAGAGTGACACTATATTTCAAAGGCAGTTTTGCCCTAAGCAAGACTTAACATCTTTTTAAGTAGTTTAAAAATATCCAAAGCTTATCTCCAGAGGACATCTGCTACTGTTGTTATGGAACATAAAAGACATTTACCGTCAAAATGCAGGCAGTCTACTAGCTAATTTCAAATGCATAAATGAGTGCCTAATCAAAAAAATCATCAAATATCTGAGAAAAATGGACACCATAAAAGAGAGATAATCTCAACCAGATGAAGTATTTCTACCTGTAAAAGAGTTATTAGCTCAATCAGAACAGAACTTTAAAGTACTATATTAGTATCCTACATTATAATTTCTCTATACTTTCATAGTCAATTTATTCCCTTATTCTCTTAAATAATATTTTCACACTGCCATCTCTCTCTTCAGTCTTTCCCGACACAGTCGCCACTATCTGCTGATGCTGTTTATTCCTGTATGAGTGAGAATGTTGAAATAGATTCCAATACCAATTGCACCCTAACCAGCATTTGTACCCACATCCTCTTCTGGAATTTTTCTTGCTACTTATAAATGAACATTCTATGCTTCCAGCTGAAGAGCATCCATTCAAGAACACTTGTTCCCAGATCTCATTTTCTACTCTCTGATATTTCTCAATCTGTTCTTGATTCTCTCCATATATATATATATATATATATATATTTTTTTTTTTTTTTTAATTTTTATTTTTTTTTGAGACAGAGTCTTGCCCTATCACCCAGGCTAGAGTGCATAGTATATAGTGAAGCCATCTCAGCTCACTGCAACTTTTGCCTCCCAGGTTGAAGAGATTCTCTTGCCTCCACCTCCTGAGTAGCTGAGACTGTAGTTGCATGACACCACACCTGGCTAATTTTCGTATTCGTAGTAGAGATGGGTTTCAGCATGTTGGCCAGGCTGGTCTCAAACTCCTGGCCTCAGACAATCCACTCACTTCGGCCTCCCAAAGTTCTGGTATTACAGATGTGAGCCACTACTCCCGGCCCTATTTTTGATTCTCTTCTAAATAAAACCATCAGAAAAAAAGTGGCAATAATTTCTTTAGTCTTAAAAATATTTATTTATCTTCATATCACTTATCCTGTCACTTATGACTTCTTGTTTCACTTTGCATCAGACATCCTCAAATTAGTTATTTATAGATCTAACTTCCAGTTCCTCTCCTGTTTTACACTACGATCACTACAATTAGACTTTGGTTATCACTTTATAAAAACTTTTATTGTCATTGTATTTTCATTGTTATTAATGACCTACCTGATGATAAGTAAAATTGTTATTTCTCCTTCCTTGTTCTAGTGAAATTATCGGCAGTATCTGACATAATTGATTATAAATAATTTCTTCTCTCACCTTTCATCTACTCTTCTTGCTTACTTTTTTCTTTTTTTTACTAAACATTTTATTTTGTAATAATTGTAGATGCAGGTGCAGTAGTAGGAATTACTAAAGATATATCCCATGCACCCTTTAGTCAATTTCTTCCAAAGGTAGCATTTTGTAAAACCTAGTATAATATCACAAGCAGCATATTGATATTGATGCAATTAAAATACAGAAATATTTTTTACCAAAAAGTTCTTCTGTGTTTCTCTTAACTCTTGGCAACCACTAATCTATTCTTCATTTCTACAAATCTTACTCCAAGACTGACAGAACGAGATTATACAATAAGTAGCCTTTTGATGTCAGCTTTTTTTTACACCTATGTTGACAACCACTGTTATAAGGGACTAGATAAGGCACAACAATTACTGACCCATCTTCTGTCATAGCCTTCCTCTCACACATCCATTATGGACATCACTATTGATAGCAGTGCCCAGTCTGCTTAGTCTAGGCATTGTGTCGCCATCTTTCTCAACACAAGAACCCACCCAACAGCTACCAATAGTTCAACATTGGAACAAGGGACAAGATCTTTTTGCCATTCCGGTACTAGATAAGTCTTAGGATCTGTCTCTAAAATTCTGAGTCTGAGATTCCCTCTAGTAATGAGAAATGAGAAATGATAATGAAGTTCACAGGTTAACTCATGGAATATTTGATGTGTCTCAGAGTTATTTTTTTTTCCTGTTTCCATGCTGATGCTCACACATTCTGCAGTGATAATGCTGATGAGTGATGAGTGAATCCACATAGAGATAACCAGTATGTGCTTCTCCAGACACTTGGTCAATATGTTATGTTCTATATTCTGGAAATAAAGGTATCAAACATTGTGATTAATATTTTTTAATTTTTTTAAATGTTAATAGGTTTTGGGGAACAGCTGGTGTTTGGTTACATGAATAAGTTCTTTAGTGGTGATTTCTGAGATTTTGGTGCACCCATTACCTGAGCAGTGTACACGGTACCCAATGTGTATTCTTTTATCCCTATCCACTCTCCACCCTTTCCTCTAAGTTCCCAAAGCCCAAATGCCCATCAATGAGTGGATAAAGAAAATGTGGTATGTATATGTGTACATAGAGAGATAGATAACTAGATATACACTATATATATATACACATACACACACACCCACCATGGAATACAACTCAGCCATAAAAAAGAATGAAATAATGCTATTCTCAGCAGCCTGGATGGAACTGGAGACTATTATTCTAAGTGAAGTAACTCAGGCATGGAAAACCAAACATCTTATGTTCTCACTTACATGTGGGAGCTAAGCTATGAGGATGCAAAGGCATGAGAATGATAACACTGTTTTTGTTTGTTTGTGTTTTTACTGAAACTATTTCCCTGGTGATGTAGGTAGAGTGTTGTTTAGTTTGTTCTTTTTATTGTCCCGCAGCCTTCCACGGTATTGATGTATCACATTTTCTTCAACCATTCATCTTTTAGAAGACGTTTGGTTTGTTTATGGCTTTTGACTATTATAAATAAAGTTTCCATAAACATTCATTTACAAGTTTTTATGTGAACATAAGATTCAATTTTACCAGAATAAATGCCCAGAAATACAACTGCTGGATCATAGGGGAGTTGCAGGTTTGTTTGTTTGTTTTCAAGGAACTGCCAGCTTTGCTGTACTATTTTACTTCCTTATAAGCAGTTTCTCTACATCCTGAACAGCATTTAAACATTAATTGCTGGTGTTTTTGTATCTAATTTTAACTATTCTGATAAGTGCATAGTGATATGTCATTGTGATTTTAATTTGCATTTCCCTAATAACTAATGATGTTGGATTACTCTTTATGTGTTTATTTGCCTTCTGTATATCTTACTTGGTGACATGTCTTTTCCTGTATTTGCCTAATTTTCAAGTTAAATGGTTTAGTTTTCATAGTTACAGAGTAGAAGTTTTTAATTTTGATGAGGTCCGTTTATCTTTATTATGGTTTGTGATTTTAGTACCAAGTCTAAGAAGTGTGACTAGTCCTAGATACTAAATATTTTCTCTCTCTTTTTTTTGTTCTAAAAGTTTTATAGTTTTATATTTTATCCAGAATCAATTTTGAATTGATTATTGTATAGGCTATGTAACTTAGGTTAAGCTCTGTCTTTTTAAAATTTATTTTCTTTCTTTCTCTCTCTCTTTCTTTTTTTCACTTTTTCTCTCATTTTTACTTATTATTATTTTTTGCTTATTGATATTCATTTGCTCCACCACCATTTGTTGAAAGGATATCTTTCCTCCACTGACTTATTTTTGCACATTTGTCATAAATCATTTTGGTACATTTGTGTGGGTCCATTTCTGGGTTCCCTATACAGTGGCACTGATTTGTGTGTCTTTGCTTCCACCTATACTATCTTGTCTTAATTATTATAGTATAGAATAAGTCTTTAAATCAGACTACTTCCTCCCACTTTAATTTTTTCAACACTGTTTTAGCTACTTTACTTTCTTTGTATTTCCATGTATATTTTATAATATTTTTGTCTGTATCTACAAAAATCATGATGAGATATTTTACAGAAATTGTGTTAAACCAGAATGTTGATTTGGGAGAAAATTTTCACCTCTGTTGTCTTTTAATCTTCCAATCTGTAAGCATATGTCTCTCAATTTGCTTATATCAGCTTTGATTTACTATCTCAGTGTTTTGTAGTTTTACATACAAGTTTTGTATGAGTTTTGTTAGTTTTACACCCAGTTATTTCTTTGTTTTTGAATGATGACCTATGGCATTATGTTTTTAATTTCAGTGTCTATGAGTTTTACATTAGTGTAGATACATACAACTGATTTTTGCATGTCCTGTGACATTGCTAAAATCATTTATGAGCTCAAACATTTTGGGTTTTTGTTTTGTTTTGTTTTGATTTTAGATTCTTCAGTGTTTTCTACGTAGATTATCATGTCATCTGCAAACAGAGAAAGTTTGCTTTTATTCTGTCTCATCTGTATGTATGTATGCATGTATTTATATGTTACCTCTCACACACTATAATATAAGTGGTGAACATAAATAGGAGTGGTAAACATAAATATCCTGACCCTGTTCTCAATCTTAGGGGAAAAAGCGTTCCGTATCTCACCATTAGGATAATGTTATAATTTAGGTTTTTGTGGATGGTCTTTATTTACGTTGAGGAAGTTTCCATCTACTAGTTTTCTGAAAGTTTTTATTATTAATGAATCTTAAATTTTGTAGAATGCTTCTCCTTTATCAATTTATATGTTGATATTATTTTTCTTCTTTAGCCTGTTTCCCAGTGGATTACATTAACTGATTTTCAAATATTGAACCAGCTTTGCATTCCTGAAATAAATTCTACTTGGTCACAGTACGTAATTTCACAGTATATCATTCTTTTTATATATTGTTGAATTCTTTTTGCTACATTTTATAGGATGCTTGCATCTATATTTCTAAAGGATATTAATTTGTATTTTATTATGTACCATCTTCATCTGGTTTTTGTATCAGGGTAATACTAATGTTATGAAATAAATTGTAAAGTATTTTTCTTCTATTTTCTGAAAGAAATGTATAAAATTGGTATTAATTCTTTCTTAAGTGTTTAGTAGTATTCTCCAGTGAAACATCTGGGCCTACAGACTTCCTTTTTGGTAGGTTTAAAATTACAAATTACATTTTATTAATAGTCATAGGATCTATGATCTGTTTCCTATTGTGTTGTTCCGTTGGTGGTGTTTTTTCTTAGTTTTCAGAAGTTTACATATGATTTGCCTTGTTTCGTATTTCTTTGGGTGTGTTCTATTTGGGGTTTACTTAGCTTCTTGAAAACACTGGTTTATATCTTTGCTAAATTTTTGACACTGTCAGTATTATTGGTTTTGAGTATTTTCTCAGCCCTACCTGCTTTCTTTTTATTTATTTTTTCCTATGGGGCTCCAATAATACGAAAGTTAGCTTTTTGTTATCATTCCCAGGTCCTTGAAGTACTGCTTATTATACTTTTTTAGTCTATTTTCTCTCAGTTAAGATTGAGTAATTTCTATTTTTCTGTCTTCCTATTTACTGATTCTTACCTCTGTCCTGCCCATTGTTTTTTTAAGCCCATCCACTGTTGTATTGTTTTAATTTTAATTTTTGTATTTTGTATAAATTTAAATTTTTTTATTTCCCTTGTTTATGTCTCTATTTTGGGGCTGATACTTTTTGGACTGAGACATTCTATTTTTTTCATTTGTTTCAAGCCTGTTTGTGGTTGCTCCTTGAAACATTTTTATGACCGATATAACACATTCATGAGAAAAAGCTACTATCTCTGTCATTTTGGTGTTCTATTGCTAGCTTTTTTTCTTTCACTTTGAGAACTTTCTGGGTCTTGATATGAAA
This sequence comes from Homo sapiens, assembly GCF_000001405.40. Lineage (NCBI taxonomy): Eukaryota > Metazoa > Chordata > Mammalia > Primates > Hominidae > Homo > Homo sapiens. The sequence continues at coordinate 191,265,948 of NC_000001.11, forward strand.
AGTGACTTTTATTGAAATACGGAAATGAGTTATAAGTCATGGATCTTATCTAAACCTTTCATTTGAGCTGGATTCTGACACTGCTCTAATAGGGGAAGGGGAAGAGGGATATGTGTGCTGTTTCGTTGGTCCAAGTGGAGGGTGAAGTTCAGGTTTCCCACCCAGCTGCCATTGACACCCAAGGTAGGGGGCAGGATCATTTCGTCACTGCCAAGCAGGAGTGGGACTTCTGGTTCCCCAAGAGGCTTCCATTGACACTGTGTGCGTGAACCATATTATCATTGTCCATCGTGGTAGGCTGCCCCTTTTTTGGTCTTTGCCAAGAGGGAGAAAGTTTTGTTGGGGAGTTTTTTAGTCTGTGCCTGTTGGCATTTTCGCATTGCCAGCTTCTGCAGCTACCAGGCTAATGTATATGAGGCCAAAAGAAAATCCAAGGAAATCACCAGTATTCTGTTCTTTGAATAACAAGATACCTATCAAACTGCTGACTATATCCCATCTTTCAGAGTCTTTCTATGTTTGTTTATATATTTTGTCCAGGAGTTTTAGATGTAATTAGTGGCAGGAATAGAATAAATACACCTATTCCATCTTCCAGGAAATGGAACTCACCATGTAATGTTTATTTCAATCATTAATATTGATAATCAAGTGCACTGTTAATACTTGTATTTAATAAATATTTACGTAGCACATTTTATGTGTAAGCCCTATTTTATGTTCCTTAGTAATAACAACTTATTTAGTCTTCATATCACCACTATGATTTAGATCTTACTATGATCATCCCTACTTTGAAGAGAGGAAAACTGAGAAAATAAGTATGTGATTTTGCTGCCAATTTGAATAGTACAACAGGTCTTTAGATGCTTATGGTATTGACCCAGTGTCTGTGTGTTCATTCTCAATGCTACAGTTTGTCTTCACACACCACAGCTTAAACAAAACAGACAGAATTTAATGAGATAGTCTTAAGTTCATAAAGTGTGCAAATTTAAAATAACTTCCTCAACAGTCATAAAGTAGCTAAGCAAAAATCAAAATAGGAAATATATTTTATTTTGTTTTATTTTACTTTTTGAGACGGAGTCTGACTCTGTCACCCAGGCTGGGGTGTAGTGAGTGGCATGATCTCGGCTCACTTCAGCTTTTGCCTCTTCGGTTCAAGTGATTCTCTTGCCTCAGCCTCCTGAGTAGCTGGGATTACAGGCAAGCACCACCACACCTGGCTAATTTTTTGTATTTCTAGTAGATACAGTGTTTTGCCATGTTGGCCAGGCTGGTCTTGAACTCCTGACCTCAGGTGATCCACCCACCTCGGCCTCCCAAAGTGCTGGGATAACAGGCCTGAGCCAACATGCCTGGCTCAAAATATAAAACATTTAAAAAATTACGATTAACATGTACTGTTTGTATCCAACCTTCCCACCAAAAATAATGTGCTCTTTTCAAACACACATGACACAGTGATTGACACATAATTACCATTAATAAAAGATCTGACAATCTACACAAATTCAAAGGGTTGGCATTGTATGGGTCATTATCAGTGACCAAAAGCTAATAAAAATAGAAAAAAAAAATCCACATACCAGAAAACGTAAGTTTTACATCTGCTTCTAAACTGCTATTTATTGGAATAAATCAAAATCGAAATTATAGGATATTATTGACTAAACAAGGGAGTTTACATTCATCAAAAAGTGGAATGTGGCCAGAATACTTTTCATGTTTAATAATCAAGAAAGATTGAAAATAAAACATTAAACTTTCAATGTAAGAAGATAAAAATGTATGACAAAATAAATCTTAAAAATGTAAAATAAAAGCATAATGTTTAAAAATCATTTGCTAAAACATAATTGTAGTCAGACATTCATGAATCGACAACTATATATAACATATACATGCAAGTAAGTTTTTTTTAAAGTAAGAACGTGTTTTCTAATTTTTGTTCAATAATTTCAGGACTGTCTTACAGAAAAATTTTCATATATTAATTTATCGATAGTTTGGGTAGACCCAATTCCTTTCATATTCATCAGCTTTCTCTCACTTTATGTAATTGAGTACATAATAATTAAGAAAAAAGTTTTAGAATTTAGCACATTTTGGAAAGATACATTTTAGAGATAGGGATAATAATTACAATTTAAATTTGTATATATATGTAATATACATAAACATATATATAATCTAAAGGTTTTTTAAAAGCAGAATTTTGAATCAACAAAATTACTTTCTTCGGGAGCATGTAGTTAACTTTCCTAAGAAGTTCCTTTTTATTAGGCAATTTTATATGTATTTTCATAAATGTAATATATTAATAAAAGTAGTTCAAAATTAAAACAATTTGAAAAATGTTGATAAAAATAGGAAAAATTATTTACTGAATACATGAATGGAAAATGATACTGTGAATTAGTTAATACTTAAATGTATAAATGTATTCTACTATATATGCTTCAGGTGTAAGTTTTATAAATATTAAACTATTGTATTGTAATCTCTTTGTTAAAACACGTTTTTCTTTGCTTTTTGTGTATATAGGAGTCAGAGAGGGTTTACATTGACTAGAACAAAGCAGTTGACATTTCACATTAAGATCAAATTTGTCATGCAATTTAAAGCTTTTCCATCTCATTAACATGGTAGTCAAAGAAATAGTCTCGTCTTTATAAGATGACCTAAGTTGGATTTTTCTCCCATACTCAAATATATACCTATTTTGCAGAAAGGAAGGGAAAATAAATATGAACTCAAAGGGAAGAAACATGCTTGCCTAGAGAACCTAAATACAATTTGTCTTTCACTACCCACTCTTCCCTCCTTTAAAATAGAGTCTCTGACTATTAATGTTGCATACAGCCAAAAAAATACACATTAAAAAAAAATCACAAAAATAACAAAACTCCTACAATTTCCAATCCTTTCTACCTGAGAAGGCCACGTGCCCAAGTTCGAAAACTGGAAGAGCCTCAGGATAGATAGAAGGAGTCCAGGTCCCTGAGAATCAAGGCACCACCATAAATATTAGCCACTTTACTTTCTGACTTTGTATAGATGAAAAAGAAATTGCTATGCTGTTCATATCTGTGAATTTTGCTTTGTTTTGTTTTGTCTTTATAGATAAATATAATCCCAAGTAGTATAAGAATATTTAAATGATTATATCTGTCTCCATTAAATTTAAAATTGTTGATACAAAATTAGTTTTTTTCTCTCTTACCTAGTATATGGGGCATGTAAGGAAGATCAGTGAGTTGAGACAAAATACAGAAAGAAGTGCTTTTGCATATATTTATTTATAGTTAATATGAGGCTATAGAGAGCAAGGCTTTTTAAAATCTTTCTGTTCTTACATGCATGATCTGTGTAATTTGAGGTCACTTGCTGAAAAGTTGCAAACTACCATTTGTATTATAATAGGAATCAAAGACCCACCAAAAAGATAGAAAATGTGTTTTAAAATAAACATCCCTGATGTATTTGTTTATAGCTAAATTCCCATGAGCATGTAGTTTCTATTTCTTTCTCCCTAATATATAGATCAAGCTTGAGATTTTTTATTGTCTCCAGGAAATATATTGTGACAAATAAACTACAGCGGTTTATTTCTTTTCAAATCTTAGTACTGTCCTTCACCTTCTATGTTCTTTGAAAGTTTGTCTCTCAATTAATCTATTTTATGGCACCTTAGGGCCCTACGGGAGTCTTCCACTGTCTTATTTATCTTCTCTATGGAGGATTATTTTAAAGCCTAACTGTTTAATAGTGACTAAATATAGTAGAGTGCATGTATTAAGACACATTAAATACACTTCTAGTTATTTTGGTGTATAGGCTGAAAATATTACTGTACATTTGATATGTTGTGTTATGATGTCTGTAAGTCTTTTTAGATTATTCATTAAAATATTATTTTTAAACCATGGCATACTGTGTGAAATATATTTTGTTAAATGCCAGCATTTCAAAGTCTATTAAAATTGCTTCTTCTTAAAGATGATCAAATATGAAGGTAAGGAGACATTTAAATGGAAAATTGTAATAAATATTCTTTGATAAGTACTCTAATATATCTATCACTAGGTGATATTACCTCTTTAAAATGGACATAGAATCTCAAAAAAGAGGTGGATAGGACAAGCTTTTTTTGTGACTGGTACAACTTTAAATTAAATCCATAAGAGTAGAGTTTAACAACAGCAAGAAGTTTCAGAAGGCTATTGTATCAGAGAAGATGCATGCTAATAAGCCAGAAGATTGAGAAATTATAAAACATTTTGAGAACTTTTTTAAATCTCAGTGTGCAGTTGAATAAGACATGATGAGAAGAAAAAATAAATCAAGTACCACATTTTGAATTGATATTTTTATTTAAGAAGTGTGAATTTTTATTCCAATAACTACTTGGGAAGGAAAAATTATATGGTAACATTTCATTTGGAAATATTACTCTGGAAACATTGGAAGAATGGTGAGGGACCAGCAATACAATGAGGGTTATAATGAGAATCCTAGTTAAATAAGTGTTGGCAGGAAAGTCATGGATGATATAAAAAAATCCAAAGATCGTGTAACATATATAACACTGTGATTGACTGCATATAGGAATAATATCAAAAGCAGTTTTTCAGCTTGAGTAATTTTGTAAGGAAGTACGCTGCATACTGAAGAAGACATAATTGTGGCTCTCTAGGTCGCAGAGATGCTTTGCTAGTAGATCTTGTTAAAAAATATGTCCTCCAGTATGCATGGCACTGGAGGCACTATAAAACTACCTGGGGGGTTGTCAAGGGAAGCCACAAGTCCCCAGATAATGCTAATTATGATGTATTGCAAGCCCTGGGTATGGAAGAATCTCTTTCTGTTCAGCGGGAGCTAGGTGGTGGAGAAACACCTGCACTGAAGAATCTAGGCACTATAGAATTTACTCCTGCTGAAAGAGCCTAATGCTCTGTTTGTGCTGTGGGAATCTGTCAAGGGAGCACATTTGAACCGAAAAGAAAATTCCTTTTCCCTGCAATAATTTTTTTCCCAGAATCCTCTACCGACAAAACTTAACCTTATGCCAACAGGCAGAAGAAAAGTTTTATATCATTTAGATTCATTTATACAGAGCAAACAAAGGAAGGTAAATTTGGAACTAGGAAACAATAAATTGATGACTGGCATGCCAGTCAATGGAATTCAACAATTCCACTTCCAGGTATTTATTTAAGATAAATAAAAATATAAATCCATAAAACTTATACATAATTGTTAACAGCAGATTTATGTAACAAAAAACTGATAACAATCCAGGGAGCTTCAACAGGTGAATGAATAAGTAAATTGAGGTATCTGAATACAATGTAATACTACTTGGCAACAAAACAGAACAAACCATTTATACCTGAAACAATATGAATGACTTTTAAAGTATTATGGTGAAGGATTGAAGTCAGACATAAAAGAGTTCTTATTGTATTTTTAAAATTTACATGAAGATCTTGAAGAGGCAAAATGGATCTATAGAGATAGAAAGGATGATGATTGTCCAAGGCAAGTGGCGAGTGAACTGATGGCAAAGGGAAATTAAGGAGCCTCCTGGGGTGATTAAGATATTCTGTATCTTAATTTGGTTGCTGGTTATGAGTGTGTAAGTTTGTCAAAATTTTCAAACTATACACTTAAAAAGTATGAATTTCATTCTATGTAAACTATGCCTAATTTAAGAATATCTAAAGTAAATAATGATATTCTATTAATTTTAATGACCTTGAGGTTTTATCCATGTATCACTAGAATATGAATTTTGTAGACATAAAGATGTTTTTGCATATTAACTTTACACCAAAATTATCATTCAAAAAGTCATAGGTTTGTTTTTCATGTAGACATTAAATGTCTTTAATTAAAGACATTAAAGACTAAAAAAAAATACAACATCGTGATGCATTTTATATAATTAGGTATAGATAGTATAAAAAATTGGTTTACCTCAGCAATATGATTCAACATTGTGATATCTCTTGAAATAATACAATGGATGAGTAAATTCAAAATATTTGATAATTTTAATAGAAACAAGAACATAACTTCTAAATTTTGACATCCACCTCTGATTAATAACTCTTATGAGACTGTTTGAAGGGATACAAGAATGGCTTCTGTTACTGACGATAATTAATATTCTTCTAAATGATTTAGCCCATCAATTATAAGTGAAATATTTTTGGCTGAAAGTAAAAGAAAATTGCAAATCAAATGCTTTAAACTCTATTGAATGTCATTCTTTCAGAAATAAGGCGCTTTGAATAATTCACTCAGCTACTTAAAGACTAAGCTTTAATAATTTTAATTTATTTTATTTTTTTTTTTTTGAGACAGAGTCTTGCTCTGTAGACCAGGCTGGAGTGCAATGGCACCATCTCGGCTCACTGCAAGCTCTGCCTCCCGGGTTCATGCCATTCTCCTGCCTCAGCCTCCCGAGTAGCTGGGACTACAAGTGCCCGCCACCACACCTGGCTAATTTTTTGTGTTTTTAGTAGAGACGGGGTCTCACCGTGTTAGCCAGGATGGTCTCTATCTCCTGACCTCGTGATCTGCCCACCTCAGCATCCCAAAGTGCTGGGATTACAGGCGTGAGCCACCGTGCCAGCCTAATCCTTTTAATTAATAAATTAATTTTTTTACTCTGCCTTCTTCAGAATGTCATCTTTGTTCTTTGCTCTCAGGTACGGTCACCCCATGGCTACAACATGCATGCAACAGTTCTAGGAATCATCAACAAATACACCCATATTTAAGGTAGTTGATGTTTCGTTAGCAGTGAAAAATTAATCTTCCAGAAGCTCCAAGTATAGCACTCATTAGGTGTCATTAATTGCCCATATTTAAGTCATTTACTGCAAGGAAAAGGGGAACACTATGATTTGCTTAGAGCAATCTGAATATGTTTGTAGAGCTTGAATAAAGGATGATCTTAGAGTTGCAAGTTGTGTTTCTGTTAGCAACAATGAAGTGTCAGCCAGGCATGGTGGCTCAAGTCTGCAATTCTAGCGCTTTGGGAAGCCAAGACAGGAGAATTGCTTGAGGTCAGGAGTTTAAGACCAGCCTGGGAAATATAGTGAGACCTCGACGCTACCAAAAATTTAAAAAATTAGCTGAGTGTGGTGGTACCTACCTATAGTCCCAGCTACTCCGGTGTCTGAGGAGGGATGACTTCTTAAGACCACCAGGTCAAGATTGGAGCTATCTGTAATCATGCCACTACATCTAGCATGGTTGACAGAGCAAGACCCTGTATTAAAGTAAGTAAATAAATAAAAAAGATGAAGTGTGAGATAGATGATTAGATTAGCATGCCACACTGATGTAATAGAATGCAATGAAGGAAGAAAAAAACACATGGGAAATTAATATATAATTAAGTAAATGTCATCTAAAGAATTTAATATAATCAACTAATAACAGTAAAACTAAAAAGGAACCCAAAGCTCTCTCAATACAAGATAAACACACTAATTATTCCCATAAATACAAACAATAACAATCAATAAGATAAATATAAATTCCAAAAATAAACTTATGAATAAGTTCCCAAATCTAAAATTGAGAAAATTAATAAACTTCAAAAATGAAAATCATAAAATAACATTACAATAAATAATATCATTTTTCTAATTAGAAGGACTTCATACTGCAACATTTTGACTTATAAATTCAATGTAATCACAACAAATAGGAAAGAAATATTTTATTTGACTTAGGAAAGTTATTCTACTGTTTATCTCAAAATGTAAAGGAGAATTCATGTTGCTTTATTAATAAAATTATTTAGCATAAAATAATATTGAGATTAGAAACCTGCTGGGCATGGTGGCTCACATGTGTAATCCCAGCACTTTGGGAGGCTGAGGTGAGCAGATAGCTTGAAGCCAGGAGCTCAAGACTAGCCTGGGCAACATGGCAAAACCCCGTCTCTACTAAATATACAAAAATTAGCCAGTCATGGTGGTGGGCACCTATAATCCCAGCTACTCTGGAGGCTGAGGCAAGATTGCTTAAACCTGGCAGAGTTTGCAATTAGCTGAGATGGCACCACTGCGCTCCAGCCTGGGTGACAGAGTGAGACACTGTATGAAAAAAAAAAAAAAAGAGAGAGAGGTGAGAAATCATCTCAGCAATGGGAGCAGTTAATAGCAGTTAATATATAACACATTAAATTAGTAAAAAAAGATAAACATTTAGTATGTAATATTGGGGTAACTGACCTTTATTTATCAAATGAACAAAGAACAAAGATTTTTACTGCATACTCCATGCAAAAGAGAATAGATAAAATAGAACATAACTTGAAAATTATAGAATACAAAAAATTAATGTGGTCAAATATCACTTATTTAGGAATCTAAAAAGGTTTCCTAGGAGAGGTACATATCCTAGAAGCAATAAAAGAAAATAAAATGTGGATGTATTTTTCTATACGTTCAGTATTTTAAACTTAGCTACCAAAAAATCACCAAAAGCAAATGTTTAAAAAGAAAAGGAATAGATGAGGAAAAATATTTGTCATATGTACAGTAATAACTGGCTTTCACCAATCAATGAGAAAAGGATAATGATCCCAATTTAAAAATGAACATATGATAAAAATAGACAATTCACAGAAATAGGCACAAATTGTCAAATAAAAGAAGAGATACTACAGCCTAGAGGTTACCAAAGTTTTTTCGTGTGTGTATGAAGATCCACACAGTAAATTTTAGTCTTTGCTAGCCAGGCGTCTCTATTGGAACCACTTAATGCTTCCATTGCAGCTTGAAAACTGCCACAGACTTGGTTCCATTTCAATTAAACTTCCCAATTTGGCCAAGTTGCAGAATTTGCCAACCACTATTTTAGCCCAATAGCAATCTTGGAAATACAATGTTTTTAAAGGAGCTTAACCGTCAGATTAAAACATGGGTCACAAATTTTAATTTTTTTCATTATTAAAATATGTCTTCTTTATGATAAGAAAAAGTATCAATTAGAAGTCATTTAAAAGTTCTTTTGTGGAAAAAAACAGGCAAAGAACATAGAAAGATGAAAATGTATTAAAACTATGGGAATAATTTTTAATTTAACAGAATTTAACCAGTTTATTAAACATATTTGGCTATTTTACTGCCGTTTTTAATAAACTCCTTAACACTGTTCACTCTTAAATGGTCTATTTTAAGTATATAAATACACATGTAGAAATAAGATAATTATAACAATAAAGTAGAAAAATGCAAAAGTATCACAAGACAGTTTTACTCTCATTTCTTCAAGAAACCTCAGGGGACTTACAAGATAGGTTGCTTAATAAATTTAAATGATTAAAGGGATTATGTTTAAAATGGTTACAGACTTTTTAAGAATTATATATTAAAACATAGTAGAAATATTTTTTATGGAATATGAGCTTGACTTGTATAAATTGGGGAAATAGAGGAAGGGAGTATTGTATTTTTTGAATTATGGATTGTAGTGGCATTTTTAATACTTAATGGAAGGACAATAGGCTACATTGTATTGCTTGTCACTACATAGATGTACCAGACATTCCGATGAGATTAAGAAAGGCAAAGCGTCGTGACACTGGCTAACTTTCTGCTGCTGTGACTAATGCTTCAATTTGCCTGCAAAAGCTGTCAGTAGCTTCCAGTGGGTCCAGACATTGGTGGTGTCCCCATGTTCTGACATCTAGACTGTGTATACAGTGTGATGTGTGTATTTTATTTTATTTTAACTTCTGGAATACTTGTGCAGGACATGCAGGTTTGCGACATAGGTAAATGTGTGCCATGAGGTTTTGCTGCACTGATCACCTCATCATGTAGATATTAATCCCGGTATCCATTAGCTATTCTTCCTGATGCTCTACTCTTCCCACAACCTCTCCGCAGGCTCTGTTGTGTTTTCCTCGCCATATGTCCATGTGTTCTCATTGTTCAGCTCCCACTTATAAGTGAGAACATATGGTGTTTGGTTTTCTGTTCCTGTGTTACTTTGCTGAGGATAACAGCTTCCAACTCCATCCATGTCCCTGCAAAGAACATGACCTCATTCCTTTTTATGGCTGCATAGTATTTCATGGTGTATGTGTACAACATTTTCTTTATCCAGTCTATCATTGATGGGAATTTGGCTTGACTCTATGTCTTTGCTATTGTGAATAGTGCTGTAATGAACATAAGCATGCATGTATCTTTATAATAGAATGATTTATATTCCTTTGGGTATATACCCAGTAACAGGATTGCTGGGTCAAATGGTATTTCTGGTTCTAGATCTTTGAGGAATCACCACACTGTCTTCCACAATGGTTGAGCTAATTTACATTCCCACCAACAGTGTAAAAGCATTCCTATTTTTCTGCAGCCTCGCCAGCATCTGTTGTTTCTTGACTTTTTAATAATTGCCATTCTGACTGGCATGTGATGGTATCTCATTGTGGTTTTGATTTGCTGTTCTCTGACGATCAGTGATGTTGAGCTTTGTTTTAATATATATTTGTTGGTCACATTTTTTAATGTGGCATTTTAATACCACAATGTGTTGCTTAGAGCAATGTCATAACTGAATCTTCAATAGGCAATTCCACCTATGCAAAAGTCTATTTACTTCAGTATGGCAGGGTACAGGAAACACAATTAAGTCTTATTGTTATAACTTGAAAGACACAAACTTTTAAATTCCACAAAGGGATTATTATTCTAATCACATAACTAGTCCTGTATCTATTAAAATTTAATCAAAAATCTAAAACCTCAAACAGGCCTATATGGTTTTACTGGTAAATATTTGAGAAGAAAATACTCCAAATATTTAAGAAGAAAATACTCCAAATATTTAAGAAGAAAACAGACATTCCTTCTAGTAAGTAGAATCAGAAGGGATTACTGGCTTTTAATGGGCTGAAGAAAACTCTGCTTTTAACAGGATGATATGATTAGCTGGTGCCTATCTGGAAAATATTCCTTTTGATAATAACAAAGTCGATGTATTAGTAATTTTAATCATATCTACAAATTATCTCATCATGTAATATAATATTTTTATATATATAATATCTCATTATATTTACCATTCTAGGAACTATAACAAACCTTGGAGTATATATTTTGAAATTGTGCCTACCATATTCACTAACATACTTGTAACCATATAGTGATAGCTATTCTTTAATACTTCATTTCCTGTAAGTCCAGACATCTTGTCTACATCTTAGCTGAAACAAAATGAAAATGAATGCTGAAAATGTTCATGGTAGCCAAGTTGACCACTTTTAACAAACTTTGATGAATGACTTTGCTTACATCTCATTACAGATTTTTGACACACATTCAAGCATGGAGGCTGAGGTGTTTCTAAGAATGAGTGTTTTTTAATTGAGCAAATTGTTACTCACTCTTTCTATTGCTCTAGCTGGTATTCTAGAACTAAGAAAGAAGAGGATACTGTGCAGATAGTGTATGGTCCCTCAGTATCCATGGGGGACTGATTCTAGGACACCTCATAGGATACCAAACTCCAAGCATGCTCAAGTCCCTTATATAAATGTAGTATTTGCATATAACCTATGCACCTCCATATGCACATTCCATATACGTCTTTTTTTTTTTTTTTTGAGAGATGGACTGTTATTGTCTGCCAGGCTGAAGTACAGTGGCATGATCAGGTTCACTGCAGTCTCAATCTTTCAGGCTCAAGTGATCCTCCCACCTCAGCCTATTGAGTAGCTGGGACTACAGGTGCATGCCACTATGTCTGGCTAATTTTTTAATTTTTTGTAATGATGGGGTCTCACTATGTTGTCCAGGATGATGTCAAACTCCCAGACTTAAGCAATCTTCCTGCATTGGCTTTCTCAAGTACTAGGATTATAGGCATGACATAGTGCACTGGCCCATATACAATACTTTAAATAATCTCTAGATTATTTCTAATACCTGATTCAATACCCAAACATTAGTTCATTCCTGTGGATTCAATATAGTACTCAGCAAATTCAAGTTTTGCTTTTTTGGAACTCTGTAGACTCTTTTCCCAACTATATTCCATCCAAGGTTGGTTGAATCCCACAGATGAGGAACCCACAGATACGGAGAGCTGACTGTATATCTACACACGAAGTTTCCAATTATTACATCTCATAATATGTGTTCTCCATATTTCCTAGTCTTAATTTATGTTTGTTGAAAAATAATTTTGTTTAATCTCAAAATAGAATAACATTAATGATTCAATAGGATTTAGAATTTTTGTTGAACTTGGAGACATACACGAAGTAACATGAAACTTTTTTAATGACTAATTTGTCCCCATTCTCTCTTTCAAGACATCTGTTATTTGCATATTATTATTAAGCTTGAATATTTTCTAATGGGAAATGAGGTGGTGTAACTTTAGAAAGTATTTTTCTTTAAACAATCTCCAAGCTAAATGAATGTTATATTGTTTAGTAATGGCAACAGTGGCGGTGAAAATGATACTAACCTTACTAATAATAACTTTTAACAGTTAGTACTTACCAAACATAGACAACATTCTCAATACTTTATACAAAGGAACTAAATCAGTTTTAACATTAAGCCAATTATCTGAGTACTCTTATTATCCTCATTTTACATGCAAAGAAATTAAGGAACATAGATGTTAGGTAAGTTATCCAGATGTTTTGGTATGTGGGTTTAGTCCACAGCTAATGGAATTAAATTCTGTGGTAAAATAAGCATACTTCCCATCAATTTGAGTAATGTATTATATTCTAGATGGTGATAATATTCTAGATAGTCACTCCTTTCCCCCCTCCTCCATCTCCTGACAACCACTAATGAACTTTCTACCTGTATGGATTTACCTATTCTGGACATTTCATATAAACAAAATCATACAGTATGTAGCCTTTTCCATCTTTTTCAGATAGTTTGTTGCATGAGCTTTATATATTCAATGTAGGCCCTTAATTAGAAATTTCTGGTCACATCCTATGCATAAATAGATTTATATTTTATATTATATTCACATTCAAACCAGCAGATGTGATTTTCAAGTCGATGATTTCATGCAAAGTGGTTTCTGATTGTGCTACATATGGTATGGGTGCATTAATATAATGAGTAACTTCTGGAATAATGATGCAAATTTCCCACAAAATATACATCTTATAGACATATAAATCAAGATGTTCACATATGAAAAGCATGACATTTCAAGGCATTTTTAGATTCTAACAAAGAAATTTAATAAAATTGTGTATGTTCAGAGAAAACACATTAGAAGAATCTTTTAATATATTTTTAATTCCAGTGGTGATTGTATCATAATGTCTGGGATTTCAAATAGTAGCTGACTCAAGGCATTTGCATTTAATGTTTCCTCCAGACTTTTAGATAAGTACATCATCATAAGCACACTTATACATCATACCTGTAGGTACAGGTTAGTCCATCAAAAATAATTGTAACCACTACGCATAATTTGAAAAAAATCACTTGAATAATTTCATGACTCATGCTATCCAAACAACAGTTAACTTGACAAGGGATTCATGTCTTAGTCTATTTGTGCAGCTATAACAGAAGATTGCACCTAAGATTGCGTAATTCATAAAGGACAGAAAATTCCCACAGCTCCAGAAGCTGGGAAGTTCAAGATCAAGGCACAAGCAGGTTTGGTTATCTGGTGAGGGCTGCATCCTCTGAGGGAAGGACACTGTGTTCTCACATGGCAGAAGGTGGAAGGGCAAGAGAGCCAAATGCCACCTGAAGCTTCCTTTGGAAGACCCTTCATCCCCTTCCTGAGGGAGAAGACCTTATGACCTACTCACCTCTTAAAGCTCTCAGCTCTTAAAACAATCACAGTGACAACACCTGAATTTTGTAGGAGACACATTTAAACCATAGTAATTCACAGGTGTATTCGGCAAGGTCCAATTGGAAAGAAAGAACAATGCTAGGTATTCCAAAAAGAATTAATTATAACACAGATAATTGATTACACTATTACTGGATGGCTGAAAGAACAAAAAGGATTGCTGAGATGAAGCAGTCATGAATAACCATAGAAGCAGGCAGTTACCACACCTATGTCAAGGAAAAGAAAAAACAAAGTAGAAGGGCTGGGCACAGTGGCTCATGCCTGTAACCTAGCACTTTGGGAGGCCAAGGCAGGAGGATTGCTTGAGTATAGGAGTTGGAGACCAGCCTGGGCAACATAGCAAGAACTCATTTCTACTAAAAATACAAAAAAAAAAGCCGGCTGTGATGGTGCACTAAATTTTACTAGATTTTGCAAGCTACAAACCTAAAATTAAGAGAAAAAAGGAAATTTATGCTTTATGATTCCAAAATAGTCGATAGTAACCTAAACACCCAAAAATTAAAAAAATTGTGACACCAATAATATTTTATTCATTAAACTTGAAGATTAATTTCATCATATAAATTTTTAAATATATTATTCTGTAACATTTTTATATACATATGTGGAAACAGGATACATTAGTCTCTTCTCAGGCTGCTAATAAAGACATACCAGAGAGTGGCTAATTTATAAAGGAAAGAGGATTAATGGTCTCAAAAGTTCCACATGGCTGGGGAAGCCTCACAATCATGGCAGAAGGCAAAAGAGAAGCAAAATCAAGTCTTATATGGCGGCACGCAAGAGAGCCTGTGCAGAGGATCTCCCTTTTATAAAACCATCAGACCTCCTGAGGCTTTTTCACTGTCACAAAAACAGCATGAAATCGCTGCCATGATTCAGTTATCTCCACCTGGCCCTGCCCTTGACACGTGAGGATTACTACAATTCAAGGTGCGATTTGAGTGGAGACACGGAGTCAAACCAAATCACAGCAAAGTATACAGAGCCAACATATGCAAATTAAAATATTTTCATTTTAAAATAATGTAATGATTTATTTGTAACATCATTTCTTCTTGAATTATTATTCCCACTATATATATGAATTATATATAATGTACATTAATTATAACATATATTAATATATGTATACACATTTATTAATGGGTTTAGATTGTGCAGGTGCACTCTCATGTGGATTTTCTTCACTTCTGTTACCCCAAAGACAGCAGAACCAACCTCTCCTTTTCCTCTTCCTTCTCAGCCTACACTTTACAATAGTATTTATATTGAGCACTTGTGTCCTCCTGTTTTTATCATTTTTTATGAGGCTTGCTCTGAGGTTTTTTTCTTCATAAATCTTTATTAGTGCCTCCTACATTTCCTCCTGACAGTGTGCTTAATGTACTTAGTTATATCTTTCAACATATTTTAGTGAGATTCAATTAAGTTTGGTTTCTCCACAATATCAAAAAAAAAGTTTGTAAAACAAAGATGAAATAAAGACTACAGAAATATAAAACCTGAAACAATTCATGACAAGCAGATCCACACTACAGAAATATCTGAGGAAATTCTAAAAGGAGAAGAAAAATGATAACAAAGGAAATGTGCACCAAATCTTCTCAAAGAATGCACTGGAAATGGTAAATACATCTGACTTTTTAATCTTTTTAAAAAATAAAAAATAGTTAAGGGCAACAGTAATTACAAAATATTGTAACATTTGCAATATACACAGAAGTAAAGTGTATGACAATAGCAGAACAATGACCTTAAAAGATTGAAATAGAAGTATATTATTGTAAGGTTCTTACACTATATATGAGGTGGTTTGATCACACTTGAAAGTATATTGATAAGTAAAATAGATATACTATAAAACCTAAGGAAACTACAAAACCAATAAAAAAAATTATAGCTAATAAGCCCACATCAGGTATAAAATAAAATTTTTAAAAACGCTAAATACAAAAGAAGAATGAAAAGAAAAAAAACAGGATGGTGAAATAAGTAGAAATAAGATAGCGGGATGGCAATTAAAGTGGTACTTAGATAAAAAAATTAGCATTAAATACCGATATTAGAAAATAAAGAAGAAGGGACATGTCATCAAGATGGCTGACTAGAGACACTTGGGACTTGACTCTTTCACATAACGAAAATGAAAAAAATAGCAAGTAGATAATGATATGTCTAACAGAGCATCAAAAATTCAGCAAGGAAGTGAGGAACAACTGCAGCATGAAAGGAGAGCGGAGTGAAGAGGCAACTGGCCTAGCTGGTATTGGTTCAGAACCAGGAGGAACTCGCTATTGCAGGAGAAAGGTAAGTTAGAAATTTCCAGCAGTTCCCATTTCAACCACTGATGCCTGCAATTCTAGCCACGGGAGAGACCCTTGACCCAGTACAGAGAGCTGTCTGGAATCCACGTGACTAAATTGTTCCAGAGAGGGAATTTACACTGGGTCCCACTCATGCTCTGAGACCCAAACAATGCAGTACAATGCTATTTAAGAGCAAGTTTGCATCAGACTACATCCTACCCTGCAGCACAACAGTCTCTGCATCTCCAAATCCCTAGAGCCCCACTGATATTCCCCCATCTACTGAGAAGGCTGCAGCATCATAATGCCAGTTTGATCCACTGGCATGGTCAGGTTGCCAGAACTCTAGCC
Source organism: Homo sapiens (assembly GCF_000001405.40). Lineage (NCBI taxonomy): Eukaryota > Metazoa > Chordata > Mammalia > Primates > Hominidae > Homo > Homo sapiens. The sequence goes on from NC_000001.11 coordinate 191,282,510, forward strand.
CATGCAGTGTCCTATACCAGCGGGAACAGGCAGGATAGCATACCAAGCAGGCTGACCCACCAGGACAAAAGAAGCTAAAGCACATGCTTTCTAGAGCTTGAGAGTTAGCTGCCTGGGGCCACTGCCATCAAAACCTAGATCACCTTTCAGGTAGCAGGGCTATTGTGTACCTGCATGCACCTTCAAGGGGCCTAAGGCTCAGCCCAATCAAGCACACCTTCCAGGAACCTGAAGACAGGCCTGTCTTCTGTACCATTGTCATGGCTGTCATTTCCACATGCTATTGAGTAACCTAAGGACAGGTCCATTCTGCCTACCAGCATGCCAAGTGCCTATGTATGTTTTTAAAGGAATGGAGATTAGACCCTTGACATGCTCTGCTAGCCACCACTGACACATGTGTACACCATCTGGGAGCCTGAAGACTAATTCTTACCTGTTACCACCACTGTCAGTGCCCACACATGCCAAGCAGGTGCATAAGGACAAGTCTACTTGGCCCACGACTGCTAGTACCAGCTCCTACCAGCTCCCACATGGCCTCCCAAGGGCCTGGGGACTGGCGTGCCCAGCCTGACACTGCCACCCTAGCACCCATCTGCATGTGCCATATTGTCACTGCTTGTGCCAACGCACTCTCCCTAGGGTCCTCAGGGCCAACATACTGTCACTACTGCCACTTCCAAAGCCAAATATGCTTCACAGGGCCCCAAGGACCTACTTTTCTGGCCAATGCTGTCACTCTCTGAGCATGATAATTGGAAGCCCAATGTCTGGCTCATTGAACCATACATCTTCTCTGTTGACACCCACATTTGCCATTGGGAAGCCTGAGGTCAAGCATGCCTGTCCTGCCACTGCCACCACCAGTGCCTGAGGACTTGCCCACCTGGCATCCCCCTCCCCAGCAAAGCCTCACCACAGCCTCTACTAAAAACAGCCTAAGCCTCTGAGGAACTCACCAAAACCAATAACATCGATTGCAGCAAAATAAATTGTATAGAGACTACAGTTCTGTGACCATCCAGAGTCAAAGCCAAAGTTCCCCACCCAACCAACTCTCTAAATACACCTATAAGAAAAAGCATTTCCCTACAAAAGCCAAGCCATAAAATAGGAAGAAGCAACTGTTACACCAGATGCACAGATACCAACCTAAGAACATAAGAAATATGAAAAAGCAATGAAACATGACACTTCCAGAGGAACGTAATAACTCCTCAGTAACATATGCCAAAGAAAAAAACATGAAACATATGAAAAAGAATTCAAAGTAATGATCTTAAAGAAACTTAGTGGAATATATGAGAACCCAGATAATACAAAGATACCAAAAAAACAATTAATGATGTGTATGCCAATTTAACACAGAAATAGCTATCATAAAAAAAGAACTTAAACAGAAATCCTGGAATGAAAGAATACAATGACTAAAGTAAAAAAATAGTATTAAGAGCTTCAACAATAGAGCAGACCAAGCAGAAAGAGAAATTTCTGAACTTAAAGAGAGGTTTTCTATAATAAATAGGTCAGACAAAAAAAAAAAAGAAAAACAATTTTAAAATACAAAGAAAGCCTCTGTGATATATGGGACACCATAAAGCAAGCAAATTTTGAATTTTGAGAGTTTCAGAAGGAGTAGAAATGAGCAAAGATAGAGAACATATTTAAGAAAATAATAGCTGAAAACTTCCTATGTCTAATGAAAGATATAGACATTTAAATACAGGAAACCCACAAATCTGCAAGTAGATTTAAATTCAAAAAGATCTCCTCCAAGGCAGGTTATATTCAATCTTTCAAAAGTCAAAGACAAATATAGGATTTTAAAAAGAGGAAAAGAAAAGTGTCAAGTCATGCATAAGGGAATTCCCATGAGATGAACAGTATATTTCCCAACAGAAACACTGTAGGCCAGGAAGAATGGAATGATATAGTCAAAGTACTAAAAATTTTTAAAAACAAACAAACAACAACAACAACAAAAACTGGCAGTCAAGAATCCTATCCCAGAAAAACCATCCTTCATGAATAAAAGAAAGAGAAAAAGTATTTCCCAGATAAGCAAAAACTGAGGGAATTTATCAACATTAGACAGGTTCTACAAGATATGCTTAAGGGATCCTACACTGGGAAATTAAAGGATAATACATACCGTCCTGAAAACACACAAAGGTATAAAATTCACTGGTAGAAAAGATACACAAATGAGAAACAGAAATGAGTCAAATGTTATTACTACAAAACCCACCATATCATAAAAGAATAACAAAAGAAGAAAAAAAACAAAGAATATCCAAAACAATGAGGAAACGGTTAACAAAACAACAGGAGTAAGTCCTTATCCATCAGTAACAAACTTGAATGAAAACTTTTTAAGTTCCTCCATTAAAAATTATAGACTGACTGGATGGGAAGAACCACAGTTTACTTTCATTAATTTTTATTGCTTTTCTGTTATTAATTTTCATAACTATACTAATCAGGAAAAAAATTCAAATTACAAATATGAACAATGTGAGGGCTAACAGCACTACAGATTCTGCAGCACTACAGATTCAAAGATATAAAAGAATATTATGAACAATATTATGCCAATAAATCCAACAACTTAGTTAAAATGGACATATTTCTTTTTTTTTTTTTTTTTTTTTTTTTTGAGACGGAGTCTCGCTCTGTCGCCTAGGCTGGAGTGCAGTGGCGGGATCTCGGCTCACTGCAAGCTCCGCCTCCCGGGTTCACGCCATTCTCCTGCCTCAGCCTCCCAAGTAGCTGGGACTACAGGCACCCGCCACTACGCCCGGCTAATTTTTTGTATTTTTAGTAGAGACGGGGTTTCACCGTTTTAGCCAGGATGGTCTCGATCTCCTGACCTCGTGATCGGCCCGCCTCGGCCTCCCAAAGTGCTGGGATTACAGGCGTGAGCCACTGCGCCCGGCCAAAATGGACATATTTCTTAGGTTAGAAAATCTACTACAACTTAATAAAGAAGGTATATAAAACGTTATATCTTTTTGAAAAGGATGAGTTTGTAATTACTACAAAGGAAACTATAAACATGTATGAATTTGTCAGTGAATTCTATCAAACAGTATGGAGAAATACTACCAATTCAATATAAACTTTCAGAACAGAGAAGGGACTATTTTCTAACTAATTTTGTGTGTTCAACATTATTCCTATATCAAAACCAGAGAAATAGACTACAAGAAAATTAAGCAGCCAGATAGCCTACATAAATATTTTTGTAGCATTTATTTACCAAAATTAGAAAATTAATTTCAATAACATATTATAAACAAGTGTGTCTATCATCATCTCCATAAATTCAAAAAAATTCAACAAACTACATCATCTATTCATTATTATAAAAAGAAAAAATCTTAATAAACAAGGGATTGAAATGAACTTTTTCAACTTCATAACAGGCATCTATTAAAGTTAAAATGATACCTAAATTTAAAAACATGCAGGTATTTCTCCTGCGCTCAGGCGCAAATTAAGAATTGATCCTCTAGCCATATATATTTGACATTTTACTGGAAATTTTGTCCAATAGTGTTGGACAAGACAGTAAATAAAATACTTCTGAATCAGAATAAAAAATACTGTCATTATTTATAGGTGGCATGATAAATTATGTAAAAGAGCTCCTAGAGCTAATAGAGTTTGAAAAATTTTCAGAAAATAAGAGAAACATACAAATATCCATTGCATTTTTACAACTAGCAATGACTAGAAAATATTTTAAAACACAATACAATTTTAGAAAACATAGTATATCAAATAATGTTGAAAAATTGACAAACATATGGACAACACACTAAAACTACAAAAATCACTAAAATTAAAGAAACCTACATACTTATAAAACTCTACCAGGTTCGTGTATTGGAAGACTCAATTTTCCCCAAACCCATTTTTAGAATCAACTTAAAATTCCATCAATAAATAGTGATAACTTAAAATTTATTTGGAAGGCAAATGATCTAGGCAGTTAAAATAATTTTGAAAAAAAAAAACACAATTAATGAACTTAAAGTGCCTGACAAACATTTTTTATAAAGCTACAATTACGAAAATGTATGTGTTGACATAAAGACAATATATGAAAAAAGAGGCTGAATAAATATATATATTTATATTTAATTCATTATAATTATATATTATATAATACATATGAATATGTTATAATGCATCATACAGCTACAATTCTAAAAATGTATGTGTTGACAAAAAGACAAAATATAAAAAAAGAATAGAGGATGAATAAATATATTCATGCATATTATGACCAACTAATTTTTAATAAATATACCACTTTCATTGGGAAATAACAATCATTTCAACAAAAGAAATGGGAACAACTGGAGAGACACAGAGATCAACATTAGCATTTACCTCACATATATTCTAAAAATAACTCTATATCATAGGCCTTAATGCAAGTACTAAATATATAAAAGTTCTATAAGAAAACATAGGAGAAGATACTGGTAAACTTAGATTTAGAAAATATTTTAAAAACTGACATGAAAACTGGAAGGAAATTATTAATACATTGAATTTAATCAGAATTTAAAAAAATCTTTTTAAAATGTTGTGGAGGCACTCCTATGAAAACAAAAACGTAAACCACAGACTTGCAGAAAGTACTTGCAAGTCTAATACTGCATAAAATATTTGTACCTATAATATGTAAATAACTCTTACAACTCATTTTAAATGCAATTAAACTTGGCAAAAAAGTTTGAACAGTCATTTTACAAAAATTGTGCTGCCGAACCCCATTAGCCATTAAAGAAATTCAAATACAATAACATTCACACCTAAGTGAAACAACTAAACAGCTAAACTAATACAACAAATTGTTAATAGGCTCTATGATAAAAATATTATATAACTATCCCTCCCCCTACACACAGTGTACCACTGCATACCCACTAGACTGGCTGAAATTTAAAAGACTGGCCATGCCAATTGTTGGCAAGAATGTGGTACATCTGTAACTTTCATAAACTGCTGGTGGGAATATTACATTGTACAGTAGCTACTTTGAAATAAATACTAGTTCAGCAGTATTTCTATTTATTTAAAAAATACACCTATCACATGACCCTACTGCTATACTTCTATTGCTCTACGAGGCATTAACAATATGTCCATAAAAAGACGTATACACAAATGTTTATAATAGCTTTATTTATAATATCCAAAAATTAAAAACAACCTAAAAGTTCATCAAGAGGTAAATGAATAAATAATTTGTGATATATTCATACTATGGAATACTATTCAGAAATAAGAAGGAACATACTCAATACACATAAAAACATTAATCTCAAAATAAAGCAGAATAAAAGATTTTAGACAAAAGTTTGTACGTATTGTAGGACTGCATCTACATAAAATTCTAGAAAACACCAAATAAATCTACACTGAGAGGAAGCAGATAAGTGATTGCCTTTTGATGACGAAGGAAGGAAAATTCATGAAGGTAAGTTTATAAAAAGGGAGTCAGGCACATCTACCTTATCTTGACAGTGCTGATGGTGTCAAAGGTCTATGCATATGTAAAAATATATCAGATTTTCCACTTTAAATATGGGCATTTTAATAATATTGAAAAAGCTATAAAAACACAAAATATAAATAGATATAATTATCTAACCACTCAAATATACTCTATCTAAAAATATAGCATATAGAGATGTATATATGTATGTGCAATATTGTATGTTAGTGCATGTGTGATTCAGAATCTAGTTCTGGTTTCAGATGTTAGTTCCACCATGTACAGGCTATTAACCTTAGAGAGATTACATAAATTCTCTCTATCCATAAAATGGGAAAGAATATAAAATCTGCTTCAAAGTTAGTCATGACGATATACAACACTTAGAAGGGTATCCTAGCATATATATTACATATATTGATGTCTTACTACTTAAACTGTTCTTAAATTTATCATCATAGTTAGTTCTATGTCATTAAATAATCTTCTAAAACATAACTTTTATTGACTATATAGTATTTCATATTATGAAAATCTAATTAATTGATTTATTTTTCATTTTATGTTACTTTGGCTAATTTCCACAAAAAAACTTATGAAAAAAATATTTGCATAGCAATACTTAATTCCTAATGATAACTTGGTATACCCCTAACATAAAGCCTGAGAGTGTTCATTTCTCCTTCTTTTCCACTTCCATCATCATTGTTCAAATCACCGTTACTTCTTGCCTGGAATATTCCAGGATCAACACAGCAGGAAGCTCAACCTTTAAAAAACCGTTAATCTTATTCTCTGTTTACCAACTTCTGGTATCGTTCTATTGGAATAGCAGTAAAATTTAAACTTTTTCCGTCAACTTTTTCTTTACAGTGGGATGACTATCAGGTGGCAGAGCGGTACTCCTACCAAAAACAATCAGAAATGCCAGACAAAATGGCAAAATGGCAGTTGTTAAAGGAATTTAACGTATCATGAAGCAACAAATACTAGAGGGACTAAGACTCCAGAGAAAGAACCTTGTAAGAGAAAATGGGCTTCATGATTCTTTCCCTGAGGGCATTTATCAATTTGGGGGACAGAAAGCAGAATTATTTTGATTCCTATTAAATTACATTTATTTCATTCGTTTTTCAATTTAACAAATGATGTCTAATGTGTATTGTTAGAATATCTCTAGCTTTATCTACCTTGCCAAAGCACCAAAAAATGAGGATATTAACTAAGTCTGAAGAGAAATAAAAAGGTTAAAGTTGAAGTTTAAGGAGATTTTTAATTAATTGGCATAAAATCTCAGTGAAAATTCTAGTCTTATTGCACTTTCAGGAAAAGAACAATTACATTTTCTCTGGGTATGTACAAAGACTAAAGATGTGGAGAATAATTAATTGAAATAACCATTAAATATCATGTTCCGTACTCAAGAGGAGGAGCAAGGTGATGATTTTTTTTTCTTTTTTTTTTTTGGTAGATGAGCAAGTAAGGGAAATTTGAGTAACAATTAACTCCTGATCATTGGGTCAGAACAGAGTTTATTAAGAGTTTCCCTGTGAAATAATTCACATACCCAGAGTTGAACTGAAACATTTTTTAGAATTTTCAGATCCTTAAACATGATGCATTAATAATTGTAAATTACACAAGGCAGCTTAGAGGTGAAAAAAATGATTCTTCATAACTAAAATGGGCTGTGCACATTTGAAGGATAGAAGATGAATGAAAATGGCACAATCAGAGATCACTTTCTATAGAGTTATAACTTGAAACAAGGATTTGGTGAGGGAGGCGAGAAATTGAGAACAAAGGGAAGAAAAGATAAGTTTGAACACAATGACTTGCTAGGTCAGATGAAACACTGATTTCCAAGAAGAGAAAAATATTGAGCAGTAATAAAGGTTGTCAATGGGAAAAGGAAAAACCACATGTTTGATCATATATTTAATAAATTGTAATTTAGGGAGTTGTCATCTAACAAATTACTCAGAGGCTTTGTAGTTTGCAGGTAAAGAGAATGTTTCCTAGAATAAGATGAGACGTACAAGTTTTGTATCTACCACTTGCTAGTGACATGATCTTGGAAAGCTACTTTATATCTCTGCTTCCACTAAAAAAAAATAAATATTGAAAAGAAAAAAGAAAAAAAGGACAAGATAATAGTGTCTAGCTCAGAAAACTGTGGTAAGGGCTAAAGCTCATACCTAACTCTTAGTTTTCTATTGTCGCCTTAAGAAATTACCACAATTTAGTGACTTCTAATAACATGAATTTATTTTCTCAGAGTTTTGTAAGGCAAAGTCTAGGTACAGTGGGCTCAGGTGACTCTTGACCCTAGGTTTTGCCAGGTCAAAATCAAGTTGTGTGCAGGTCTCCGTCCCTTTCTGGAGGCTCTGGGAATATATGCACTTCCAAGCTCATTCAGGTTGCTGCCAAAACTCAATTCCACTTAGATGTAATGATTTCAGTTTCCTTGCTGGCTGTCGGCTAAGGCTCATTTCATTCTCAGCTTCTACAGGGAGCCTGCATGCTTAGGCTCACAGCCCTCTTCTTCCATCTTAAAAGCCCAGTCATAGCCACGTGAATGCGTCTAATCTCTTTGACCTCTCTTTTACTTCTTTCTGCTTTCCCCTTCCTCTGCTCCTCTCTGATTAATTCTGCCTTCTGCTGCTGCTTTTAAAAGCTCATGTGATTACATTAGACCACCTGGAAAATCCAAGATAATCTGTATTTTAAGGTCACCTAAGTCATCTGCAAAATTCCTTCGGGGAAATACTTTAGTTAATGTTTGAATGATTAACCAGGGGACAGAAACCTTAGGAGAAATATTTATAGAACGTTGCCTACCATACTGACCAAGAGGAAACACATCCTAAAGGCTAGCTATTAGTATTATATTTACTCAGAGAAACTGAAATTTGATCTGCTCCAATTAAAGTGTTAGGTGACTCTCAAAATCTCACAGAATCACAGACATCTGCAAGTAAAAGTGACCTTCTAAATGTTGTACTTTTAAACATTTATGTGTATTATGATTCTGAGCAAGCCAATTAACGTTATTGTTTAAATAAATGTAAGAGTTTTCCTAGTGGACCTCATCTTAAATTCATGAGTTCTTGAATTCCAGTGCTGCAGACCTTGTTTAGCATTAAGTTAGCAGTAAAAGAAATTACTCTGATGCATGTATTTTAAATGTGTGATAATACTAAATGAAAAGTGAAAATTCATTGTGAGTTCAAATCACGTTGCTCAATAAAAGGTCATTTTAGTAACTCAGTTGTTTATCTATATAGCTATATCTTCAGCTGATATATATTTTTCTCTCTACACACACATTGTGATTTAATAACCGGTTATGATTGTGTGAAGAAATACAATATACCCCAAGGTCTCACTTATTTATATGCTTATGATCCAATAACGTCATACTTTTATCATTACATGTGAAAATTTTATTCCCAAAACACAAAACATAATAAATTGTAGTTCTGTTTTAGTGCTTGTTTTGTATCTTAAAGAAGCTGTTCTGAAAAGTTTGGATATCGGCCAGGCGCGGTGGCTCATGCTTGTAATCCCAGCACTTTGGAAGTCCGAGGCAGACGGATCACGAAGTCAGGAGATCGAGACCATCCTGGCTAACACGGTGAAACCCCGTCTCTACGAAAAATACCAAAAAATTAGCCGGGCGTGGTGGTGCATGCCTGTAGTCCCAGCTACTCAGGAGGCTGAGGTAGGAGAATGACGTGAGCCTGGGAGGCGGAGCTTGCAGTGAGCCTAGATCGCACCACTGCACTCCAACCTGGGCGGCAGAGCGAGACTCCATCTCAAAAAAAAAAAAAAAAAAGCTTGGATATCATGACCCTTTAATATTTTTAAAATTATTGATGACTTGATGACTCTGAACACAAAGATTTGTTTCTTTATGGAAATTATATCTGTCAATAGGTGCTTGGAAGGCTTAGGTGGGAGAACTGCTTCAGCCCAGGATTTCAAAGTTACAGTGAGCTATGATCACGCCACTGTACTCCAGTCTGAGTAACAGCGCGAGATTCCTGCTAGAGAAAAAAAAAAAAAATGAAGAATCTATTATTATCTAACATAAATATTTATTAAAATTGCACAATGCTTTTCCAGAATTAAAAAAAAAAAACACACAAAATTAGTTAGAAGTGCCATTATTTTGCAAATTCCTTTAACATGAGATTTAATGAAGACAACTGGATTCTTACGTTCACTTATACTTTCAATTTGTTGCATTTTTCTTTTGGCTGAAATGTATTTTTAAAAATGTGTTCTTATACACGTATGCATGTACGTATGTAGTTAGAAATACATTATTCTTGCAGACAACCTGAAAGTTATCAAGTATTTTCAGAGGGCTCCGTGGACCATAGTTTGAGAACTACAGTCTTAAATGAAGAGAGGGAGAAAAAAATAAACTCTAGATATGTATTTGTATTTACTTAGTATATAAAGCAACCCAATATAGATATACACTATGTTCTTTTGTGAAGTAGGTGTTGTGATAGGTTATAATATTTCAAAGAAGTGTGACCTAATAATAATTTTTTTAATTTTTCTTTCTTTCAAATATAGACATCCTTTTTTTTTTTCTTTTTATCTGTTAGATATGGTGAAAGTCATCTGTAAAATTTACTTGGAACTAGTTTTTTCAGTGGAAGAGAAGAAGCCTTTCACTCTTTCCCATTACTAACATTTTTGGTTCACTCAATTCATTATTTCTTCTTGGTTTAATTGTGGCCCTAGAATATTTTTTTCTAGAAATCTTTCTATCTCATTTTGATTTTAAAATTAATTAGAATAAAATAATTTACTTTTAAGATTTTAAATTGGTTTTGAATCTGCAATTATTCAATTTGTTTTGTGTTTTGTTTTTTTTGCTTTTAATTTCTTTTTAGCTTTCTTGGCTTTTTGCTGTTGATAGAAATACTCTGTGTTTCATTATTTCACTCAATTTCTTTTATTCTCATCTTTTAATTTTATTTATTTTCTCTTTTTTCAACAACTAATTAATGTTTCCTTTGGGAATGAAAGAAAAATTCATCATAATATTCTATCTGTGTAATTTACCACATTAAAAGACAATTTGTTAATAATGTTAAAGTTCTGTTCTTTTTTTAAAAAATTCTTATTAATAGACTAGAACTTCCTTTACTTGATTTATAGTAAATATAAGTCAATATCTGAAACTTGATACTCATTTCCTTTAATAATTTGATAAAGAAAAGAAACTCTCTCCCATTGCATGTCTTGGTAAACTTTTCAGAGGTCATAATCTGTAAGGACCTAAATGAAAAATTAGAATATTTATATTAATTGCAGAAAATATGACCATCCACTTATAAAATAAATCCACAAATATAGTATAAGAACTTTTGAAAAATTCTGGACAATAAAAGCAACTCATAACATTCAATAGCATTACTCTACAATTGCAATAACCAAGATGGTAACAATAACCAACTTGAAGATGCAATTCAGAAATAGGATACCTTTACAATGGCCACAAAAACTACAAAGTATATAAGAATATACCCCCCAGAAATACAAAATATATTTCTTGACAAAATTTTTGAATTCATATAAATGATGTACCTGATGTTCTAAATAAGTGGAAAGATATTTTAGCTACTAGATGAAACAACATAATATTATGAGGATTTAAATTTTTCCCAAATTATTGTATTAGTTCAAAGAAAAAAATCTGTCTTCCAAATTGATTTTTTAAGGTACTAAATCAAGTTAATCTAAATTTATATTGAATACAAAGAAATATTTTCAACCTGAAGAAAAAGCAAATTGAAAAGACGTGTTAGTATACATGACTAGTAAGCATAAAAACATTAGGTAATGAAAGGAAAAAATGGAGTGGAATGGATCTACTGTGGACATTAATATACAATAAATTCAGCATCAAAAATTAATAAAGAGAAATAAAGATAGATTCCTATGTAACACTGCATATACAGGCAGGGTCCCGATGCATGGCTTTGAATTACTACAAAGTTAATAGAAGAAAATGTAGGAATCTATCTTTATAACCTAATTACAAATTAAAATAACCATGATGTGTAATTTTTTAGTGTTACATGAATAGAATAGTGGGTGATGCTCATGTTGAGTGATGGTGGGTGGGGGTAGGTGTATGCAAGAATCCTCATGCACTCTTGCTGAGAATGTTGTGGAAAGCAACCTGGCACAACTTAGTGAAAACAAGTAGTCAATACTAAAAGACTCAATAATTCTGCTCCTGTGATACATCAAATAAATGTCCTTTTACATTTCCATAACAGATTATGCCTGTGTGTATAATTTTGCAAAAATATATATTGTTTGAGCTGGTAGGAAACCAGAAGTGACTTGGAAAGTGAATAGGCAAAATATTGTGACTATACAATATAAGGTATTACAATAAATCTAGAGTAAACAGATTTAATGAACATATAACAAAGTTGACTGGATCTCAAAAATATATTGCTTAGACAAAACGTACAGAATTATAAAAAATATTTATGTGAATAAAATAATGCACACCTACAAAAGTCACCCATTTTTGAAGATTCCATATCACATGTGTGAAATATTTAAAAACTAGTATACACATTAAATATATGGAAGTGGTTGTCTCAGTCGATGAATGTGAGAAGAAAGTGCTACAGCAAAGAAAGTGATTGATAAATAAGACAAAGGCAGGACCTTAGACAGAATGAAGATAATTTACCAGTAACCGATGAACAAGATTAACTCAAACCTTTTTACGTCTGAGTGACTAATGAAAATCATAGTGAATAGCTCATTAAATCATATATAACATATGTGTGTCTAAATATGTATATATAGCTGTTATAAATGTATACCCATATGCATAAGAATTTCCTCGTTTTAAAGTTTTTTAATTGCATTCAGTAGAGTTTGTCTTAAAAATATCTTTGCAATATTAGTTTGATTGACACATGCTGACTGGGTGCTGACATGCTGACTAGAATTTCCATGGAAAATTCTTTGTCTAATTTTCGTGTGGAAGTAGAATATTAATTTCTGGGCTTCTACGGAGTGTAACAATGCAATATTATCACTAGTTAAAAACATAAAAAGCACTCCCTTGCAAGTGTAACAGAGGTCTCTTGGTGACTTCTCCTTTGCTTTGTGAATTACAGTGATCAGTATTCTAGATGGAATTTAATTTGAGTTCTGAAAATTGTCCTTGTGGATTCATTAATTGTAATAAAAATAATGAAAAGGTATAAGGATGTTTCACTAATAATGTTATAAGCCAATATTCTTTGGAATTGCTTTGAAAATCAAATTTTGGTATAATTTATATAAAATAAAGTCTTCTTATTTTAAGCCTACTGTAGAATTAGCTTTGATAAAGTCTATGTACTAGTAAACAATGTAACAACCAAGGCATAGAAAAATTTCATCACCCTAAAAAAAAAAAGTTCCATCAAGGCCATTTGCAATTAGTTTTTCTGACACCATTCCCTAAGCAAAAATAAATACAAAAACAAAAAACAAAACAAAAATAAACACCTGTCACAGACCAGAGGAAACTAAAAAGACATGAATACATGAGGACTAAATTCAATATGAAATCCCTAATGAAGCCTGGAAGAAAAAGGACATTATTGTAAACTTTGGTGAAATTCTTACAGTATCTGTTATTTAGTTAATAGTAATGTACCAGTGTGAATTTCTCAGTTTTCATTAATGCACCCTAGTTATGTAAGCTGAATGAAGGGTATATCTTTAAAAAAAAACAACTTTTCATTTCATTGGTTTTTTATAGTATTTTAGAATCTATTTCATTTACCATTTATTTCTGCTTTGATCTTTATTATTTCTTTTATTTTACTAATTTGGGGTTTGGTTTGTTCTTCCTTTTCTAGTTCCTTAAGGTTCATAATTTTGTTGTTTATTTGAAATCTTTGTACCCTTTAATTAAAAAATAAAGGTATATACTTTCCTCCTGATGTTTCTAAAATTTTCTCTTTGTCTTTGATTTTTGACAGCTTTACTATAATGTTCCTCAGAAAAGACCTTTTTGAGTTGAATCTATTTGGGTCATTTAAGTTTCTTGTCTCTGGTCACCTATATCTCTTGCAAGACTTGGGAAGTTTTCAACTCTTATTTTATTAAATAAGTTTTGTTCATTCCTTTTCATCTTTTTCATTATTTTTTTTTTCTGTCTGACTAGGTTCTTTCGATAAAACCTATCTTCAAGTTCAAAAATTTTCTTCAGCTTGATCTAGTTTATTGTTGAAATTCTTCATTATATTTTTTTACTGAATTCTTTAATTCTATAATTTCTGTTTGTTTTTACAAATCTGTCAAATTTCTCATACCGTTTATTAGTTGTTTTTCTAATTTTTATATTATTTATCTTTGCTGTTTTCTATTATATTGAGCTTCTTTAATATTACTTTGCATTCTTCTTTGGGCATTTCATCAATTTCTTTTTTGCATATTCTGTTGCTAGAGAATTATTGTGTTCCTTTGGAGATGTCGTGCTTACTTGCCTTTTCACGTATTTCATGTCTTTAGGTTCATATCTGCACATCTGTTGTAGCAGTCACTTTTTTCTAATTTTATGGATTGGCTTTCACAGGAAAAGAATTTTTCCTACAGGAGTATCTATACTGTTGGTTGGGGGGGTGCTTTGGCTTTGAATTGGGGTGGGGACAGTAATGTAGTCTCTGTATGATTTCTTCATTTATCATGAACGTCAGTGGTGTCTGTGAGTTTCTCAGTGGCTTAGGCTGTGGTTGTTAGTGGAGGCTATATTAAGGCTTTGCTGGGGATAGAGAAGTCAGGTATCCTGGTCCTCAGGCACCAATGGTGGCAGTGGAAGACCAGGTGTGCCAATCTTTTGGCCTCCATGTGACTTGCTCGGGTTCCAGCAGTGGTAGCATTTTTCTGGGTGGGTGGGCAAAATCTTGGGGCCCTGATTGGCACACATAGCATCAGTGATGGTAGTAGCAGTGGTAGGCCAATCCTGGAAGTACTGTATGGCACACACAAGCGCCAGTAGTAGTAGCAGCAGCACGCTGGATGGGACAGTCCTTAGGCCCCCAAATGACACATGAGTTTGTGTGCAGTCAGTGGTCGTGGTGGCAGGCTTGGTGGGCTCATCTTCAGGTTCCTGATCTTCAGGCTCTTGATGCTCTCAGTTACTGGGAGGGGCTGCAGTGGGTGGGGTCACACTGACCTCAGGCCCCTAGATGATGTGTGTGGGCATTCATATAGCCAGCATGATGGGCCAATTCCAAGGCCTCTGAATAGCATGAGTAGGTTTGCTTGGTAGGGTTACAGGCAGCACATACATATCCTTAGGCTCCTCAATGACGTTTGCTAGCACCTGCTGTGGCATGCACAGAAGGTTAACCCTCAGGACTCCTGATGGGGTGCTTGGGCACCAGCAGCAGTGGTGGTGAGAGAGGTAGGCTCATCCTTAGGTCCCAAGAAAGCATTCAGGCAGGCTGTTTCCTTCATCCCTTGAAGGCTCTTGCAGGTATGCTAAACTCCTTATGGTAAGTCAATGCTGAGTTGTTCTCAGCGGGTCAAGAGTGGCTGCAGGTCAAGAAGGCAATTCTGAGGCTCTGGTGGATACATGCTTCAGATCTCTTTGTCCTGGGAGTAGCTTCCCTCGTGGACTACAATGGCCACTTCCTGGGGTGTAGAAAACTGTGTGTGCTAGAGTGCTGAAAACTCAGCCACACCACTGAGACCCAACATTGTGACACTACAGCTTTCTGGGTGGATGTTGGGAGATGTGAGCAAGGCTCCAGGAATACGAAGATGCGGGGGTTGTTTAGCTCCAGGTCAGGATATAGTCTGGTGTTTCTGGGCTATCAAAATTGTGCCATGCTGTAGCAACTTGGGTCTCAGCATGTGTGTGGTAACCAGTGTGAACATCCTTTCTGAAACAATGTCGTCCTGTGAACTCCAAGAAGTTTTCTATAGCAGTCTCAGGACTCACAAGGGCTGAAGGGTTTTGACCAGGATTTCAGGCACATGTAGTGTGAATGTGAACTGCTGAGGATCTCTCAGGTACATTTACCCTGTGCTGAGGAGTTTCTTCTGGCTCCGAGCTGATTCTGGCCAGGATAGTAGCTGCTTCTCTCCCCTCTTCTTCCATGGCTTAGGAGTTCCCTGTCACTTCCCTGCTGAATACTGGTTTTCTCTTGAATGCTCTATTCAGTGTGTAGTTATGAACTCCCGGTTTTGGTCCTTCTTCGTGGAGGAGGCAGGTGTCTTTGGTTTCCCCTAGTCAGCCAGCCAATCCTGAAGCCCTTTCCCATATTCTGTAATATCTTTCCAACTCTTTTTTTAAATCAAAAATTATTTCAAAATAAAAAGTAAAACCAATATGCTTAAGAGAAGTTTAGCTGGGTGTGGTGGCTCACGCCTGTAATGCCAGAACTTTGGGAGGCCAAGGCAGGCAGATCACAAGGTCAGGAGATCGAGACCATCCTGGCTAACAGGGTGAAACCCAGTCTTTACTAAAAATACAAAATATTAGCCGGGTATGGTGGCGGGCACCCGTAGTCCCAGCTACTCAGGAGGCTGAGGCAGGAGAATGGGGTGAACCCAGGAGGTGGAGCTTGCAGTGAGCTGAGATCCCACCATTGCACTCCATCCTGGGTGATAGAGTGACACTGTGCATCAAAAAAAAAAAAAAAGAAGTTTATTAATTTTCTAATGCAAAGTAAATATAACATATTAATAATTCAAAAACATTGATAATTACTAAAAATAAAAATGGTTTCTCATTTTTTTTATTTCTGGACACCATATTGTTTTTGTCACATAAAGAAAAAAATGTAATAAAGTAAATTACTAATTAATTACATGAATTTTTCAAGTATTTACTATCACTGTTTTCTATAGAGCTAATATGTTAAAAGTATAGCTTACTCTGAAAATGAATTAATATTTTTACTATAAGTTACAGAGTAATACACTGATTTTTGCATAATATCTTGTCAAAATCATCACCTCAAAAGCTCAGTTTTATCTTTATCTACTCCTGTAGAGTGGAGGCTACCTTGGCATGAAAGAAAGAAAGAAACAACTGCATATTCTGCATCTCAATAAATTAAAACTTTATATAAGTCTCAAACTTTTTGCTTGGCGCCTTTTGAAGCTAAGTGATGTCTTTTTGTTGTTCCAAAAAGATTTTATTAAAAGACATTTTCTAAATAGCTGACTGGCACATTTATTAAATTACTTGTATTTAGGGATACAAGTAATACATACTAATTTTGGAAAACACAGTAACTAAAGAGAAAAAATGAAAAGCATTCATAACTGCAATATAAAGATAAACATGCATCTTAGCATATATACTTTAAGACTGCTAATATATATTTAATAGATAAAAATACCAGACACAATGAAGCACAAATAAATTTGCACACTACTTTGTGACTTGTTTTTTTCATTTAAAATACACAATGAGACTTTATTTAAATAGTTGAAACATTTCTGCTAACCAAGAAGGATTTGTTGATTTGGTCAGAATGCAATATTCAAGTTGAAGCTGACAACACTATAAGTTTTAAAGCAGTTGAATTAACAAAAATACATCAAGAAAAGGCAAAAAGACAGAAAGCAGGATTGAGAAGTATTAACTTCAGAGAAAACTTAAATTTGAGTTTTCTATTTCTTTTTTTTTTTTTTTTTACTTTTTTGACAACTTTTTTTCTTTACTTTTATTTTAGGTTAAAGGAGTATATGTGCAGGTTTGTTACCTGGATAAATTGTGTGTTGCTGAGGCTTAGTGTACAAATAATCCCGTCATCTAGGTGGTGGGTATAGAACCCCATGGGTAGCATTCCAACCCATGTTCCCCTCCCACCTACACTGCAAGCAGTCTATAATTCCTTTTGATCCTGTATTTAATGTTTAGCTCCCACTTACAAGTGAGAACATGCAGTATTTTGTTTTCTGTTCCTGCATTAGTTAACTTAGGAAAATCGCCTCCAACTCCATCCATATTGTTGCAAAGGACATGATTGTGTTCTTTTTTATGGCTGTGTAGTATTCCATGGTATATATGTACCACATTTTCTTTGTCAAGTCCACCACTGATAGGCATCTAGGTTGATTTCATGTCTTTGCTCTTATGAATAGTGCTGTGATAAACATGTGTATGCATGTGTTTTATTGGTGGAACAATTTATTTTCCTTTGAGTATATACCCAGTAGTGGGATTACTGGATTAAATAGTAGTTCTGTTTAAGTTCTTTGAGAAATCTTCAGACTGCTTTTCACAGTGGCTGAACCAACTTACATTCCCACCAGAAGTGTTTAAGTGTTCCCTTTTCTCCACAGTCTCACCAGCATCTATTGTTTCTTGACATTTTCATAGTAGCCATTCTAACTGGTGTGAGATGGTATCTTACTGTGGTTTTCATATATATTTATCTAATGATTACTGATGATGAGCATTTTTTTCATGTTTGTTGGCTGCATGTATGTCTTCTCTTGAGAAGTGTCTGTGCATGTCTTTTGCTCATTTTTAAATGGGGTTACTTGTTTTATGTTTGCTTAATTGTTTAAATTACTTATAGATCCTGGTTATTAGACCTTTTTTGGATGCATAGTTGGTAAATATTTTCTCCCATTCTGTAGATTGTCTGCTTACTCTATTGGTAGTTTATTTTGCTATGCAAAAGTTCTTGCTTTATGGCTAAGCATGTGGTCAATCTTAGAGTATGTGCCATGTGCTAATGAGAAGGATGTATATTCTGTGGTTGTTGTGGGGAGTGTTCTGTAGATAGCTATTAGGTCCAATTGGTCAAGGGTCAAGTTTAAGTCTAGAATATCTTTATTAGTTTTCAGCCTCTATTATCTGTATAACTCTTTCAGTGGGGTGTTCAGGTCACTCCCTATGATTGTGTGGTTGTGCAATTCTCTTTACATAATTCTAAGAACTTGTTTTAAGAACATGGGTGCTGCCATGTTGGGTGTATGTATATTTAGGATAATTAGGGCTTCTTGTGGGATTGAAACATTTATCATTATGTAATGCTCTTCTTTGTGTTTTCATCATTGTTGTTTTAAAATTTGTTTTATCTAATATAAAAATAGCAACCCCTGCTCTCTTTTTAAATTTCCATTTGTGTGGTAGATTGTTCTCCAACCCTTTACTTTGAGCCCATGGGTGTTGTTACTTGTGAGATGGGTCTCTTGAAGACTACAGACAGTTTTATTTTGCTCCTTTATTCCACTTTCTACTCAAAGCCTTTTACGTGGGACATTTAGCCCATTTATATTCATGGTCAATACTGATATGTGAGAATTTGATTCTGTCATCATGTCATTAGCTGGTTGTTATGTAGACTTGATTGTGTAGTTGCTTTATTGTGTCAACAGTCTTTGTACATAATTGTGTCTTTGTGGTGGCATGCATTGTTCTTTCATTTTCATGCTTTGCATTCCCTTTAAGCCATCTTGTAAGGCTGGTCTAGTGGTAACAAATTTCCTTGGCATTTGCTTGTTTGAAAAAAAAATTTCTCCTTTGCTTATGAAGTTTAGTTTGGCGGAATATGAATTTGTTATTTGCAATTTCTTTTAATCATATTAAAAATGGGCTTCCAATTATTTTGGCTTGTAAGATTTCTGCTGTAAGGTCTGCTGTTAAACTGATGGGGTTCCCTTTGTGAGTAACCTGCCCATCTTCTCTAGCTGTGTTTAAGGCTTTTTTTTTCTCACATTCACCTTAGAGTCTTAGAGAGTTTGATGACCATGTGGCTTGGGGATGGTTGTTTTGCGTAGTATCTCACAGGAGTTCTTTAAATTTCTTGAATGTGCATGTAGACCTCTCTTGAGAGCTTGGGGAAAATATTGTGTACTATATTCTCAAATATATTTTCCAAGTTGCTTGCTCTCTTTTTTTCTCTTCCATGAAAACCAAGGAGTCATAGGTTTGCTCTTTTCACATAATCTCTTATTTTTGAAGGTTTTGTTCATTTTGATAAGTTCTTATTTCTTTATTTTTGTCTGCCTATGTTGCTTCAAATGAGTAGTCTTTAAGCTCTGAGATTCTATTCTTGGCTTGAGCTATTGTTCTGCTGATAAAGCTGACAATTGTATTTTGAAAGTCTTGTAGTGAATTATTTATTTTCAGAAGTTCAGTTTGGTTCTTTCATAAAATGCTTACATTGTCTTTCAACTCTTGGATCATTTTACTGTTTTCCTTGGTTTGGGTTTCAGCTGTCTTCTGTATGTTGATGAGCTTCTTTCCCATCATATTCCGAATTTTATGTCTGACATTTTGGCCATTTCAGTCTGGTTAAGAACCATTGCTAAGGAGCTAGTGTGATTGCTTGGAGGTAAGAAGACATGCTTTACTTTTAGAGTTACCAAAATTATTGAACTGGTTATTTCTCATCTGTGAAGTCTAATGTTCTCTTATCCTTTGATATTTCTGTCCTTTGAGAGAGTTTGTTTTTTTTTTTTTCATGTACTTCATTGCCCTTGAGGACTGTGGTGCCAGTGGATATAGTTGACGGGCTTGATTTCCATATGCTTTCCAAGGGCCAGGATTATCTCCTCACTCCGGCACTTTGTGCTCTAATCATGGCTGCCTGGGACTGGGTGTGAGCTTGGTCTTCAGGTCTTTTGATGTTGAGCCTTGGCTGGGCTGGAGTAGCTGAGGTACTCTCAGACTGCTGGCAACAGCACTTCATCATGGGCCTCATGGGCACCATGGGCAAATGCACTCCAGTGGCAGCTACAGCTGGGTCACATGCAAACATGCCCAGGGAACTCACTCTGGTGCGGGTGGTGGTAGGATTATAGGCTAATATGCTCTGGTGGTGGGCTGTCAGTCAAATCACTCTGGTGAAGGTGGCAGAGGCACTGTGTGCAGAAAGCACTCCAATGAGTACAGAAAGGCACTGCAGGTGTGCAATGCTCTTACAGGGGAGGCTATGGTACTGCAAGCAAACATGCTGCAGAGGAGAGGTGACAGGGTTTTGGGTGAATGCTCTTTAGCAGGAGGGTGTCAGCAAAAGCACTCTGGTGGGGCAGCAGTGGCCTCTGTTGAAAATGCTATGGCAGTGTTTGCTGGCAAACATATTTCTGTGAGGTAGCTGAGGCTGCACTGTTTGCTGGCACAGCCAAGGATGGACTCTGTGAGGAGCTGGTAGTCAGGGGGACATAAATCTGACTCTCCCTGGTCCCATGGGAAAGATAGCCCTGCTTTCTCCAGGTCCAGCAGACCATACAGGTCAGTACCGCCTAGAGGGTTACAGAGAGCCCTGGAGAATAGGCACCTATGGCCAAATACAACTGCAGAATACCCATGCCAGACCACCTGGGGTCCCTGCAGATTCAAGTTCTTTCTCTGCCTACTCTCTGGACAGTTCCCCCTGCCCATGTAAATGTCCTTGGAGCTTGTAAGTTTTCTTGCAGATACGATCTCAGAGGTCTATGGTGAGAGTAGGCCACTCTGCGTTAACTCCATTCATCCATTCTTTAGAAGTCATTCAGGGGTGGAACACATCCTGGTTCTCAACAACCCTGCAAAGGGTTCCTATCTTCCTCCCCATTCATCCCTGACATCTGAATCATCTCTCTATCCACTCATAATGAGTTCTCACAGGTGGACTGTTTGGATTATGCTGATCTACTCGTTATTCTGGCTTGTCTCAGCTGAAGACATTCTTCCTGGCTGTGACTAGTTGGCCATTTTGTCCCAATTTTCCATAAAGTCTTTTATGTTATGTGTAGTTTTCCTTGTGCATTAACTAATAACATCACACATCAAATTTGAGAAACAGGGAAAACAGGTATAGCTTTATCTCATCCATGAGAATAACATTGCATCAATAAAGTGTTAATGTCTTATCAACAAAATCAATGTCATGCATGAATAATATGGCACTACTAGTTTCCACAAAAGATCAAGACTTAAAGAAAAAATTATTGGAACTTAGCAAAGTAAAAGAAAAAAATAAAACATTACTTCTAAGGACTCTTGAGAGACACCATTTAAAATGTGATTATTTGGTAATCTGGGTGGAATATTTTACCATTTATTATAAAGGCCATATATTTATTTCAAGATGTATTAATAACTTCATATCAGACCATTAAGGATACATTTAAATTCATACCAAATGTCAAAGCTAAAATTGTAAACATCATCCATCTAATTTCTGAGGATCATGTTGAAATTAATCTGCATGCTTAGCAAAAATAGATTAATTTATATTATTTTTTTTATTTTGGAACTGATACATTATATCATTTGCCATTACATTAATGTCAAAAATTTTGTGTAATATGTGTAATGCACTTTTTTTCTGTTATCTGTGTCTTTGTTGACATTTTTTAACCTTCAGATTATAAAACACGAGTCTGATCAGGAAAACATAAAAATGTGTTTGAAATAAATGATTTTGAAATACTTTTTAAAAATAACTAACATTTTACATTTAACTCAGTTCAATTTTTCTTACTGGTTGCATGTTTGACTTGAAATACTACATGAAATATACTAAGCACAATGAATCATTAAGACATAATGTGACAACTAGGGATCTAACATAGATTTTCTATCTTATTAATGAATGAAAAATACCAAAATTTGCTATAATAATCTATCAAACCAAAAAATTCTTAATTTATTATCTAAAGGTTCATATGCTTGAACATCTTACTTATTGTATGTATTATATTATGAAGAGTATAACATAATGACATTATTTGTTGTATTTTAGATTGACAACTCTATATTTTACAATCTTTTCTAAATGTCAAGTATAATCACAAAGTGCTAAGAAATAGCATATTTGCTGTTAAATAGAGCTATATGTCAAGCATTTGTAAGAAAGTTTTATTTGGGATGATGAACGTGGTCAGGATTCTTAATCCAAATTCATGATCAATTTCCCAGGGCTACAACAGATCTTACTAAGCACTGAAGATACATCAGCTACACAGCACTTTTATTGCTAGGAATATCTTTGACTCCAAATCTCTAGAGTTACCTTCTTTAGTGACTTGGCTGGGCCACATTTCATGTGATAGTTGGTCTTCCACATATAAACTATGAGATTGTATGGCAATAATAGATAATGAGGGGAAAAAAATCTCCCAGAGGATAGAGCCAGAGATCACAGTGGACAATGGACAAAGGTGTTTCTCTTCTGGCTAACAGCATAACCAGGGCTGAATTCGAAGGCCCTTTAGGTCACATTGTCTCCTATAATTTCATATTTACTATTGAGCAGTGTGTCTCCCATTTTCTTCATGTCCTCTATAGCCCAGCTTATACACACCCTTTTTGTGAGCTCAGACCAGCTTTTTGAATTAGGCATTTCTAGGCTGTATTAATCACTGGTAGATACATGCCCCAAGGTACATTGCATAAGCTCTCTGAGACTCAGTTTCCTTATATAAAAAATGGAAGTGACAACTCTCCAGATTGTAAAGCAGAGAGGAAAATCTATGGACTTAAAAACATACCTGCTATCTGGCTTGTCATAGTTTGTTCTTACTGCTGTAACAACATACCTTAGATTGCGTAACTTTAAGTAATTTATAGATAATAGAAACTTTTTTTTTTTTTTTTTTTTACTATTTTGGAATCTGCAAAGTGCATGATCAAATTGCCTGCAGATTCAGAATCTGGAGAGGGCTGCTCTCTGCTTCCAAGATGGTGGTATTATTGCTGTGTCCTCACAGCAGAAATGAGAGGAAGCTGTCTGAAGCCCCTTTTATAAGAGCATCAGTCCCATTTACAAGAGTGGAGCCCTCATGAATAATCACCTTGCAGAGTCCCCACCTTTTAAAACCATTGTTACAGGATCTTCAGGTTGTCACTTTTCTGGCTGGACACTTCTGTGGCCAGTGGTGCCTTTCCCCAAGTTTTTCTTGGGCCCTCTGGGCTCATTCTGCCCACTCAACCTGGCAGGCTGTGCTCGGCTCACAACACTGGCCGGGATCCCACACCTGCTGAGGGAGACTAAATGGAATGGTGAGGGGTGTGTGAGTGAGTGTGGGGTCTGTCTACTGTGCAGTCAGACATTCTGACTGCTGCAATGGGGTAGGAATCTCCAGGTGCCAGCATGAGCACTGGCTCTGCATGAGGCTGCAGCTGGACCAGGTGCACTGCAAGCAGCTTCTGCAGCTGGCACCAGGAAACATGGTGGGTACCTGGAAACTTGGAGATGCCAGGAACTGCAAGCCCCAAAAGGGAATCAAAGCCCTGGCTTTAGAAGCTCCCAAGTCTTTTGTTACAGCTCTTTTAGCCCTATTCAGTGGGTCCCAACTTCTTGTCCTGCACCCAGGAAGAATGAGTTACGCAGACAAGTGGAGGGTGAGCAAGACTTCAAGGAGTTTCATTAAGTGATAGAACAGCTCAGAGGAGAGCCGCACTGGGTAGCTCCTTTCTGCAGCCAGGGTATCCTTATGATTGTTCAGCTCCTAGCAGACAGGAGACCATGAAGTGGGAACTTACTGCAGGAAGGTCACCCCCTCATCTTCCCAGCTCTCAGCAGTGAAGAGTCCCTGGAGTGGGTAGCTCCTCTCTGCAGTTGGTCGTCCTAACATCTGCTGAGCTCTAACTGAACGTGGGGCTTTTATGGGCCTTGGAGGACCCATGGGCAGCCATTGGCGGGCCTGGAAAAGGCACCACAAGTCCCCACTCTGGTTCACAGGATGGGAAGCCCGGGTCCCAGCCTTCAGGTCCTTGTTGGGCCCACTCCAATGTCTGGGGCAGGGGGGATATCACCACAAACTTCCCCCCATTGCCCCGGTGCTCGGGGCAGCCCAGGGTGGGGTGGATGATGAGACCCAGGTAGTCAACAGAAGTGTCAGGCTCAGGAGTCACTCCAATGTGGGGTGGACCCTGGGGAAGTGACCCCAAATGGCCTCACACAGAGCCTCCTTCAGAGGCACTGGAACCTGGCACCCTCAGCGGGGTGGGTGTAGTGGCTGCATCATTGGCTGGGTCCCTAAAGAAGATGCCACTCCCACTTCCTGCCCTGGGCATAGCACCCACACTTCGTGTGCAAGCGCAGCACTGCCCTGGGCCCAGCTCCACCTCAGGGACTCTGTCTGCCCAAGCTCGCTCTTTTCTGCTGGTGGCCAACCTGCCCTGGCCCCATCACAGCAGCTCCCAGGGCGGTGGGCTTTGGTGGTCTGTCCGCCTCCTCCCTGCACCCTCCCTTAAGCAGCTGGCATGATGGTAGTGGCGCTACAGACAGTGCACTGCTGCCATTACCATCACCTTGAAAATTAGGTTTTAAATTTAGTTTTGGACAGACACATAAATTCAAACCATAACATAGCTACTGAAAACTGACACTTTTTTATTATTGTAATTATAAAAATCCAAATTGCTCATTTAATTCAAACAATGCACTATTTATAAAACTGTTAGTTTTGTACAATTTACCCTCTGTATTTGTCATTTTAGGTCAAAACTCTAATGTAAAACGTGGTTTCATAAGAAGTCTGTACAAATAGGCTTAGTTGTAAAGGAAAAAAATACACTACATAAAAACTATTTTATTTTGCCTAAATATTTATGCAAGAACTTACAAGTCACTAATAAAACGTGATTAATGTTCAGAATTTGTATGTTAAAACAATGCTCATTTAATTGGGGGAGGTGCGTGCCCTTCTATGAATTAAAATAACTCCTTTCACAGAGCTTTTATGCACATACATATATGCTCTTTGTCTGTAGTCCAAGGAAGTATTTCATACATGACTAACGATTACCCCTTTTAAGAACTCATTGTGCCCACACACAAACCCTATTCTAGCTACATCCCAGAACCTCCACCTCTGTGGTGCTAACATGCATAATCTACATTGAATTATTTTGCTCATTTTTGTAAGTAGTAAATAGAACACAAATGCATTAATATGAAGTTTCTGTCTAAATTGACTGGAATAGAGAGTATGCAGTGCAGCCTTGACTGATAACTTGAACTCTATTTGTTCAGTTTCCTGTATCTTCTCATGGTTGTGTTAAAAGATTATAATTGACTTTAAAGTGACAATTCTCTCTCTCCATAAAGAGTTCAGTTCACATTATTTCTTTTATTTTCAGTTTGTCTTGAATTTACAAGACAACAATTTACAAAAAACAACAAAGAAAATTGTATTTGGTTCTACTCCCTAAAGAGAGTGAACATCCTTCCTTTCATAATTTGTTTTCTTTCCACTGGAGTTCTCCGTTCTGATTTTTATTCCATTCTCACATTTGTGATAAATATATATTATTTTTCTTTACTTTCTTTATAGTTTTGTGAGTATAACACTCATCAGGTTAAAGCTTACTGACCTCAACTCATTGTTAAGATTGTTTTGAATGTCTAACATTTTACTTAATCATTAAAATAATTTCATGTTTTTAAAATATTTTTAAACACTAACTGATATAAGATTTTTTAAATAGAAATTTTATTTTAATCATGGAGAAACATTTGGTTAATATGCAACGTTAACATCTAAAAGACCACATCAGAGCAAATAAAAAAAAAAGATAAAAGATTCTCAATCTGAGTTAATGAAGACATTGCAGATTAACATATGAATATTTGAAACAACATTCATTCTTTCATGTGGGGCAGTTAAGAACACAGGCTTGGGTCCAAAGTCACATGGATTTGAATCTTGAAATAAACCTAGTAGAGTCGGATTCTAAGCAAGCTGCTTCAACTCTTGTCTTAGATTCATAATCCGTAAAATTGAGGTGAAAAGTGACAATAATGTTAATCACCTTATAAATTTTAATAAAATACACATATTTAAAATATTTCTGGATCAGAAAAAGTTCTTGTTATTAATGTTGTGATCATTATGATGAGTAGTCAATGGTAAAACAAATTAGAACTGTATGGTACAGAATTTTTTTTTTTTTTTTTTTTGAAACAGAGTCTTACTCTGTCACCCAAGCTGCAGTGTAATGGTGCAATCTCGGCTCACTGCAACTTCCACCTCCCAGGTTCCAGCGATTCTCCTGCCTCAGCCTCCTGAGTAGCTGAGATTACAGGCACTCACCACTGCACCCTGCTAACTTGTATTTTTTTTTTTTTTAAGAGATGGGGTTTCGCCATGTTGGCCAGGCTGATTTCTAACTCCTGACCTCGGGTAATCCACCTACCTCGGCCTCCCAAAGTGCTGCGAGTACAGGCGTGAGCCAACGCGCCCGGCCCTACTGTATGGTACAGATTTAAAAGGAATACACTCCAATTTGTGGTATTCTCAGTCAAAACAGGAGGGGTCTTGTGAAGCAGGTTCACTGTGCTCAGGTATCAATCTCAGAAGAGGACTCTACTCACCCATACCAAGCACCAATCTAAATCCACTTGCATAAGTCACAAGAGACTGAATATTCATACAAAAATTTAAATCAAGCAACTTTTTACTCACAGGCAATAATGGGCACTGGAAGCATATGTTTCATGATGAGCCTATCCCTCAAGACTCAGCAAAGCTGCTCAAGGCAGATGGAGTTGTGTCTGCAAGTTCTCACACTGCACTGTAGCTGAAGGACCCTGAAAGTGTGCTCTGCATTG